>NC_000003.12:143099513-143402543 GCF_000001405.40 Homo sapiens | reverse complement strand
AACAAGGTCCCAGGATACATGAAGCAAAAACTGACAGAAAAGTTAAAAACATTAAAGAAAGTATCTTTCAGTTCTACAAAAAAAAAAAAAAAAAAACACAAAGGTGCTAAGTAAATTGCTAGAGTTTGAGAAATGCCACATTCTACCACACTGCAATAATATTTGCAGATTTCAAGTTCACTTTACATTGTTATATATGGACATCTCGAGCAATAAGTATATTCCAATAATTTCTACACTTAAATCTTCTCATAAAAGTCTATTCATGCCAAAGGATTTTTAAATTTTTATAATTTCTTCCTTTTTATTCGTTGAGGTAGGCAGCATGCCAAATTAAATTTTTTTAAAAAAACTGTTTAATTCTTCTGTTTCTTATTACCAGTGTAACTTCTCTCAAATTAGCTAATCTTTGTGGGTCTCAGTGTTCTTATCTTTAAAATGACATGGTAGGGTGCGATCATCTGAGCTTCCTTCCACTTACAGTTCTGAGACTGGTGTTTTCACCATGAAAATGAACTGTTTCACCAAGGTAATCATCAGGAAGGCCAGTAGAATCTAGATTTCTCCATCTGAGATGGTGAGATGTACCTCACTAGGGTAGAATTTCAGCTTCTAGAAAGACTTCTGAGAACTCTTAACATCTGTATGGAATTCATAGGTTTAAGTTGGAGCATTTAATAAAGCATATTTTGATTTAAGGCATCATAAGTGGATTCTGTTCAGGAGCACTTTCATTCCTCCTGTGTAGGTCCTACTATATCTTATGATATGATCTGCACTCCTGACATCTGCCATTGTCAGATGCCACAACCTGTATGTGAATTTCTTGTGAAAACCTGATCCAGCCTAGGAATAGGAACAGTCTATGTCGAGTTGTACATGAATATTCAGGTACCTTAGAGAAACATTTAAAGACACAATTCTAACATTAAGGCTGGAAACAAAGCTATGTTTAAGATTTATTATATTTATGGATTTCTTAAGAAATTTCAAGTCCCTGAAAACTTAGTTTCCAGTTTAAGTGAAACCTTTTTACTGCTGCATGCTTACTAATGTGAATAGCTTTCTACACTAGTCTGATGCCAGGTAGGAAAAACAATGGCACATTCAAGCTGAGTAAATTAAAGGAACTTAGCAAGGAACTATTATAAGAGCTGGTTTTAGAAAACAAGGAATAGTGCAGTACCCCAGGACTGGAATCAATGGAGAGCAGTTACCACCCTATACCCAAATGGGAATATTAACCAGAACCCAGAGAGGGTAGCTGGGTGGGGTAGATAGAGAGGGATTAAGGAGCTGAGGCTTTGATAGAAGAACACAGACAAGCCTGGTGACCTGGCAGGAAGGAAGAAATAGATACCCTGTCTCACTCTCCTCTCTCCTTCCAGTATCCTGCCAGTACTTCCTATTGGCTAAACCTATTCAAGACCAAAGAGCACGATAACCCAATTGATGCCATCTGCATTGGTCTGCATTCCAGAGCCCAGGATAATGTAGAGAAAAGGGGGTAGAGTAGATGTAGAGGGAAAAATGAAAAAGTCAGCAGTCCAGAAGATCCAAGGGTAAAATATTAAAAACAATTGCAAAGTTGTTACTTCACCCACGATCAGGACTGGGGGAGGCAAACAAGGTACCTAGGATGCAAAATCTAAGGAAGCACTCACTCTCGGGCTCATACAAATGCTCAGCACTTGCACGATCCTGAGAGACAGGATGTCTCCCTTGCCTAACTCTAGTCTTGGCTCTGATTCCACCCAGTGACTAAAAGTTGCTTGACACAGAATTTTAAAAGGGAATGAATTACCTTTTTTTTTTTTTTTTTTGCATAAATTCAGTCAAAAGTTTTTTTAATTGTTTATTTCCATAGGTTTTTGGGAAACAGGTGGTATTTGCTTACATGAGTAAGTTCTTTTGTGGTGATTTGTGAGATTTTGGTGCACCTATCACCCGAGTAGTATACACTGGACCCAATTTGGAGTCTTTATCCCTCACCCACCTGCCAGCCTTTGCCCTGACTCCCCAATGTTCAATGTATCATTCATATGCTTTTTTGTCCTCATAGCTTAGTTCCCACTTATGAGTGAGAACATACGACGTTTGGTTTTCCATTCCTGAGTTACTTCTCTTAAAATAATAGTTTCCAGTTCCATCCAGGTTCCTGCGGATGCCATTAATTCCTTTCTTTTTTACGGCTGAGTAGTAGAGCATGAATTATCTTTTAATTTGTAAGCATAAAAAGAATATTTTGTTTGAAAGATTTCAAAATACTCTTTTGAATTTTTCCCCAATGACAGCAAATAACATACTAGCCATACATGAAATATCCAGAGGCCAGTATGTATAATGGCTTGACATTATTATTGAACCCTGGATTTTTATTATTTTGTGTGGGTATCCATTTATTCCAGCTGCACGTTTTTTCACACTTTAGCATTTTTGAAGTCAAGATGTGTCTCATAATCAGTGGTGTCACAAATATAATTAACAGCGTTTTTCTTCTTAGATGTACATAAAGTAATAGTATGCCTTATCATGAACTACATCTAGGTTTGATGAAACTCACCGTATGTACTTTAAAGATATATATGAGTGTAACAAATTTTTCATGTCTACCACAATATCTAGCATATACTAATGGTCTTGATATATTCTCAACTGGTATTTCATGAATGAATGAGTGGGTGAGTTAGTGAGTGAAGGAGAGAATGAATGAAATAGTCTACCTGCCCTGCTTTTAGGATGTCGATAGTGTGGTGTCAGGAAAAATATCAGTTCATATACAACAGTTGTTTAAGCTGTCATCATGATCTCCTAGAATGATAGGCCAAAACAGCCTGAGTGTTACATTAGCCACAAGCATCCAATTAACTTTCATTATGTTATTTTCCGCCAAATTGATGCTAATTCTGTTTCCATGCTGTGCACTTTCCGTAGTCTTCATGATAATTTCAGAACCTGTTTTACAACATATTCTTGCTACTCTTTTCCTCTTTGCCTTTCTCTTCTGCTCTAAGACAACTTCTTCCCAATAGTATTGTTGCCAATTTTCTTTCACTTTCCTGATTTTAAACCACTGATTCCAAAATCAAGGTGCAGTTTTCAATATAATTCTAGTGTTAACCATGAATTCTTCCCCTTTTAAAATTTTAAATATTTAATTTCTTTTTAACATAGTCATGCACGCAAGCATGCACTTCAGCCCAATGGTGAATAACAGATTTGACCAGAGAAAAACATTATTTTTCTAGTGATTTACTTTAATCCGTCTCAGCAAGAAACTAAAATTATTTTCTTCTCTTTTTATGTGTCATGCAGTAGCAGCTTCCTAGCTTACCCATTGTCTTTCTGTCAACTTTCCTTTTAAAATTAAGATATTTACTCATTTTTAGCAAAAAACAAGATAATGCATTATTAAGACGTATTTTTGACTTGATTCTCTTCTGAGACTAGGGAAGAAGTTTTTTCACTTAAAAAGTAAAAATAGAAGTGAAATATAGATATATATGTGCATGTACATATATATGTATGTGTGTGTATGTGTGTGTGTGTATACAACAAATCTGTGAATTTATTATTAATAGCATCTGGTCTTAATATGGTCTATAATATAATATGGTCTTACAGAGTGTTAACTGCTCCAAATGAAAATAAGGTTTCAGTTATTTGTAGAGATTGTAGATCAAATCTGCTTCCAATTGTGGGCTTAAACAATAGTTTTGGCAACTGTTATATATCCCAAAGCTGTTTTAATTTTAATTTTAGTGATATATTAGTGTTGGTGAAACAATCTTCTTTGGCTATTTTTCCATGTTTTCAGTGCACATGGTTAATAATTCTGTACTGTCTGCTGGATGTTGGTGATAGATAGCCTGAAGCAACAGATTTACTGGTGCAAAATTATTAAAGTAACCAATTGCAAGTGCTTTTTAATGGTTAATATAAAGAAAAGGGTTATAAATCTCTTTTTGCTTTTAATTACTAAAATACATGGTGTTACAATAACTTCAGATCCTCTTCCCAAACTCCATATGTTTTATATAATACATGAATATTACCTAGTGTAGATTCTACATATTGGCTGTTACTATGATAATTTTGTGTCTCCAACTCCCTTTTCACCCGCTGCCTGCCTTCCACGCTTCATGGTGGAGATACCTTTGTTGGCCTTAGGCTTTTGTTCCCATCTCTTTCTGCTCTCAGGAATAAGTCTGATTCACTTGTATCTTGTGTGAATACAAGCTCAAATATTACCTCTCCCAAGTCCTTGCCTTGTAAGGCCTAATCCTCAACAAGGAATGAAGAGCTTTATCCTGTGCTAAGGAAGTCTAGGCATTGGCAGTTAGGGAAATTCATGTCTTGGGAGGAAGCCTTCTCAAAACATCTTAGAAACCATCTTTCCCTATGAATAGTCAAAGCCAATGTGGTGGTAAGGTGGTGGCGGGGGGGAAGTTCAGAATCAACCATTAGAATTTCATGTTTTGAATGAATTGTGTTGTAGGTACCTATCCATCAATTTTGCAAAACTTTGTTGTTGCCTTCTAAGGATTCTTTCCAAGATATCACTCCACAAAAATATTTGCTTTGGCTGGGTTAAATGTTCTTCTGGATTATTGCATAGAGGAGTTTTACAGTTCTTTAAATATATTAAATATATGTTCTATGCATTCCCCCCTTATTGTCAAAGTATACTTGTGATTTTGTAAATGATGTTCATGGGGAGAATATGCTCCTTGCATCAAGAGAATGCATTCCCATTAAGGCTCCTTCCCTTCCAGGTTTCCCACTGAAGCCTGAGCACATCAAAGAGCAGCAATGTGGAGACTCACCCTGAGATCTCACTGCTGACCCATGGTGCACACCAAGCATGGTCTTTAATGGCAAGCTGGGATTAGGCCACAATTCTGCCTAGAGTTCCTCGTAGCTTGGGACACTGAAAAGTGAGGGAAGGAGATGCACTTCTGGCATCATATCATTCTGTTTATTTAACTGTGAAATAACCACAATGGTTTTCAGGTTTTAGGTTTTCCACTTCTCGCTCAGACCCCTGAGAGTCTGGGATTTGTTTTTCAACCATTTATGGTTTCATACCAACATATAAAGCTCCTACAACTACTTCATATTCCGTGATAAAATGTCCCTCTTTTTTCCCATGTAACTTGTTCAGTCTGACATTGAGAAGACTCCCCACCCAGTAACACTAGAATTTTAAAAAGCGAATCCACTTGAAAGGATAGCTTTTCTGGGGATGTGCATTTGACTCTGATAAATCCCTAATTGCCCAGGCAGGGCACCCAGAGTGAAGCCTTAGGGAAGAAAGGCCAGATGCCTTGATAAGCTATTACATCTGTCTTCCTACCAAAGGATGTCAGTATGCTTGCAGCTTAGGTCAAAAGAAATCAGTCTGTGTATTCATTTTCAATCTAGTTTCTAATGGACTCTTATCCGTAGCCTGAAATTAGCTTACATCTTGGCAGAGCTAAGTACTTCAAACTCAAGGGAAGTTGTGCCAAACATAAAGTACAGGATGTAGATCTGCATTTGTGTCTGGAACAGGTACTTGCTTATTCTTGTTTATTTTTCAAAGAACATAATGTTTTCAGCATACTTATACACTCCAAAATGTATATCTAAATTGTCAGATACATGTAAACACCAGCCACACATTTTATCTCTGCAGCCAGAACATCCCCACTCTTAAGTCCAAAACCTCCATCATAAACAAGCCTCCACTGGAATCAGAAATCACAAGAAAAATCACAGGTGAGGTAAGGTAAAACATAACTCTTTTGCTGGAAATCTTCACAGTTAAATCTTTTATTCAGGAGGCCTGAGTAGCAAAGACAACAATATCTATTAATACCACTACCACAACAAGAACAACAGCTACTTCTTCTAAGCATTTTCTAGGGGCTAGATCCTGTGCCAAGCCCCTTACATGAATTTTTTTTATTATTATACTTTAAGGTCTAGGGTACATGTACACAACGTGCAGGTTTGTTACATATGTATACATGTGCCACGTTGGTGTGCTGCACCCATTAACTCATCATTTACATTAGGTATATCTCCTAATGCTATCCCTTCCCCAGCCCCCCAACCCACAACAGGCTGTGTGTGATGTTCCGCTTCCTGTGTCCATGTGTTCTCATGGTTCAATTCCCACCTATGAGTGAGAACATGCGGTGTTTGGTTTTTTATCCTTGCGATAGTTTGCTGAGAATGGTTTCCAGCTTCATCCATGTCCCTACAAAGGACAGGAACTCATCATTTTTTATGGCTGCATAGTATTCCATGGTGTATATGTGCCACATTTTCTTAATCCAGTCTATCATTATTGAACATTTGGGTTGGTTCCAAGTCTTTCCTATTGTGAATAGTGCTGCAATAAACATACGTGTGCATGTGTCTTTATAGTAGCATGATTTATAATCCTTTGGGTATATACCCAGTAATGGGATTGCTGGGTCAAATGGTATTTCTAGTTCTAGATCCCTGAGGAATCGCCACACTGACTTCCACAACGGTTGAACTAGCTTACAGTCCCACCAACAGTGTAAAAGTGTTCCTATTTTTCCACATCCTCTCCAGCACTTGTTGTTTCCTGACTTTTTAATGATCGCCATTCTAACTGGTGTGAGATGGTATCTCATTGTGGTTTTGATTTGCATTTCTCTGATGGCCAGTGATGATGAGCATTTTTTCATATGTCTGTTGGCTGCATAAATGTGTTCTTTTGAGAAGTGTCTGTTCATATCCTTTGCCCACTTTTTGATGGGGTTGTTTGTTTTTTTCTTGTAAATTTGTTTGAGTTCTTTGTAGATTCTGGATATTAGCCCTTCGTCAGATGACTAGATTGCAAAAATTTTCTCCCATTCTGTAGGTTGCCTGTTCACTCTGATGGTAATTTCGTTTGCTGTGCAGAAGCTCTTTAATTTAATTAGATCCCATTTGTCTATTTTGGCTTTTGTTGCCATTGCTTTTGGTGTTTTAGACATGAAGTCCTTGCCCATGCCTGTGTTCTGAATGGTATTGCCTAGGTTTTCTTCTAGGGTTTTTATGGTTTTAGGTCTAACATTTAAGTCCTTAATCCATCTTGAATTAATTTTTGTATAAGGTGTAAGGAAGGGATCCAGTTTCAGTTTTCTACATATGGCTAGCCAGTTTTCCCAGCACCATTTATTAAATAGGGAATCCTTTCCCCATTCCTTGTTTTTGTCAGGTTTGTCCAAGATCAGATGGCTATAGATGTGTGGTTTATTTCTGAGGGCTCTGTTCTGTTCCATTGGTCTATATCTCTGTTTTGGTACCAGTACCATGCTGTTTTGGTTACTGTAGCCTTATAGTATAGTTTGAAGTCATGTAGCATGATGCCTCCAGCTTTGTTCTTTTGGCTTAGGATTGACTTGGCAATGCGGGCTCTTTTTTGGTTCCATATGAACTTTAAAGTAGTTTTTTCCAATTCTGTGAAGAAAGTCATTGGTAGCTTGATGGGGATGGCATTGAATCTATAAATTACCTTGGGCAGTATGGCCATTTTCATAGTATTGATTCTTCCTATCCATGAGCATGGAATGTTCTCCCATTTGTTTGTATCCTCTTTTATTTCACTGAGCAGTGGTTTGTAGCTCTCCTTGAAGAGGTCCTTCACATCCCTTGTAAGTTGGATTCCTAGGTATTTTATTCTCTTTGAAGCAATTGTGAATGGGATTTCACTCATGATTTAGCTCTCTGTCTGTTATTGGTGTATAGGAATGCTTATGATTTTTGCACATTGATTTTGTATCCTGAGACTTTGCTGAAGTTGCCTATCAGCTTAAGGAGATTTGGGGCTGAGACGATGGGGTTTTGTAGACATACCATCATGTCATCTGCAAACAGGGACAATTTGACTTCCTCTTTTCCTAATTGAATACCCTTTATTTCCTTCTCCTGTCTGATTGCCCTGGCCAGAACTTCCAACCTGTGTTGAATAAGAGTGGTGAGAGAGGGCATCCCTGTCTTGTAGCAGTTTTCAAAGGGAATGCTTCCAGTTTTTGCCCATTCAGTATGATACTGACTGTGGGTTTGTCATAGATAGCTCTTATTATTTTGAGATACATCCCATCAATACCTAATTTATTGAGAGTTTTTAGCATGAAGAGTTGTTGAATTTTGTCAAAGGCCTTTTCTGCTTCTATTGGGATAATCATATGGTTTTTGTCTTTGGTTCTGTTTATATGCTGGATTACATTTATTGATTTGCATATGTTGAACCAGCCTTGCATCCCAGGGATGAAGCCCACTTGATCATGGTGGATAAGCTTTTTGATGTGCCGCTGGATTCAGTTTGCCAGTATTTTATTGAGGATTTTTGCATTGATGTTCATCAGGGATATTGGTCTAAAATTCTCTTTTTTTTGTTGTGTCTCTGCCAGGTTTTGGTATCAGGATGATGCTGGCCTCATAAAATGAGTTAGGGGGGATTCCCTCTTTTTCTATTGATTGGAATAGTTTCAGAAGGAATGGTACCAGCTCCTCCTTGTACCTCTGGTAGAATTCGGCTGTGAATCCATCTGGTCCTGGACTTTTTTTGGTTGGTAAGCTGTTAATTATTGCCTCAATTTCAGAGCCTCATATTGGTCTATTCAGAGATTCAACTTCTTCCTGGTTTAGTCTTGGGAGGGTGTATGTGTCAAGGAATTTATCCATTTCTTCTAGATTTTCTAGTTTATTTGCATAGAGATGTTTATAGTATTCTCTGATGGTAGTTTGTATTTCTGTGGGATCGGTGGTGATATCCTCTT
The DNA here is from genome assembly GCF_000001405.40 of Homo sapiens. NCBI lineage: Eukaryota > Metazoa > Chordata > Mammalia > Primates > Hominidae > Homo > Homo sapiens. The sequence continues at coordinate 143,393,760 of NC_000003.12, read as the reverse complement.
TATCATTTTTTATTGCGTCTATTTGATTCTTCTCTCTTTTCTTCTTTATTAGTCTTGCTAGCGGTCTATCAATTTTGTTGATCTTTTCAAAAAACCAGCTCCTGTATTCATTGATTTTTTGAAGGGTTTTTTATGTCTCTATTTCCTTCATTTCTGCTCTGATCTTAGTTATTTCTTGCCTTCTGCTAGCTTTTGAATGTGTTTGCTCTTGCTTCTCTAGTTCTTTTAATTGTGATGTTAGGGTGTCAGTTTTAGATCTTTCCTCCTTTTTCTTGTAGGCATTTAGTGCTATAAGTTTCCCTCTACACACTGTTTTGAATGTGTCCCAGAGATTCTGGTATGTTGTGTCTTTGTTCTCATTGGTTTCAAAGAACATCTTTATTTCTGCCTTCATTTCCTTACGTACCCAGTAGTCATTCAGGAGCAGGCTGTTCAGTTTGCATGTAGTTGAGTGGTTTTGAGTGAGTTTCTTAATCCTGAGTTCTAGTTTGATTGCACTGTGGTCAAACTGATAGACAGTTTGTTATAATTTCTGTTCTTTTACATTTGCTGAGGAGTGCTTTACTTCCAACTATGTGGTCAATTTTGGAATAGGTGTGGTGTGGTGCAGAGAAGAATGTATATTCTGTTGATTTTGAGGTGGAGAGTTCTGTAGATGTCTATTAGGTCTGCTTGGTGCAGAGCTGAGTTCAATTCCTGGATATCCTTGTTAACTTTCTGTCTCATTTATCTGTCTAATATTGACAGTGGGGTGTTAAAGTCTCCCATTATTATTGTGTGGGAGTCTAAGTCTCTTTGTAGGTCTCAAGGACTTGCTTTATGAATCTGGGTGTTCCTGTATTGGGTGCATATTTAGGATAGTTAGCTCTTGTTGTTGAATTGATCCCTTTACCATTATGTAATGGCCTTCTTTGTCTCTTTTGATCTTTGTTGGTTTAAAGTCTGTTTTATCAGAGACTAGGATTGCAACCCCTGCCTTTTTTGTTTTCCATTTGCTTGGTAGATCTTCCTCCATCCCTTTATTTTGAGCCTGTGCGTGTCTCTGCACGTGAGATGGGTCTCCTGAATACAGCACACTGATGGGTCTTGACTCTTTATCCAATTTGCCAGTCTATGTCTTTAAATTGGAGCATTTAGCCCATTTACATTTAAGGTTAATGTTGTTATGTGTGAATTTGATCCTGTCATTATGATGTTAGCTGGTTATTTTGCTTGTTAGTTGATGCAGTTTCTTCCTAGCCTCGATGGTCTTTACAATTTGGCATGTTTTTGCAGTGGCTGGTACCAGTTGTTCCTTTCCATGTTTAGTGCTTCCTTCAGGAGCTCTTGTAGGGCAAGCCTGGCAGTGACAAAATCTCTCAGTCTTTGCTTGTCTGTAAACGATTTTATTTCTCCTTCACTTATGAAGCTTAGTTTGGCTGGATATGAAATTCTGGGTTGAAAATTCTTTTCTTTAAGAATGTTGAATATTGGCCCCACTGTCTTCTGGCTTGTAGAGTTTCTGCTGAAACATCAGCTGTTAGTCTGATGGGCTTCCCTTTGTGGGTAACCCGACCTTTCTCTCTGGCTGCCCTTAACATTTCTTCCTTCATTTCAACTTTGGTGAATATGACAATTATGTGTCTTGGAGTTGCTCTTCTCAAGGAGTATGTTTGTGGCGTTCTCTGTGTTTCCTGAATTTGAATATTGGCCTGCCTTGCTAGATTGGGGAAGTTCTCCTGGATAATATCCTGCAGAGTGTTTTCCAACTTGATTCCATTCTCCCCATCACTTTCAGGTACACCAATCAGATGTAGATTTGGTCTTTTCACACAGTCCCATATTTCTTGGAGGCTTTGTTCATTTCTTTTTACTCTTTTTTCTCTAAACTTCTCTTCTTGCTTCATTTCATTCATCTGATCTTCAATCACTGATACCTTTTCTTCCAGTTGATCAAATCGGCTACTGAAGCTTGTGCATTCGTCCCATAGTTCTCGTGCCATGGTTTTCAGCTCCATCAGGTCATTTAAGGACTTCTCTACACTGGTTATTCTAGTTAGCCATTCGTCTAATCTTTTTTCAAAGTTTTTAGCTTCTTTGCCAGGGGGTCAAACTTCCTCCTTTAGCTCGGAGAAGTTTGATCGTTTGAAGCCTTCTTCTCTCAACTCGTCAAAGTCATTTTCCATCCAGCTTTGTTCCATTGCTGGCAAGGAGCTGTGTTCCTTTGGAGGGGGAGAGGCGCTCTGATTTTTAGAATTTTCAGAATTTCTGCTCTGTTTTTTCCCCATCTTTGTGGTTTTGTCTACCTTTGGTGTTTGATGATGGTGACGTACAGATGGGGTTTTGGTGTGGATGTCCTTTTTGTTTTTTAGTTTTCCTTCTAACAGTCAGGACCCTCAGCTGCAGGTCTGTTGGAGTTTGCTGGAGGTCCACTGCAGACTCTGTTTGCCTGGGTATCAGCAGCGGAGGCTGCAGAACAGCAAATATTGCTGAACAGCAAATGTTGCTGCCTGATCGTTCCTCTGGAAGCTTCATCTCAGAGGGGTACCCAGCCATGTGAGGTGTCTGTCTGCCCCTACTGGAGGGTGCCTCCCAGTTAGGCTACTCAGGGGTCAGGGACCCACTTGAGGAGGCATATCTGTCTGTTCTCAGATCTCAAACTCCATGTTGGGAGAACCACTACTCTCTTCAAAGCTGTCAGACAGGGACATTTAAGTCTGCAGAGGATTCTGCTGCCTTTTGTTTGGCTATGCCCTGCCCCCGGAGGTGGAGTCTACAGAGGCAGGCAGGCCTCCTTGAGCTGCGGTGGGCTCCACCTAGTTCAAGCTTCCCAGCCGCTTTGTTTACCTACTCAAGCCTCAGCAATGGTGGGCACCCCTCCCCCAGCCTTGCTGCTGCCTTGCAGTTCAATCTCAGCCTGCTGTGCTAGCAATGAGTGAGGCTCTGTGGGTGTGGGACCCTCTGAGCCAGGCCCAGGATATAATCTCCTGGTGTGCCATTTGCTAAGACCATTGGAAAAGTGTGGTATTAGGGTGGGAGTGACCCAATTTTCCAGGTGCTGTCTGTCACAGCTTCCCTTGACTAGGAAATGGAATTCTCTGACCCCTTGCACTTCCCGGGTGAGGCGACGCCTCGCCCTGCTTCGGCTCACACTCGGTGTGCTGCACCCACTGTCCTGCACCCCCTGTCCGACAAGCCCCAGTGAGATGAACCTGGTACCTCAGTTGGAAACGCAGAAATCACTTGTCTTCTGCGTTGCTCATGCTGGGAGCTGTAGACTGGAGCTGTTCTTATTTGGCCATCTTGGAACAATTCACCCCTTACATGTATTATCCCACAACAGCCTATGACATATTTACCATTCCTATCTCCGTTTTGTGGAAAAGGAAACCGAGGTACAGTTTCCTGCCCATAGTCACACAAGTAAGTGATAGGAACAGCCGTTCAGAATGTCTAACTCCTAATGTTCATGCTCTGTGCCTCTTCTTAGCTGTTACCTAGTAATTTCAGTCAACTGTGTCAGCAAAGAGTTAAAGATAGACCAGACCCTTCTTTAGTCTGATCAGCCCAATAGAGTTTCATGAAATCCATCCCACCTCCATAATGTCTAGGAGAAAAGTAAATGGCATATGGGCAACCTTGGAATACCAGGACAGGAATGTTGCATGAATCCTTGACCCAGCTGTTTTCAATTTGGTAATGAGACAAGTCCCAGGGGTAGAAAAATGGACCTAGCAAAGCATATGAGTACCTGTCAATGACAGTGTGTCCATGCAGTGGTGGAAACCCAGAGGGGCACCACTGCTCTCAGCAGCATCCCAGCTCTGCATCTGCATCTCCCATGGAGGGGCTTACAATCATATTACATACTTCATGTCCCCAAATTATAGAACCCCCCTTTCTTCCTTCTCCCTCTAACCCTTCTTAAATAAGACGTCCAAACTGTCTTTACATACTTGACATGCCACACCCTTCTCCAGCTTCCATGAATATTCCCAGTCCATTGATCTTGACCTTGAAGAACTCATTATCCCTTCCTTATTCTTAGACTTTACCTTTTGGTCAGAATCTCCACTTCAGACAAGCAACTAGACAAAACTCTGAGGGGGTTGCTATTTTTCTTGAGTTGATAACAATGTAGAGAGCTGACTTTGCTTCTCTCACAATAGAAGTGCTCAGATCTGATCTTACTGACCCTGAGTTTCGGTTTTATCTTTTAACAGGATGTCCCTTGGGGGAAATTCCCAGGCACATGCTTCTCCTTCTTTAATATGGCTAATGGTAGGGCAAACCATTCAAGTGTCTGGAGTAGAAACTCAAACACCTCAATACTTTCCACTTCTTCCCACAGTGAGCCTGTCCTGCACAATGGCCCTCACCACCGCTTCATGTATATATCTCTGAAATCTCTCTCTTCTTTTCCACCACTGCTAACTTAGTTAGACCCTAATGAACTCTTGGTTGGACCATTACAGTAGACTACTAAATGACCTCCATGCCTCCAGTTTCTTTTTTTTTCTTTTCTCTCCCAACCTGAAGACAACCACCAGTTTCTTAATATCACAATGTATACCTCCAGTGATCTTTCTAAAACATAAATGTAATTATTTCACCCCCTACTGCCTACAGAGAAACAAAAGCATAAGCATAGCACTCAAGATTCTTCATAATTTGGCCTTAATTTACTTTCTGGTGTCATCCAAAGCAACTCTGTCCACCTCTGTGTTCATGACCCTCACAGTCTAGCCACACAGAGCTATTTATGATGTTCCAACCTACTTTGTTCCCCTATGCCTTTGCCCATGCCGTGCCTGGAGTCCCCTCCCCAACCTTTTCTCTTACCATTAAACTCATTCTCACTTTTCAGTGTCCATCTCCTCTGTGAAACGTACCTAATTGCTCCATAGCTCATCTTGATCAGGCTCTTTGTTGGTGTGTTCAAATAATTAATGTTCAATGCTTATCACACCATACTGTGGTTCTTTGCTTCCGATTTGTTTTTCCCATTAGATCTTGGGTCATTGATGGCAGGAATCCTATCATTGACCTTTATATCCTAGCATCTGTCATTTATGGAAAAGCCGCTCTTGTCTTTAACCTATATTGTATCTATGACTCAATGTAGGGTGCACACATTTCTCTTATAATAACAGCACTAACAAGGAGAGCATCAACTAATATTTCATGAGTGCTTCCTAGATGGCAGCCAATATTTTATGTATTTTATTAACTCATTTCATCCTTATAATAGCTCATGAAATATATATATGCTTATCCCCTCTTATAGTTGGGAAAACTGAGATTTGCAAAGGTTAACTAATTTGTCTCAAAGTTATAGAAGTAGCAAATAATGGAAGTGAAATTTGAATCCATGCAACCCGATTCCAGGATCTAAATTCTTAACTACTGTGCCACACTTAAATAACAAAATGAACTGAGTTTTTTCACTTACTTTAGTTCATTTTCTTATTTCCCAAAACAAAATTAAAATATTTGAATTATTAATTGTATTAATGTTGGTCTTACACAAACTCCAGGATTATTTAGTCAAATAATACAGGGTTCAGTAGCAGATGTTGGCCCCCAAGTGATATTCTCATGGCTACACAATAGTCCCCAAACCTTAGTGGGTATCTTTCAGACTCCTCCATTGTCAAGCTGTATTTATGTGCTCAATCTCCAGCCACTCTTCCCTTACTGAAAATGTCATTTTTTTACACTTTGCCATCAAAAGCAGGTCTTAGAGGAAATAATGTATCTTCCCCCACCACCCAGCCCCTGTCACCAGGGGGCTCAAAAGAATCAAAACTGCACCTAAGACTATTGGAATTCACACAATGAAACTAAGCCCTAGTAGTATTTCAGTGCCTTTTTGGAGGTGCTAAGTGGTAAGAATCAGAATGGAAGTTGTTGGCTTTAGCGGAAAAGTGAGGCTTTTGTTAGTTACCTTGCTTTCCCTCTAAGAAAAACCCAACTTTGGGTCATTTTTTTTTTTTTAACTATGGTTGGGTATAAGAGCATCCTGAGATTTTAATATGTCTAATAAAACTCACCAAAGAGTGGAAGTGCAATAGGAAGGGAGGGTGCATTATGGTGCACAAGAGATGTGTTTTGCTCTGAAAATTGAGCTTGATGCTCATTGTAAATGAGGAACCCGGAGTGAGATGTACGAGGGCACAGCTGGGAATATGTGCAATGCTTGCCTTCATTTCCATTTGAATACCATAGAGGCAGCACTCAACTTGCTTAAAATTAAAAGGTACATCAGGAATGCAAAACATCATATAAAATTTTAACCAGCCTTTTTTAGTTGCTTTCTAATTCTTTACTGGTTCTTAATTTCCCTATATTTTTTCTATATTTATTTCTCTATATTTTCTATATTTTCCCTCCACCCTCGGCTTACCTTTTCTAAGGCTGCATGCACCTTTACAGTTATTTATCCACGATGGGCACCTATTCTTTATAGTAATGTATTTCTTTCTCTATCTTTCCTTTTCACCTTCCTTTTCTTTTCTTGCTTTCTGCTCAGCTCTTCCCTCTTCCTTGTTTCTCCTTGCTCTTCAGACACCTTCTTTTCCTTCTTTGTTGCCTTATTACCCTAACTAGTCTACCAATAAATTATAAATAATTCCAAACCAGGCGAGGCACAGTGGCTCACACCTGTAATCCCAGCACTTTGGGAAGCCTAGGTGGATGGATCACTTGAGCCCAGGAGTTTGAAAACAGCCTGGGCAATATGACAAAACCCCATCTCTACTGAAAATACAAAAATCAGCTGGGTGTGGTGGCGTACGCCTATAATCCCAGCTACTCAGGGGGCTAAGGCAAAAGAATCACTTGAACCCAGGAGGTGGAGGTTGCAGTGAACCAAGAACATACCGCTATACTCCAGCCTGGGTGACAGAATGAGACTGTGTCTCAAAAATAAAAGAAATAAATTTTAAAAAAATCAAAACCTGGGAAACTTGGCCCTCTTTAAACAGAAATAATGTTTTGCTATGAGACCAGAAATCCTTGCTGTACACTGGCTGCTCCTTGTGGCTCAATTGTGGTGGTTGCTATATATTCAAAGGTTGTCCAGTGCAGAAACAAGGACTAGGAGGGCTTATCTCTGAAAGTAATCAGTAACTGAGCTCTGGCCCCACTGATAAGTACTGAAAAATAATAATATCAATAATAGCTGCTAACATTCTTAAAAACTTACTATATAACAGGTCCTAAGCTATTTTCTTACTTAATCCTCACCACAACCCTGTGAAATGAGTTCTCTAATTATCCCCATTGTATTGGTGAGGAAACCAAGATGGAGACAGAGTGAGTGACACAGGTCACAGAGCAAGTGAGAGGCAGAGCCACATTTTTCAACCCAGGTAGTCTGGCTCCAAACAACTCTCTTGACATCTGGGTTTCACTGACCCTTGAACAACTACAGGGTAATCATGAAGTCATCAGATTCCAGCTAGGGCCGATGTATACTGTAGAGCTTGCCCTGCATGCCTGGGTATAAACAGACAGGTGAGCAAAGGGTGAGCCAGGGTCGCCAAAGACAGAGCAAGGTGATCTCCAGTGCCCAGAAGGGATTCTATTTGGGAGCAGAGAGCAGAGTAGGAGGAGTACAGCTACTTCACTCCAAGTCTCAGTAACTTCTAGTGATGGGAGATCTGAGACCTAGGAAGGGCATCGTGGTGGATGGGACAAGGTGGTGATCAGACAGAAGGGAGGACAGTGCTTGGAGTTCAGGAAAGAAGGCAGGGTATCGCACAAGTTCAGTGGTAGCCAGCGTGGCCCAAAATACCAGCCTGGAGTTTGGAGGGAGGGGGTCCAGTCCATGGGAGAGAAACTGGCAGATTATTGTATGGCCAGAGCTCAGGGACTGTATTTGGTGCTGGGGCTCAGAAACAAGGACAAGTCCAGTTACCGGACCCAGGACACTGTCCAGATCAGGTGAGCAGAAAGGGTGGCTAGCTTAACATTGAGGGAGAGGTGCTAAAGACCCTTGGATGTCACCTAAGGAGGTTGGACTTCATACTGTGATCTCACCTGGGGGGCTGCTATATACATGTAACACCACAAACTGGGACAATATTATGTCTTCTTTCTAATCTCTCAAAAACTCATTACGTATAAATGATCTTTTGTGCACAAAAGTGGATGCTCATGCATTAAAAAGAGCTGTAAAAATTTGTTTAAAGTGAATGGATACATGGTTAGCCCTAAAATAATGTCAGTTCCATATTCTGACTTGCTTTCTTGAAGAGGAGAGTAAGAGATACAGATGTAGTTGGCATGTTTGCATACCCCTTGGGATGCTGTGTGAAGGTGCCATGCATGTCTATGTCAGCTTATATATCACAATTGAGAAAAGGCAGAAAATTGCCCTCCAAGGCAATGGGAGTTGGTCTGAAGGGGTGCAAGGGTATTATGAGAACAATTGTGTGTGATTGTAAGCCTTTCTATAATATTTAAATTAGATAGATAGATAGAAAATGAAAATAAAAATAAATTTGACTGTCAGGGTTAGTCCTACAGTAAATTAAAGGGGTGGGGGTCATAGGGACAATATGTCAACATATTGTTACAGTCAGGAAAAATAAAGGCAATCTAACTGGCAGATACAATAATTTGAAAAAAAAAGACAGTAGTCAGGGACCATTTAACGTGATCATAAAAAGGTTCATACACCTCTTGGAAATCATTATAAAGAAGCAAGTGTCAGACTTTATGGGACCAGTTGCAATGCTGAGTCCTCCAGTTAAGATTAGAATATCCCCCTTACACACTATTTAAGGAGGCAGGTAGCCAAGAAACATATATTAGCCAGATTTTCCTCAAAAGCAGCTAATATCACAAGTGAAAGAAGGCATTGTTTCCTTCATGGCCCTTAAGCTGTGGTACATTTTTTATATTATCCTCATTGAACCTCCCGAATCGTATGCCCTGTGTGGGCAAGGACCGTGTTCACCCTGGCTTCCCCAGGAGGGAAACACCTTTCATGGAGGTTCTCTTTCCTCAAGCCACTTGTGGCGTTTGTCCTGCTCTGGACCTGCCCTGAGATGAGATGTGGGAGGAGGTACAGTCTTCTTCCCAGTCAGGTCTCTGAGATGCCTTCCACTGAGTCCCCATCAAATGAAAGAATTTCATCACTTCCTCTGCCCCATCTAGTTGTGCAGGAATGTCTGCTCTGATTGCTGCTGCAAAGAAAAGATTCCACTTTAGTGAAAGGCCTCAGTGCTGCCTCAAACGTTAAATGTTGGGCTTCTTATAAAATTCTATTTCTGTCCTCTCCAGGTTTCTAGACAGAGACCTAGAAAAAGGCCCTAAGCAGATACAGTGGTGGGAGCCCCATGATCCTCAGTTCAGTTCACGGCCAACCTGGGTGCCCAGCAGCTTCATCCCTGAGATCTGGGTTTATCCAGCAATGAAGCCTCTAGGGAACAGCCAGCACCTGCTGGAGGGCTCTGATCCACCACACAGCTGTGAGAGTGGCCTGGCCCCATAAGAGAAGGGGGCTGGGAGCCTCCACACCTGGGTCCCACTGTCGGAGGCAGGCCACCCCCACCCCTCTCTACACTGCTGTTCTCCCCTCATCCCTTCCCCTCTCCTTTCTCCTCACTGACATCCTTTCCCTCTCCTCCCCTTCCCCTTCTTGTTCCTCCTCAGATGACATCAATCAAATAGCTAGTTTTTCTACCCCAAGAATCAAAGGTTCCTCCCCTCCAGAGGCTCTTCCCAGTAACCTAAAGGCAAAAAATTCAGCACAAAATAAATAGCTATTAATTTGTTCCCTTGGTTAGAGAGATGGGGCTATTCATGTCCAGAAGACACTTACCTGTGAAGAATCAGAGGTATTTTAAACAGGCGGGACTTTACCGTTACTGTTCTCCTTATAAGGAGTTACACATTTGCTTGACTGGAGGCTTCTCACATGGCCTTGCTTCCCCCACCCCAACAGCAGGACTGGGAGATAATTAGGGAGGTGTTTATGAGGAACAAGAGTTGAAGAAAAGTCCCTAAATGTCTAGCAAATGTGGATTCACAGGAAGGGCTCTGGTGGAGCTTGGGCCAGACCTCTCCCCAGCACTCCCACCCTGCCCCACTCCAGCTGAAGCAGGCAGAGGGACTCTCTCTGGAAACAGAGGAAGTTTGAGTTTCAGGGCCCCTCACTTGGTCTGGCCCTCCAAGGCCCTGGGAAGATCCCCAGTACTGTGTTCCCATGGTCTTATATTTTTGTAAGATTTGCAAAAAAATACATAGTTTCAACACAGTTGGGTTCAACTGCTGTTTCTTTCCACTACAGCTTCCTTTTCCTCATACTTCTCTGATCAAATGGTATTGGAATAGCTGTGGGCATTTGGGGGATCCAACTAAGGGGAAGCTGAATTGAGAGTACATTTAGTTTAGATTGAATGCGATACATTTGTGTGGGCTGCAGTCACTTCTGTGCATGGCTAAGCCACTGCTGTCCACCCCGGAGTAGGAACAGCTTACAGGAATAATGCACAAGGCTGAATTAAATATAAACGTGTCCTATGGTGCCTGGCATCAGAAGTCTGTGGGTAGTGGAGGAAAAACAAGGTTTGAGATGGACTGAGCCAGACTGGGGACTCTGTTGAAAATTCTTCTAATCATGAGATGTATAAAATGCAGTTTTCATTGATGCCTCATCAAAATGGAAATTCAGGAATATATTCAATGGCAAAGCATGTACACTGATAAGTACACTGTGCATTGCTTATGGGAATTGCATAAAATAAAAATTATCAGAAATCTTGCATTTGCAGGGCATTACCCTGTAGCAGTGAGGCACATAGCAAGCGTGTCTGTGTGTGAGAAAGAGTGCTTTAATGCCTTCCAACTATCAACAATTTTGATCAGTCTTGCTAGAGGAAAGACTGCCTTATCTTTTTATTCTCTAATACAAAATCATTATCATATAAAGAGAGTAGCAAAGTCAGTAGGCAAAAATTCCGGAAGAAAGTTATTTTAGCAGTGTGTCAGACAGCTAATTAATTAAAATGTTTTGTATTTTTCCTGGGCTTTGAGAGGTCTATTGCATTTGCCAGCTTTAAAAACATATGTAATTTTTTTTGTAACTTATCCTTCTGAAGAGTCACTTTCACTCCCAATTTTGTGTTTATATTTTTGTATTATTTTCCTTAAAGAGAGAGCCCCCAAATTGTATATGCCTCAGGCTCCACAGTCTGAATCCTCCCTATGGGGAGTCTCTAGAAAAACGTTCTGTTTACTCTGCCTCAAGAAACCCTGCTCCAGGCTGGGCACACAAATTCCCAGGGCATTTTGGTCAATGGTTGGTTGCAGAGGTACCAGGTCACCTTCTTTCCAGAATGTGTGTTTTTGGGGCTATGGAGGTCTTTTTCCTGATGGCTGCTGTCCTAGGTTCTCAGGGATGCTTACCTTGCCAGGAACGACAGTAGTGAAGAGCTGCTGTTGATGCTTAATTTCTCCAGCATCCTGAGGCCCAGCTGTTCAAGTTCTTATTTTGGTATAAATCTGAGGTTCTTTTGATTCAAGAAGACGTAGGATAGTTTTCTGCCAAATCTTTTCTCAGATTCACATTGTGTTTGGGTTAGGTCATCTGACACACAAGACTGTCTCATTCCTTCTGCAGCAGGGGATTGACCAGTTTTTGGTTTTGTTTAACAGAGTTGGCGTGGACCTGGATGAAAATCTGAAGGAGGACCCCTCCTCACAACACCAGGCAAGTCAAAGAAACCAATGCACATTATATAGAGATATGATTGTTCTGTTCCATAGGCTGTTCCATGTTTGTCCAGCATGTGACCAAGGAGCTATTTCTAAACGGAGCTTCCTCTGCTGATAAAACAAATGAGATTACAATAAAATACAAGGGAATTCAGGGTGTTGATAACTTCTAGCATATGAATGCTTAGAACTAGCATGTACTTGCAAGCCTCTCTATGGCAGCAGGAAGTCTGGAAACTTTACAAAGTATATGATGGCTCTTGGAATGAGGCACTTCATAGTTCAAATCCCTACCCAGCAACTTGCTAGCTAGCCAACTCAGTGAAATTTACACAAAGTATGTCCAATGCATGTTGCACAAACAACAAATTGACTTATTTCTCCTGGATAGCTTCTCATTTATCAGGTCTAAGGCCCAAAAAACTGTCTAGGTGATCCATCCTTTGACTTAATTGAGCAACAATTATCTACAGAGACCTGAAAATCCTTTGGGGTAATTGTTTAGAACAATGAGTTCTTCCCTCATATATTAGTTCATTTTCATAATGCTGATGAAGACATACCCAAGACTGGGTAATTTATACAGGAAAAAGGTTTAATGGACTTACAGTTCCACATGGCTGGGGAGGCGTCACAATCAGGGCAGGAGGCAAGGAAGAGCAAGTCACATCTTACATGGATGGTGGCAGTCAAAGAGAGAGCTTGTGCAGGGAAACTGTTTTTAAAACCATCAGATCTAGTGAGACCCATTCACTGTCACAAGAACAGCATGGGAAAGACCCATCCCCATAATTCAACTACCTCCCACCAGGTTCCTCCCACAACACATGGGAATTGTGGGAGTTAGAATTCAAGATGAGGTTTGAGTGGAACACAGCCAAACCATATCACCTCAAGTAGGGGAAATGCATTCTCCAAACTGAATTTGAACCTAACGTCAAAGTAGAATCTATCAATGTCAGTTTTGCACTACCATTTTAAACTCAGTACTTGTCACAAATAAGAAAATGTAGGGAAATTTTACACCTTTTTGCTGAAATTAGAAGTAGGCAGACATAGATATAATAGGAGAATATCATAAATAAGTGATATTGCTTAATGAATTGTGTTATGAGCGTATTTGTATTCTAAGGGAATCCCTCTCTTTTATTTCATGCTTGTTTTTCCAATAACACCATCAATGAGGCACAACTGGTGAGTTTTCCTGGGCAAGACACTGCTTTCCTGGCACACACAGATGTGAAAAAGAAAGGAGCCTGTGCTCTGTGGAAAAGGCTGGGAAATTAAGTTGGTGATGATCCTGGCTCTCATGTACTTTGAGGTTTTTTGTCACATGTGTTCCAAGGCCAGGCAGTTTCCACAGACTCCATTGTCCAGGAAACACACCTAACTGCAGGATGGAGCACAGCAGGGGTGCCCAAAGCACTGGGATTAGAGCCAGCCTGGTGACCTTAGAAAGGAGATCAAAGCCCATCTCCTTACACTGGTGGGCTATAATGAATAGTCAGTAATGTCTGGTGGTGGCTGATTTTTAAAAAGCATTTTCATCTTGTGTAGGTCAAATAATTCATTCTCCTACCTTCAAGAAAACTTTTATCTAAATTTTGTCCTTCTTGTATACCTTTTTCTTTAAAAGAAGAAAAGACACAATTATAAAATTCATCAAATAAAATTCTCTGTCTTCTTCTAACTGCCTAATATTCTACAATCACATATACTGTTATTGGTAAAAATTTCCTACTAGCCTAAATCCTTTCCAATTTAAATGTATTTTATTTTATCTCATTCATGTGACACTTTAAAACAAAGTTCATCATTGTTAAATCAGTAATAACCCTTACCTGAAGATATTATAGCAATTAAAGTTACTTTTTTATTAGAGAAATAGGATAGCATAACATAGAACAGTGAAAATTCTGTGATATTTGGGTCTTGGGCAAGGTGTTTACACCTTTGGGTCTCAGTTTCCCTCTCTATAAAATGTAAATGATAATAACGTCTGCCTCTCCAGGATGTTATTTATGATAATCAAGGGAAATTGGGTTTATGAAAATGACCCAACTTAATTAAGCTAAACCCATCTCATTTTATGGATGATTGGAGGCAGCTTAAACCACCACATATAATAGTAACATATTTTTATAGAAATTTTAAAAATCAGTAAAAAATATTAATAAGAGCAGATAGTCAAAACCAGAGGGGTATAAAGAATCATGGATAAGCAGATCATAAGGCCTTATAGACTTACTGTAGTCAAACCATAAGTAAGCTTTCTGATGGCCAAAGGGGAAATAAAGAAATAATAATTGGTAATATATTAAATTCACATCATTAGAAGGAAAAATAATACCCTCTCCTCAAGTGACACGAAACATCACTATGTTTTTAAAGACATTTCTCACTTGGGGCCTCCTGTAGAGGACACATACAGCACTATCTAAATGTTAAGTAAGTAGCGTTATCATTGACATGGCGCCTCCTGAACTGCTGCTACCTACAAATGATTTCATTTTTAAGAAGTATACTGTAAGTGTTCTTATTCATGATAATGTTCGATTACCAAAGAACTTACGTTTCAGAAAGAGGTTTTCTCCACACATTGGGATAATGCTTATCTTCAGTATCAAGTACAGGAAACAGTGGGCTCTGATGGGAGGTAACAAGCTGCAGTGTCCTCACAGCTGCCACTGAACCTGGACCGTTTTTTGGTACTTCCCAAACTGTCAAGAACCTCTCTGCTCTCATTTTGCCTGGCAACACCTGTCTTATTATCAACATCTCTTGCTCTGTTGGATTATGTAACATAACCCCAATTCTTAGGAGGATTGTATGTTTCCCCTTGATTTGCATTTATTAAACTGGGTTTGCATTAACAAATAGGTTAATCTTTGTAATGGGCAGCCTTAACACATACACAGAAACCCTTCTTACTTACCAAAGGCTAAAAATTTTGCAGGTAGTTATAGCTGTTACTGATTATACACTCTCAAAATCAAGAATAAACTATATATATATATTTAAAATTATATATATTAATATGTTTTTAAATTTCTTCTTTGTTCTCTGCTGTGGAAAGTAAAATAACTTTTGGGAATGTGAACTTGTAGCTGTGGCTAACTAGTAATGTCACAACTTTCCTTTTTGCCATACAATACCTTTAGAATGTGAATGGTGTTACACAATTATTTGTACCAGGCACAAAAGCTTTAGAGAGCATGTTCCATATGCAGATATCACACTCTGGATGCATACTTCATGCAAACGTGCTAATTTGAGAACTGGAAGATACTGCAGTTGTGAATTTTATGCCTCTTAAATGTGAAAAACAAAACCCTCAGGTAGCCTCCCACACAACAGGAAGTTTCCCTTGTAATTGATTCCTTGTACTTGAAAGCACACCTTTTCAGAGTAGGTGAGAGTCACTGGAGCACCACACTTGCCTTCAGTCCTTTAATAGAAAACTCCTGCTACTCAAGAAAGGCTGCCAGTATTGCTTCTCTTTTTCCCTTTTGCCATTTGATCGTACTCACTCCCATATTCGTTGGGCACTAGCTATTATTCTTAACACTGCTCTGAGCACCTTATATGCGTTTGCTCACTTAATTTCCAAGATAACCCTGAGTGGGTACTATAATTATCTGCATTTTACAAATAAGGAAATTGTACACAGAGACAAAACTTGCCCAAGAACACACAGAAGGGAGAGGTGGAATTTGAACCCAGACAGTTTGGTTCCAGAGCTTCCACTCTTAACTGGTATGCGTGCATGTATTCATTCATTTATTCATACAAGTAATTCTTGGTACCCACTCCTACGGCACTAACGTAGATGTGAGGATTCAGGAGTTACCAATTCAAAGCTCTCTTCCTCCCAGAGTATATACTCTATTGGGGGACACTGATAAGAAAAAGGTAAACTGCATTCTATACATTCAAAGCATGATCACAGTAAAGCAGGTCAGAGGATAGAGAACAGGCGAGGAGGCTACTTGGTCAGGGTAGAAGTGGCATTTGATCAGAGGCCAGATGATGTGTGGAGGAAACAATCCATGTGAGAAGGGGTTGAGGAGAGGTAGTCTGGCAGAGGCTACAGCAAGTATGGAGGCATTGGAGTCACAGTGGGTTATGGTGTGCACAAAAGCAGCAGGAAGGCCAGCATGGCTGGAGCTGAGTAAGCAAGGTGGGAGCGGATGGAGAAAAAGTGGGAGAAACAGACAGGGGCAGGGGCCAGACCATTGGCCATGGTGTTAGGTTTGAGTTTTTTTCTAATGTGATAGACACCCTTGATGGTTTGGTTTGGAGCTTGGAAGTAATAGAATTAGCCCATTAAAATAAATTTCTCCCCATTCCACCCTGCCAGCTGTTGTGATGAGGATAATTTTCATCTTTTTTCATACAATTTCATTTTCTAACACTATGCTTGTTACTTAATGGTTTCTCGACGTTACCTTCCAATTTTCTTTTGTTTCTGAAAGTCCCTTCATTGAAATTCTGGTTTTGGTTGTCCTTTATTCTTGTGTGTAACCTGGGTGGATCCGTTCTGGTCACTGCAGCACATGAAAGTCAGCAGAGCTGAGAAAGGTCTGAAGAAGGGCAACTTCAATAACTGACAGAGGGACCTGCTGCCAGAGCAGCAGGGATTAAAAGGATTAGGATTTTTCCATCAGAAAGACTAGAACTACGAAGGGGCACAACAAAGTATCTGTAAAAATATGAAAGGTGTAAAGCGAATGAAGACTTGTTTGCTAACTCCCAGAAAACCATAACCTGGAATACCTTTGAAGCCTGGAAGAGGCCATGGGTGAATAATAAAAGTATTTGTTCTTTTGCACAATTGATAGTTCTTATTCAGGGCCTTCCAGAGTTGCAAGAGTTGGAAATATAAGTAGGTTCAAGAAGGGAAGAGATTAATTTAGCAGATAGTGGGGTCATCATGGTCATTAAATAAAATTTTTCTTTGTGAATATTTTCAAATGTTCCTAATAAACACAAAGATAAGAGAATAATGAATCTTAACATACCCATCCCCCAAACTTAACAGTTATCAACATTTTTCCATACTTTCTGCATTTACTGCTCCTGTACTGTTGGAGTTAGTCTCATAGAGTGTAAATTTCACACTACACTTCTACGAATATTTCAGAAATAGAATACGAGTCTCAAAATTTGATGTGACCCAGGTGAGAGCTTTTGTAATGTTATGTCATTCCAATGTCATTGTAACTAATGGTATTTTGAGAAAAATAAAATAAACATTTCAGAGAAAATATCTTGGGTTTTCCCTTGGCCAACATTGAATTTATTTTGGTTATACTTACTTATGGCTTTTAGATTCAAAATTATGTCCTCCCCCTACTAACTTTTTACTGCATAGGACTAAATTCTAAATTCTATATTTTTATCTTACCGGTAGTTCCTGCAAGTACATGTTCTAGAAAGTAGGAATGATAATAAGGAAGAAGAAGTGGAAGGTGGCAGCTATACTTTAATAAGCATTTTTATATATTAAGTGATTAACAATTATATACCTATGTGTATATATACATAATCACATTTAATCTTTACCTTGACCAATCAAGATACCTATATCACTCCCATTTTACAAATGGTGAAATTGGAGTTCAAAGAATTAATTTTCCCAAGACAACAAACCAGTGATGGGCTGAGCCAGAACTAAAGGCCAAAGCCGTTTCATTCTCACCATTGCACCACATCCAATCTGTAAACGTGTTCTTTCTTCCCAGTAAGGATAGCCTGTCAGTTAACATTTGAGTAATCCTTTCCCTGTTAACTCCTGGCCAGCCTCATTTCCCAACCCTATCGAGAGTATCAAGCATATTCTCATTTCAAGAGGCTAGAGTATATTCCTCATCCTTGGAATCGTTCCCTTCACCCAAACCCAGTAAGCTGTGAGTATGGGCCCGTTGTCTAGGAGGTCTTTTCCTACTGCAGAGTGTGTCATCCTTCACTCACAGTGCAGCAGGCTCTACTGTCTCCCAGGAGGAGAGGGTCAACCTGCATCATTCTCTGCTTGTTACTTCCTCCCAGCAAGGGTTGAGTTGCCAGCCAGTCTTTAGCTCTTATTCATGCAGATGTCTAAAGGAAGACCATACTAGACAAGACAAGGGCCCTGAGGCAGGAACATGCCTACCTGTTTGAGAAATAGCAAAGGTGCAAGTATAGCTACAGTGAGCCACCAAGAATACTATAAGCTATGAGTCAGAGATATAGGCAGGATCAGTTATCTGTTGCCACACAATGCTGCATAACAAGCAAAATCTCAGAGGCGTGAACAATAAATACTTATCTCACAAGTCTGTGGGGTTCAGTTGTTCTATAGTGGACTTGTTCATATATCTAGGGTCAGCTACAATTTGCTAGATAACTGCTGATCTGAGCTAGGCTTGCTCATGTGTCTGGAGTTGGAGAGCTGTCAGCTGATCTAGGATAACCTTAATAGGGATGACT
Source organism: Homo sapiens (assembly GCF_000001405.40). Classification (NCBI taxonomy): domain Eukaryota; kingdom Metazoa; phylum Chordata; class Mammalia; order Primates; family Hominidae; genus Homo; species Homo sapiens. The sequence goes on along the minus strand of NC_000003.12, from coordinate 143,375,586 downwards.
TAAGTGCCTTAGCTGTGCACCACATGATTCTCATCTCATCTGGGACCAGGGGGCTACCCTGAGTAGGTCTTTCTCCTGGCCATGACAGAGGGCAAGAATGTAAGCAAAAACAGGCAAGGTTTCTTGAGGCTGAGCATCAGAAGTGATACATTGGCATTGCTGCTACATTCTGTTGACCAGAGAAAATTACGAGGTCGTCCTAAAAAACAGGTGTATGAATAAATGACTCCTATTTGGTCAAAAGAACTGCAGATTTACATGGAAAAGGCCATAGATACAGGGTTGAAAAAATGGCACCTCTAATGCAATTAGTCTGCCATATAGGTCACATGAGCCAATGTAAACAGTTTGGACTTTATAGTAATCTGTACAATTTCAGACTTTTGAAATGTACTGATACTTATTTTATGGTTCCAATTGATATATCTTGGTGAATATTCCGTGTGTACTTGAATGTGTATTCTTGCAACTGTTTCAATACTATACCAAACAACTGCAGAATCCAGTTGGCATAGCTCAGTAAGTGTAAATTATGTCAACTTGTTTTTTTGTCTACTTATTTTATCAGTTACTGATAAAACCCCCAATTGAACAATTGAACTCATGGATCTAGAGAGTAGAAGGATGGTTAGAAGTGTCTAGGAAGAGTAGTAGGTGTTTGGGGCAGTGGGAAAGGTGGGGATGGTTAATGGGTACATAAAATAGAAAAGATGAATAAGACCTACTATTTGATAGCAAAATAAAGTGACTATAGTCAATAATAACTTAATTGTATATTTTAAAATAATTTAAAGTATGTAACTGGCTTGTGTGCAATTCAAAGGATAAATGTAAGAGGATGGATACCCCATTTTCCATAATGTGCTTATTTCACATTGCATGCCTGTATCAAAACATCTCATGTACCCCATAAATATATATACCTATTATGTGCCCACAAAAAAATTGTTTTGAAAAATAATTTAAAAATTTAACATAAAACCTCCAATTATAATTAGGAATTTTCCTGTTTCTTTATCTGTTAAATAGTGCTTAATATGCTTTTCACTGGATATAGAATTCTGGTTTGATGGTTGTCTTCTTTGAAAGTCAATGCTTTGAAAATCACATTCTGTTGTGTTCTGGCCTCCATGTTTTTTCTTTTTTTTTTTTTTTTTTTTTTTTGAGACAGAGTCTCGCTGTCTCCCAGGCTGGAGTACAGTGGTGCGATCTTGGCTCACTGCAAGCTCCGCCTCCCGGGTTCACGCCATTCTCCTGCCTCAGCCTCCCCAGTAGCTGGGACTACAGGCGCCCGCCACCACGCCCGGCTAATTTTTTATATTTTCAGTACAGACGGGGTTTCACCATGTTAGCCAGGATGGTCTCGATCTCCTGACCTCGTGATCCGCCCACCTCGGCCTCCCAAAGTGCTGGGATTAGAGGTGTGAGCCACCACACCCGGCCTCTGGCCTCCATTTTTTCTGATAAAAGTCATTTGAATTTTTTTTAATTTCCTGGAACATAATATGCTCTGTCTTTCCCTGGTTGCTTTAAAGATTTTTCTCTTATCTCTAGTTTTTTAGAAGTTTGATTCTTATATGCCTAGTTTTCTTAGAATTTATCCTAATTTGGGTTCACTGAATTTCTTGGAACTCTTGGTTGATATTTTTCATCAAATTCGGGAAATATTCAACTATTGCTTTTTGAAAAATGTTTGTTCTCCATGTTCCTACTGCCCTCTTTCTAGCCCTCCAATCTTATATACATTAGGCTACTTAATATTTTTTTCTCATATCACTTAGGTATTAGTCTATTTTAATCTTGTTTCTCTGTGTTTTACAAATTGCATAATTTTTATTGATCTCTTTTCAAGTTCACTGACACTTTCTTCTTAGTATCCAATCTGCCTTTAAGCTGATCTAGTAAATTTTTAATTCCAAATATTGTACTTCTTGGTTCCAGGAATTTTTAATGGCTATTTTTTTTTTTTTTTTTTTTTTTTACTATTTCAGTGGCTTTGGGGATACAATGGTTTTTGGTTACACGGATGAATTATATAGTGGTGAAGTCTGAGATTTTAGTGCACCCATCACTGGAGTGGTATACATGGTACCCAATGTGTAATTTTTTAATCCTTAGCTCCTTTCAACCTCCCTCTTCTAAGTCTCTCAATTTCATTATGTCACTCTGTATGCCTTTACACACCCATAGCTTAGCTTACATTTATAGGTAAGAACAAAAGTTATTTGGTTTACCATTCGTGAGTTATTTCATTTAGAATAATGGCCTCTCACTCAATCTGAGTTGCTGCAAAAGACATTATTTCATTCATTCTTATGGCTGAGAAATGTTCAGTGGTATATACATACCACATTTTCTTTAGCCACTCATTGGCCAGTGGGCACTTAGGTTGGTGCCGTATCTTTACAGTTGTGAATTGTATTGCAATAAATATACATGTGCAGGTGTCTTTTTGATATATTGACTTATTTTCCCTTGGGTAGATACCCAGTAGTGGAATTTACTAATGGTAAATCTACTTTTGGTTCTTTAAGAAATCTCCATACTGTTTTCCATAGAGATTGTACTAATTTACATTCCCATCAGTAGTGTGTAAGCATTCCCTTTTCATCACATTCAGGCCAATGACTATTGTTTTTTGACTTTTTAATAATGGCCATTCTTGCAGGAGTAAAGTAGTATCTCATTGTGGCTTTAATTTGCATTTCCCTGATGAATAGTAATGTTGAACATTTTTCCACATTTTTTTGCCATTTGTATTTCTTCTTTTGAAAAATGTCTATTCATGTCATTTGTCCACCTTTTGATGGGATTATTTGTTATTTTTCTTGATCCGTTTGAGTTCCTTATAGATTCTGGACACTAGTTTCTCGTCAGATGCATAGTTTGCAAATATTTTATCCCATTCTGTAGTTTGCTCTATTGATAATTTATTTTGCTACACGTAAGTTTATTAGATTAATTAGGCCCCATTTATTTTTGTTTTAGTTGCATTTGCTTTTGGGGTCTTAGTCATGAATTCTATGCCTAGATCAGTGTCCAGAAGAGTTTTTCCTAGGTTATCTTCTAGACTTTTTATGGTTTCAGGTCTTAGATTTATGTCTTTAATCCATCTTCAGTTTTTTTTTATAAGGTGAGAGAGAAAGAGGTTCACTTTCATTCTTCTACATGTGGCTATCCAATTTTCCCAGCACCATTTAGACCATTCCATTGGTCTATGTATCTACTTTTATACCAGTACCGTGCTGTTTTGGTAACTGTAGCCTTGGTAGTATAATTGGAAGTCCAGTAATGTGATACCTCCAGATTTGTTCTTTTTGCTTAGGATTGCTTTGACTATTCAGGCTCTTTTTGTTCCATATGAATTTTAGAATTGTTTTTTCTAATTCTGTGAAAAACGGTAGTTATTTTGATAGGAACTACATTGGATCTATAGACTGCTTTAGGCAGTATCATCACTTTCGTGATACTGATTCTTCTAATCCATAACCATGTGATATGTTTCCATTTATTTGGATCTATGATTTCTTTCAGCAGTGTTTTTGTAGTTCTACTCATAGAGATCTTTCACCTCCTTGGTTAAGTATATTCCTAGGTATTTTATCTTTCTTTGAAGCTGTTGTAAAAGGGATTGAGTTCTTGATTTGATTCTCAGCTTGGTCACTGTTGGTATACAGCAGTGCTACTGATTTGTGTACATTGATTTTGTAACCTGAGACTTTACTGAATTGCTTTATCAAATCCAGTTGTCTCTTGGAGGGATCTTTAGGGTTTTCTAGGTGTACAATCATATCCTCAGTGAACAGTTACAGCTGGACTTCTTCTTTTCCAATTTGGGTGCCCTTTATTTCCTTCCCTTGCCTGATTCTAGAATTTCCATTTTGTTCTTTTAATACAATTTACATCCTTCTGAAATATTCACTTGTGTTTTTATTGTCTCTTTGTCTTTAAATTCCCTACCATATTTTTTAGAGTATTTTAATTCCATTGCCTGTTAATTCCAGCATCTGAGTCATTTCAAGTTCTGTTTCTATAGGTTACCTTTCTTCTGGCTTCAGGTCATGCTTTCCTGCTTCCTCCCATGTCTAGCAGTTGTTATGATATGCTATGTCTTATGAATATTACATTGAATGGAGTGTGGAGTATTCTATAAAGTTTGCTGAATTTTATTCAGTCAAGCCATTAAAATCTTGTAAGCCTTAGTTCTATGCTTGCCTTCCTTGATACATTTTCATTTCATCCTCGGTTTTAGGGCATGGTCATTATTCTAGAACATTGTCCTTACTCATAAAACATGCTTTTTTTCTGAGGTCTCAATAGAATAGCTGACTTTTGGCTTTAGCTGGACCAAACTGCAGTGTTTCTTAGCACTATGTGATCTTAATCTCTCCATTTATTTCTCAATTTCACAAGAGTTTCTCCCTGTAAGCCTTTGTGAACCTCAACCTGTGCATGTACAGGTCAGTGTTCAACCAAGGACATAAGGGAAACATCTCCACAGACTTCTGGGTGTCCTCTCTGTGCAGTTTCCTCCTTTCTGTACACAGCCACTCCAGCGGTACCCTAACTCCCATCTGTAGCTCTTCAACTCAGTGAGACTGCTGTTCTCTGCTTGAACTTTATCTCCTTACCTTCAAGAGAATGACTTACAGGCAGCAAGTCAAGGAGAGTAGAGGGCTCACCTCATTTCTTCCCTTCTTTCAAGGATCACAGTCCTTTGCTGCCAGTTATCCAATGCCTGAATCCTATCATATGTTTATGATCCAGTTATTCTATCATGGCTAGCCATTGTGAAAGCGATGATGAAGTGGTTTTGTAGGGAGACACATTGTTTTCCTTTGTTTTTAGACACATACAAAATACTAAATAATGGAATCACAAATCTACACGTGAGACTCTTACCTTTACTATGGCAGTAGTGGTTCTGGGTTTTGTTATTAGCATGAACCAGGATCTTCTTGTTCCAGGAAAATTATTTGTTAGGGTGTGTGTGTGTGTGTGTGTGTGTGTGTGTGTGTGCGCGCACATGCATATACTTGTGTACATGTATATAAAAGAGTTATCACACCAACTGAATTATGATATGTGTCAGGCATTAGTTAAGAATACAATGAAGCAGGTACAGTGAGATGCTGTGAACTTCCTCCTCTCTCTAAGTTGGTCCATCATTTTTTGTCTTTGTATTTAATCTTCAATCTGTAAGATGGGTATATTTGACCCAGGATAGTTTTTGATATACTTTTAAGAGGGAACATATGTCTTCTATACCACAAATGTTACTTTTATGAAAACAGTTCATAAACTGTAAAGAGCTATGCAAATGTAGGCCTCAACATTTTATTATCTCTTTCCAAATCGTTATTTCAATACCTTTCACATCTGGAATTTATTATTCCAGTATATCATTGTATTAATTTTCTATTGCTGCATAAAAAATTATCCTAAAATATAGTGGCTTAAAACAACCCACATTTATTATCTCAAAGTTTCTATGGATCAGGAATTGGAAAGCAACTTAACTGAGTGTTTCTGATGCAAGGTCTTTCATGAGGTTGCAGTCAAGATGTCAGCTAAAGTTAGAATCATCTGAAGGCTGGACTGGGCCTAGAGGATTCGCTTCCATGTTGGCAGAAGGCCTCTGTTCCTTACTTGCCATTGGCAGGCATACTTAATTCCTTTCCACATGGATCTCTCCACAGAGCTTCTTGAGCGTCCTCACAACAGGGCAGCTGACTTTTCTCAGAGCACATGGTCCAAGAGAGACAGCAAAAAAGAAAGCCACAATGCCTTTTTATGACCTACTCTTGGATATGACACACCATCATTTCTGCTATATTCTATTTATGAAAAATGAGCCATTAAGTATGACCCACACCCAACAGGAAGAGAAATTAGGCCCCATCTTTTTTTTCCTTCAAAGAGATTTTTTTTTAATTTTAAAATTTTTAACTGGCACGTAATAATTGTACATACTTATAGGGTACAGAATGATAATTTGATACATGTATGCAATGTGTAATGATCAAGTCAAGGTAATTAGCATAGCCATTACCTCAAACATTTCTCATTTCTTTGTATTAGGAACATTTAAAATCCTCTCTTCTAGCTATTTGAAATTATGCAATGAATTACTGTTAACTATATTCACCCCACAGTGCTACAGAACACTAGAACTTATTCTTCCTATCTAGCTGTAATTTTGTACCTATTAACCTCTCTCTATCCTCCCCTCACAACTACCCTTCCCAGCCTCTGGTAACCACAATTCTACTTTCTACCTGCAGGTAAGTTCCATGTTTTAAAGGAAAAAATATCAAAGAATACATAGATATACACTTTAAGACCACCATAATTATCATATTATATTTTCCTGAACCAAATAATTTATTTATCTCTGGATTAACTTGGATCTACTATACAGACAAAGTTACCTGGACCAAGCCCTTTCTTTGTAGCTAAAGCATGAGCCAAGCCCATCTGGTAGTCTATCTGTGAGATCTCTGTGTCATCTTAACAGTTTTATCCATCTGTGTCTAGTTGTCTCAGTTTTTTTCTCTCTAGGCATGTATTTTCTGACTCTATCTTCCTGGTAATATTTATGAATTTAACTGGGCATTGGGAAGGTGAGAATATTTTTATAAACTGCTTTCTATGCAGAGGCTAAGAATTAATGATTCACCTTTTAAAATGTAAATTTGAAAAAAATATTTCTATTTGCCCCTTGAATTATATACTGTGTTCCCTCTTCAGAACCCAGAATTCTTTCTCTTTAGAAGCATGGAATCTGATCCTCTCCTTGGTAATTAGAAAGTCAAGGCAATGCATTTGAAATTGTTATACAAATATACTCCAATTTGGAAGGAGACAGTAGGGCAAACGTATTGATAGCAAATTCTATTCACAGGTACTACCTTAAAAAGTTCCTTGGAGCCCATAAAGAGCTCTGCAGATTTATTATGATAATTATTTGTCTTTGTTATCAGTTGATGCAACTTCCACTGACATTAATATTGAATATGAAATCTTGAGAAATAGAAAGGAAAATCCTCCCTCTCTCACTTAATCCACTGAATCCCCCTGAAATGAGGAGCAATCCCGTATGATTATCCCAAAGCAGAGTTCATCCAGTTCACTTAGCAAATTCCTCATATTTGAATATTGACAAAGGAATGTATTTACATTTGCCTAGTTCTTTTTCATCAAAGTTAATACAATAAACAATCCCTTCTTGCTTTGGTGTCTGTTTTTCACAGATTTCTTGCCAGAACCTTTTGTTTTCTCTCAGGGGTTCAAATAAGCACAAAACAGAGTACCATCATAATTTTTCTGTTGCTCCCTCTCTAGAGGGTGTTAAGTATTAGGGGATCACCTAAAAGAAAACTATCCACTGCCTGCTATTCTGTCACTTCCCAACCTCTGGTCTATTGCCTTATTTAAGGAGAAAAAGATATCAAATGGCCCATTTCTAAAAGTTTCGCAGAAAAACAGAGGATAATAAAAGAGCCAGAAAATCCCAATGTATCAAACATTCTGCTGCTTAGAGTATCTAGTTAAATAAAAGTTGAGATTCAACATGCTTGACTCACCAGTTCCCATTTATAGCTGTGAAACATGAGGCTCAGAGTTGGCATTATTAATAATAGTATTATTACTAAAATGTTGTAACTAAACTCAAATCTTGGTCTTCAGTTTCTGGCACCTATGCTTGTTCTAACATGCACACCACATCCCCTCTGGAATAAAGATCCTCGAAAGAGAAGAAATATTGCTAATGATAAGAAAAATACCATCAAGTTCCAGATTCAACTTGTGATGACTGCTCACATCTATTGTCCTTGAGGTGTGAGCTGATCTCTGCTTCAGAAGAATCCAGATAGATTGATGCTACCTGCTGTCCGCTGCCCATCTGGACCCTCCCGTGGGCTGGCTCTCTGTGCTGCCTCATCAGATACCTTCCCTGTTCCAGGGTGATTTCAAAGACCGGCCTTCCCTTAGCACATTTATCTTCAACCCTCAGTGCACAAGCAGAGCACACACTAGACTAATTCATTTATTTCTACTCATTTATTGATGGCCTTTCATAACCAAGTTATTAAGTCATCAGTAACTTCAGAGAAATAAACGAATGGATCCAGAACTGGGCCAAAAGATATTTAAGACATATTCTGAACATCTTATCTAGGATTGGTGTAAATGTCAATGCTGAGTCATCAGTGGTATTTTCCCCACCTGGGAAAACATATTTCACAGATGTTTTATTCTAATTAGATCCAAGTTTATTCCTCACAAAGTATTGAAATGAATAACATCTCCAGTCACCCACATGAAATGAAGTTTTTTAGAAAGAGATTGCATGTGTTAATATTTTTCCAAAATACTACCTAATGTATGTTGCTCCCATCAGCTGACCATAAATATCCCTGGAAGGTTTGCCAAGAATAGAGTATAAGCTCTTTCAGAAGTGCATATGAGTTCTGATATATTCCCCTTGGGAAATAAAAAGGAGAAAAAGAGAGGATTTCTAAGACCTTGGGAAACGCTTGAAACCAGTATCTAGAAGTCTAAAGAAATTCCTAAAACACTAAAGTTTCTATGGGGACATTTTCAAAGCCATTGGCAGTTCACCCAGCTAAGGGGAGCTCTAAATTTTCATTATGTTTTGGGGTATGTATACCTGCTGTATCTCAGCCTGCAGGAGGAGCATTCCATTGCTCTAACTTCCCCTTTTGCACTAGTTTGCTCTCCACTTGTATCCTGGGGCCCCATCTAGATAAGAGGAATCTTGCCTGCTTAGGGGCCTCAGTATTCTTGAAAACCTATATGTATCCCAGTGCATCAGTTTCCTCATCTGTAAAATAGGAATAATAATAGACCACACTTCATCAAATAATTATAAGAATCTGAAGTGTTAATATATGAAAAGTACTTAGAATAGTGTCTGGCATATGGCAAGTGTTCAAGTATAGCTATTACTGTTGTCATTAATAAAAAGTCTTTTCCATATGATTAGGACCTAAGAGACCAGCCAGTCCAATTTCCTCAATTCATTTTACAGACAAGGAAACTGCAGCCCAATGAAGTTACGTAGTCTATTAATAGAATGTCTGTGCTTTTGAATTAAAGGCTGAATTAGATACTTGCAGAAAAACATTCTCTTTGGAGTCTGGCAGTCCTAGACTAAAATTCCAATTGTTACCTTCTAGTGGTGTGACTTTGAACTCACTTCTTTCCTTCTCTAGGACTCTCTAAAATCCCTATGTGCAAAATAGGTACAATGCAACCTACCTTGATAGAGTGAGAATTGAAAAAATAATGACTGAAAAAATTAATGGCTGGATAATGTGACTAGCATTCTGCCTGGGAGTTAATGGGCATTCAATAGCTTGGGACCATCATTATTGGGAACATCATTCAGCTGCAGTGCTGCAGACTGGCTGCCAGAATCCCGGCCCCTGATTGCCAGTATAGCTCACCACAACACTGCCCACCCTTACATTAAAAACAAACAAAAATTGGGAATTTGCTCTCATTCCTTTTTATCAGCTTTTTAAATGACTTTCTAGTCATCAGTAGATATTATCCACTATCAAAAATTACCTATGATTGTTGATGGATAAAAATCCACGTATCCTTATTCTTAAAGGAAAGGGTGGGAAAAAAGGAAAGTTCCAACCCTTGGCCCCAAGCTTTTCATAACTAGTTTAGCTCAACATGAGCAGTTTTGCTTTGCCAGATGAACCCCAATATGCTGTTGACAAACAGTGGCTCAGAAACAGTTTGCAGATGTTTGAGGATGATGAAGAAAACACTGTGTGCAACAGTCATTTTGCAAATCTGATACCTTTGCTGGGGTAGAAATGCTTTGAGAAAGGTATAGGGAAGGATAGAAATTGAACCAGACACCCTGGTTTCCTTTCTTGAGGAAATATGCATAAATTCTGACTATAGATAACAAGGCATGGCACTCCGGCCCTATCAGAAAACAGAGACCTGTGGAACTCTAATGTCCAGGAAAAGATCATCAGTGTCCCACAGTAGGGACTGGGAATGGGAATGAATTCCATGGCCAAGTAACTTTGAGACACACTTTCTGTTGAAGATTTGCAATGCTCATTTATAAATGAAAGACTGAGAAGTTCTACATTTTCCTTTCTTTTTTAACTTTTATTTTAGGTTCAAGTATACATGTGCAGGTTTGTTATATAGGTAAACTTGTGTCACAGGGGTTTGTGATATAGATTGTTTCATCTCCCAGATACTAAGTCTAGTACCAATAGTTATTTTTTCTGGCCTCTCCCTCCTTCCACCCTCAGGTAGGCCCCAGTGTATATTGTTTCCATCTTTGTGTCCATGTGTTCTCATCATTTAGCTTCCACTTATAAGTAAGAACATGTGGTATTTGGTTTTCTCTTCCTGCATTAGTTTAATAAGGATAATAGCCTCCAGCTCCATCCATGTTCCTGCAAAAGACATAATCTCATTCCTTTTTATGAGTGCATATTATTCCAGGGTATATATGTACCACATTTTCTTTATCCTGTCTACCATTGATGGGCATTTAGGTTAATTCTGTGTCTTTGCTATTGTAAATAGTGCTGCAATGAATGAGAAGTCCTCCATTTAAGAAACCTATTTAACACTGTAGACCCCATCCTTTCCTGAATGATTAGCACAGAATTTCCATCAACATCAAATGAACAGTGATTCTCTAGGGGACACTGTTTGGAAAAATGCAAGACTTGAAAAATCAGAGATCTTAAGACAATCAATGAAAAAGACAAAAGTTTGGGTTTTAATTTCATTGTGAGTCTCTGCTTCAGCCATTTTAAACAAAGGATAAATGGCTGACTAAAAGTGAAGCACACTTTGCTTTCTTGTAGTTCCATTTCATTTGCGGGGGATAGAACGGAAGCATCTACTGGTACACATACGTTTCATGGGTAGAACACAGCCTTTTGTGTCCAGCTATTTATCATTAACCAATGATGGAACTGGCTAGAAAAGGACAAAAAAAATAAAAGCAAATCAATATGAGCTCATCTAAGGGCTGGCTGTGGAGCATCCAGTAGACTTTCATTGTCTTCCGTGGGTCATTACATCCTCAGAAGACTATTCATATTACTACCAGACTGCAACTCATGACACAACTTGGGCATGAAAACTGGGGGTCCAGACATAGCAACAAAGCCCACATTAAGAGATATAAATGCTTTTAATGATAAGGATAATTACAACTGATTGAAATTCCCTTAACACACAAAATGGAATACAGTAAAAACGCCACTGGATACCCTCCTTACATTTTATTATCTGTCTCTAAAGCTCACAAAAAAAAATTCACTTTCTTTCCTTTTTTTTTTTCACATTTCATCCTCTTCTCTCACAAAAACACCCATCAAACACTTTCTCTTCCTCTTTTGTCTTTAATTCCTTATCATCCTCTCACCCTTTATGGCCCTTGTGGGAAAGAAAAAAAGAGGTAGACAAGCACATTCAATTGTTGCAATCTTCTTATCAGGAATATCTATTTCAAAACTCTTCATAATCTAGGCAGAAATATATCAAAAATCAACCAATAGCCTTTGGTAATAATCTATCAAACAAAATGAATAAAATATAGCATAACACTTATTAGACTATTATCCTCACTTTAGCCTTGACCTTTTGGTAATCCATAAATAAATATCATCCAAATTTGACAGAAATAAACTGTAAAATTCCCACAACAGCACTATGGCAGAAATGTCATTTTTATTGATGTCAAAATAGCATTTCTTAGCTATTTAATAAAATTGGGATTATTAAGAAAAGTAAATGTTGAAATACTCCAAAAGGGTCTCATCCACATAGCAAGATTTATGAGCTAATTTGCCTGGAAACTGCTTCACCATTTAGATGAAAATGCCTATACTTAGAAAGGTTTTTTTTAAATGTAGTTAAATTTAACTTGGTTTGACATGTATTTTTATATTAAAATCTTTTTGACTATTTACCCAATGCCTTTTTCTATTGTTTCTCCCCAGGAAGCAAATAACTTGGATAAAAACATGACGAAAGCAGAGAGTGCTCGGCTCTTCAGAATGTGGTATAGCTTTGACCACAAGTATCCTTTGATAATAACGATCTCACAGATCCTGCTGCAGGCAGAGAATTACTTTAAGCTCTTAATCATTGAAGTGTGCACTCCTGCTCTTCAAGAAACACCAAAAGGTAAAGTGAATTCACAGCCAAACTTATAAAAAGGAATGATTTCATAAAATAAAAAGCAGGGTAGTCCATACTTAAGTGTTTCAGAGAGCTAAAGTGAAACTTCTCAGAGTCAAATTTATCTAAGGTTTTCCTGACAATAATGCCAGTTGATAAAATCATATAGTCCTGAAGAAGCTGTTTTGCTGTTCTCCCTTTGTAAAGCTCTTACTTCTGGTCAAATAGGCCTGCTTGATTGAGGGCATTGTATGAACAGTCTCAGCAGCCTCTGGCCAGGGTAACCCAGCCAAAGCTCCTGCACCCTTCTCCCAGGAACCCATTTGTGTGTTTTTGTTTCATGCTGTAAAAAATGAAGGGGTGGGGACAGGGAACAAAAATAAATGGGCCAAGGAGATGAGTCCAGTTCATCAGAGTTCATCATAAAATAGCACTGCTTTGTTTTCCAGGCAGACTTGAATAAGCTTTTTCCAGTGAAGGGCAATTTTAAAAATCTAGCAATCACTGTAAACATAGTAGCTCAGATATACCTTGCCATGTGATTCGTGGGGCTAAGTCAGGTCTGAAGTGTTTTGCCATTGTGAGCTGCAGTAAGCCATCCATCTCTAATCCCAGGCAAAAGCTCCAAGGAAGAAAGGAAAGAACGGCACTGTAAATTGAATGTGTTGGGTCTTTGTAGCTAGTTTTCCAGTCACAAATCCCTCTCCTTTCAGTGAGAAAGTGTCAGTCAGTGGATGATTTTCAGTGCCTAAGCAAAAATGATTAAAGCCACAACAGATCAGTGGGAGAGGAGGAAGAATTAAGAATAGGGAAAGGAAATTCAAAGAATAGGTGAAGAAAAAGAGGTAAAAATGGACAGGGGAGGGGAGGCAAGAGAAATGCAGGAAGGAAAGGAAAGCAAATTAGAGGAATGACTGGAAAATAGAAAGCAAAAATTAAGAGAGAAGTGAAGAGAAACCAATTGAAGATTGCAGAGATAAGCAAAAGTAAAACAATGTGACAATTAAAAAGCAATTTTGCAAAAGTAGAGCATTCCAAGAATTATGAAATGGTGATGTGGAAGATAGAGGGTTTTTGAGGTTAGAGTTTTGTTTTTTCATAGCTCTGTTATCTATAGCCAGATATCCTTTCTTGCTCAGTCTTCAGTTTTATGGACAAATGGAGGTTACCACCATCTTGAGAGAAGTCCATCTTGGCCATTAATTATTTCTTAAAGGTTCTGGTATCTCAGTAACTACATGAAGACTTTCTGGTCTCTCTAAGGGAAGCTCGTTCTTAGAAAGTTATTGCTGGTTTTTGCTCCTGGTTGATCTCTCTTTGGAAGCAGAATTTGCCCCTGCCATTGCTTATAAGTATCTGATAACTCAGTTTGTTCAAAATTATAAAAATTTGACTAAAGAGTAAACACAATGAGATGTACAGAAAGAACACGGTAAATCAGAAATGAGATAAAAAGATGTTTTTGTTCAAATTCTGACAATGCTATGAGGAAAGCTTTACAATGAAGAAAAGGAATAAAGTGAAAAAAAACTTGAAGACAAGAAAATAAAAGTGGAAGTCCATCAAAATTTTTAGCTTAAGGCAGTGACACTAAATTCAGATGATGTCATAGTTTTTGTCTCACTTTCATCAGGGGTTTATTTCCATATGATTATAGATAGACTAGCAAAAATAAAAGCAGATTTACACTCTCAGTCATATCTCTTCTCATGGTAATTTATCCTCCTGCACATTCATTCTAGAAATTGCTATGCTGCCGTCACTACACAAATATATATTGACTTAGACAATGAAGTTTTTGTATCTTAGCTATGCTCTGAATTTATACCTAGAGAGTAGCAAGCAAACAGTTTCAACTATGTGGCCTCTTAATATATCTGTTATTTTAGAGCAAATTATCCATTTGGCATTTATGTTCATTCTATTGTCCACCCAGAACCCAGGCAATGTGTCCTGTGAACTTCATAAGTTAGGCTATGCCAGCCACCACCAGTGTAGAGATTAGCCCCTCATCCTGAGATCAGGTTGCTGGCCTGGACCAAAAAGAAATTGTCACAAGGCTGAAAGAAATTGGCTATGTAGTTTGGAGCTGTTAGTTTCATTTCAGTAAAATTGCATCATGAAAATGAGGTATCACAAATAATTAGACAAAAGAAAAAGAAGAATATATAACTTCATACACACCTATATCAGTCAGGGTTCTCCAAATAAATAGAATCAGCAGAAGTACTTTACATATCATATACATATAGATTTATTTCAAGGAATTGGTTTATGCAGTTGTGGGGGCTGGCAAGTCCAAAATTTGCAGAGCAGGCTCTCTGTCTGGAAATTCAGGCAAGAGCTAATACTGCAGTCCTTAGGCAGAATTCTTTCTTCCTCAGAAAAGCCTAAGTTTTGCTGTTAAGTCCATGCAACTGATTGCATGAGGCCCACACACCGTATTGAGGATAAACTCCTTTGCTTAGTGTCAATCGCAGATATTAACCACATCTACAAAATACCTTAGATGTCAACAATGACACCTAAGTTAAGGTTTAAATGAATAACTGAGTAGTCTAGCCAGATTGACCCATAAAACTAATAATCACATCACTGAATTTATATTCAATTAATGCCTAATATTCAGACTCAAAGATAGAAAACCCCTCTTAATTTACCATTGTTATCAATAAAACCAGTCACTCACATAGTTTTGTTTTTTCTTTTTCATAGCATAAGTAGTACATACATACCTTTCCCTAAAAGTTTTCCAAAAACTACAGAATAAAAATTATAAAACTTAACATTCAATGAGGATGAATAATGCCAAGCACTGTGTTCAGTGCTTTACATTTATTACTTCATTCCACCTCCCCAGCTCTGTAGGAGGCTGGGAGGGTCTAGAGATATAACAACACAAGTGTACTACTGATTGGGTTGGCCTCTGCTGCAACAGCGGCTCCCCTGTTGGAAAGAAGCCTATGATGCCAAAACTGATGATTAATTAAGGTTCATTATGATTCAACGTGGGCAGCAATTCCAAATTATGGAGTACAAAGAAGAAATTGAGAAATGCAGAGATGAGAAATGGAACTAATGTTACTGAGCAGGGAGGAATGTTATTTCATTTAATTCTCTTCATTTAACTACTCTTTTTGTTTTATTTAATTCTTACAACCACCCTCTTTGATGTGGAGGAAACAAATTCCCAGATAACTTAAATAACTTTGTTTCCATAGCTAGTAAGTGTCAATTTCATGATTCAAGCCCAGATTAGTCTGACCCTAAAGTCCATCAAGATACCTAAACAAACTTGATTATTAACATTCCTATGTCCATGATATCTCTTACTCTACCTGTAAATCCTCATGTCTCAGTATGTTCACAAAGTCACCATTCAAACAATGAATAATTAGGACTCCTTACATGATACAGTCCAGAGCTCACATCTTGAACATTTATTGGTACTATATCGGTGTGATAACAAGGTTACAGGTTTTTGTTGGTCACACAGAAAGCACCACCATGAAGGAATCCCCGACTTCTGAATCAGATCCTCAACTCTTTAGGGGCAGAAAGTTAAATATTCAGAGACACCAGGAGTGGTTCAGTCTAATAGGAGGTGGACTCACTGTAGCCAAGCTCAAAGGAGGCAGAAGTACAAACCAGACACCAAATTCCTAAATTGCCATATCCCCATTGTGGAGTGGGAGGTATGGGCAGGGGGAGATACTCTTCAGCCATAAGAAGGCTCAAGTCACAGTCTGGTCCGTAGAGCCCCTCCTATCCTACTCTTTCCCCTCGGCTCACTCTGCTCCAGCTACCCTGTCCTTCCTCAGGCACCCCAAGCACCCTTCTGCACCCAGGCCCTTGCACTGGCTCTTCTCTCAGGCATTTGCTTGCTTCCTTCCTTTACCTCTTTCATTCAACTCATCAGTGAGACCTCCCTGGCGCTATATCTAAATGTCTAAAAGGAGCTAACTCTCTCACTCCTTCCTGCTTTATTTTTTTCACCATAACGCTTAACCACCACCCGACACAGAATGGACTTTGTTTTAATAGTTCCCTCCAACCAGGATATGTGCCTTCCATAGACAGAAATTGGGTCTGTTTTCATTCCCTGGTATGTCCTCAGGGCATAGAACAATGCCTGGCAGGGAGTGGACACTCAATAAATATTTGTTGAAGGAATGAATGAATCAATTAAGCAAGCAAGCAATATTTTCTATCCAGGGCACCTTCATTTCAGGCATTGATGTAGCAGGAAAATCCAATTAATTATCAGAAGGCTGCTAAGTGAGTCTGAAAGCAGAGCAAGACAGAGTGGATAATATTAATGTTTTCATCCAGGCTACCCTGTGTAGACAGCCAGCCTGAGTGTCTCACTCCCTAGACAGGAACAGCCACTCACAGCAGACTTAAATCCCTATTGCTTGAGCTGACCTCCTTCCTGTGGTTGGTCCATCCTTTGTTAGGTTTTATTAGTACAACGATCTGGCACATTCAAGCCTGACTCTGGCTTAGAAGCCATTCTCTGTCTGAGTGACATTGAATACATATGTCTTATCTCACCAATCATGTTGATTTTATTAGTAACAAACTCAAAATTGTAAAGCCACCTATCATCCTCACTAGCAATCTCTCATAATGAGGAAGTAAGAAGAAGAAATTGATGCCCCCTTATTCATATTTTAAGACATCAGATAAAATTATTTGCATGGATTTGCAGTGTTACAGCTGGTATGAGAATCTCATGTTGCCTTATTCATAGGTGACTAATGATGTTGCTTGACTGTCTCCTTTCTAGAGTCTCTTTCCATTCTCTCATTTACCATCTCTCCCCTTAAACGTGTGTATAAATTAGCCCCATAAATGTGAATGACACAGGATAAGAATGACCTTTCCAAAATAAAAAGGGCAGCCTAACATCATTTTTAGCACTTCCTGTATGCCAACATCAACTGAAAATAAGGACTTATTATATGGTTGCCAACATTTTATAAGTGTAAAGAAAGTGCAAAGAACAATGGATTGGCAAGTTGACACAGTAACAGAATTACATAAAGCCACGTGGATGGAGATTTCCTTCCCATAACTGGTTGGAATGAAGAGTGCACTGAGGTATTGCCAACAAAATGAAAAGCCCACAGCAGGATGTGTGGATGCTGAAAATGCTTGCATTTCCCATTCTTAAGAGTCTGGCAAGGAAAGTGGCAGGTACCAGACCCCATCTTGTACAGGCTAAGGCAGACTGGGAATCCACTTCAGGAAATGTAAACATAAATATCAGGGGCATTCAAAATGATACTTGGAAACCACGTATTTAATAGATTTAAATGAAATGGCATTTTAGTCTTAACTAAAAAAAAAAAAAAGGAAAGAAAAACCTTCCCCTCCTAAAACTTGACAGAATTTTTTTATATCCCACACAGTCATGCTTATTTTAAGTCATAGGTATGAATATTGTGAACAGCAATTTCCATTTTAAATGATGATCCTGTACTGCGGTTTTTCCCTATCCTGACTGGCTGAAACACCCATGAATCATTTATTGGGGTAGTTCGCTGTGGCCTTGTGATTGACTTGAGTTTACTTCACAAAAAACTCTCACAGGAACAAAGAGTGTTAGTTCTGTGATCCCAGTTTTATAAATGAGGCAACTGAGCCCAAGAGAGGAAAAAGGCACATCCAAGGTTACTGATGGACTTGGAGCCAGCATTCGTAATCAACAGTAGAACAGGCTGTGTCACCTAAGCAATCCAAGGACCCCAGTTCAGGTGGCCCATCTGGTGAGTTCTGGTAGCTTTAACATAAGTGTGATGCCATTTTCATAAGTGTTTCTAGTGTATAATTGGTTGTTTTAGTCTGATAGCTTCTTTGGTGGTTCAGCAAAAGCCTCACCTGTCTAAAGGAGAGGTATGTTTTACTTTCAGTAGCAAGCAGGAGAGATAGCAAAGGATGTGTAATCTTTTGTTCAATGGATACTTTATTGATTACCCACTATGTGGAGGCAATATACTAGGTACTGAGGGTAGGCATGGTTGACCCTCACAAAGTCTTGCTTTGTACCTCATGGTCGCGAAGTCCTTTGAAATCACAGGTGGTCCCTAGCATAGGAAAGGAAGACATTGGCATCATCAGAATTTCATGGGGGGATGAACTCTTCAGGAGAGCCACAAACTAAAATCATTGGTAGCTCTCACTTGCAAAATGTAAAGATAACTCCACAAGTAGTTTCAGAAAGCAACAAAATTTCAAAATATTTGAAGTAAACATAAGCAATCAGCTTCCTAAAGGCTCTCCCTAAACACATTCTCTAATGGCATCCGCACATAAATATGCACATGGCATTATAACTGCTTCTCCTGGGAAGCTGGCTGTAGGGAGGAGCCCAGCTTGCATTGGGCTGCAATGCAGCCATCACTCCCATCCCCTGGTTAATAACACCTAGAATACTATTATTATTTTGGGGTATTTAGGTTGGCTTTTGGTCATCCATATCCTTACAGGTGCTGCTGTAGACAAATCCCATAGAAAGTCTTTGACTTAGCACCTAAGTGAAGTGGAATTAAAGCTTCCTGAAAGAGGCTGGGTTCAGTGGCTTAACCCTGTAATCCCAGCACCTTAGGGGGTGGAAGCGGGAGTATCAGTTGAGCCCAAGAGTTTGAGACCACCCTGGGCAACATAGCAAGACCCCACCTCTACAAAAAAAGTTAACTGAGCATGGTAGCATGCACCTGTAGTCCTACCAACTAGGAAGGCTGAGGCAGGAGGATCACTTGAGCCCAGGAGTTCAAGGCTGCAATGAGCTATGATTTTGCCACTGCCTTCCAGCTTGGGCAACAAAGTGAGATCCTATCTCTTAAAAAATCCTGGGAGAAAACATCAGCTTCTTCCTGGACTCCTGTGTTCTTGTGACTTTTGGGTAGGAATCAACACAGGGGAATTTTAACAGTATCTAGAAACATGTGCAGTCTTTTGTTCAGGTAACAACTTGGATCTTCCATAATTTCTTCTTCCACATAATAGGAATGATACATACTATCCTCTGTTTTGGCTGAATCCATCAGTAAAGTTGGCTAGTTATTAAAACAGCTTCCTACTGATGGCAACTGATTCACTGGCCTCTCAGAACCAACACATTTAAAACAGTTAAATAGTGCAATTTTCTCAAGACCCTATGGCCTAAATACACTGCAATATTCTGTAGTTGGTATAAAACTCTTCTGGAGACCTGACAAGTGACTACACGTATGACTTTATGAATTGTTACCTAGGCACAATGGATTCCCCACTATGATTATAAAATATTGTGGATCCCAAGATGGTAACTGATTTTTGCACAATGATCCTGGGATTCTACATAAGCTTTGGTATCTCTGCTTTGTTTTGCTTTTTTCCCTGGAAAAGTTTTAATAATATTTCTATTAAATGAAAATGCTTTCATATTTCAACTTCACTTTAAACGAATGATATGAAGATCTAGATTTACACAAATAAGAAATCAGAAGGTCACTTCTCCCCTTGTAGAGTGGATAAAATAAATTCCTTTAAATCAAATTCAATACATTTATTATTTTCTCAGTGCAAAGCACCACATTAGACTTTCCTCATCAATTTATTCACTCGCTTATCACGTTTATCAAGTCTACCACATGCCAGGCACCATCCTGGGCACTTGCGATGCACCTGTAAAGAAATTCCCACAGAGCTGTCATTCCAATACAGTTCTGTTTTTAAACTTCTGATTTATGGAGAGCTTTTCAGGAACACATCTATGGTATAAAGAAACACACAGACATTCCACTGTTGGTTTTTATCAAACGGAAGCAAGTCTTGGTCTGTGGCCAGAAGCTATTGATTTGCTATTATAGCCTATCTACTTACTAGTTATGTAATTTTAGGAAAGTTATTTAACCATTCTGTGTCTCCATCGCTCATCTGAAAAATGGGGATAATGGAAGTCCCTACCTCATAGCTTTGTTTTGATAATTAAATGAATTAACACAAAACACTTAGAACAGTGCTCATTACATGTATTATTATTATTTATACCTACTGATAGCCACATGTCTTAAAGACAGGCATCATGTAATGTGTATAATATTGTCATTTATTATCTGAGTGACTAAAATTTCCATTATTTTATATACTTGTAATAATTTTTAGTTGCAACAGCTGTATTTTAATACCATTTCAAAGTCTTTAGTTTCCATAAAGGAAAGGTTTCACTTGGGCTATAAATCAGACATAATTCTTCTTCTTTGATTTTGAGTAAATGGATGGAGCTGGGTGTTAAGCTGTTCTTTTGTGTCCTCTGTTCTGCACATGCAGTTGTTTCACTTATGACTTTTCTAACTTATAGTCCATCATCTCAGTTATTTTTCTGGAAATTATACTACAGATAGCAATTTTGACTTGATAGAGAAGTGCAGCAATTTTTCTCTTCCACAATGAAAGCAATACAAGCCTTTGATGATAATTATTACTCTTGTACCTTACTGTGATAAAGGAAATCTTTCAATTGCACCTTTCAGGTGAAGCCATGGTGTTTTGTTATTAGCAGTGTGATGTTATACTGAAGATTTCTAGGTCAGTACTGAATCATTTTATTAGGAAAAAAAGAGAAAGAGAAAGAAAAGATGATAGGACTTACAAAAACATATGTATTACCTTAATGCTGCCAGTATTGAATTTAGTTTTAATATTTGTTTCCCATGAAAAAAGAGTATAATGTTTAAATGTTCTTTAATCATTACTTGGTCACTCCTTTTCAATTGTAGGAGCCAAGATATTTGCAGGCTGCCAACAAGCTCATGAGCTACCAGAGACACATTATCAGCATGGGCCATGGCTGCCAGCTTCACATATTACCACCTGCCAGTGAGACACAGTCCTGGGTCTAGCTCGCAGACTGCAGTTATCCAGCATTTGTCTGCATGTGAAGCTATGATAGACATCACACAGAGTGTTGGGCAGACATGTCTCTTCCCTAATTAAGGTTCACTTCACAAGGTAGATGGTGATGATTCTCAATGTATGTCAAACCAACTCATGAGAAAGAGCAGGCAAAGAGATTATTATGCTGGTGGTTAATAGAGGAAAAGCCTGTTGAAGAAATAAATGCTATTCTTCCAGTCATGTGAGAAAGTGTCCATGGAGGAACAGCGATTTCGTAACATGAAATTAAATAATGAGAAGGGAGGAAGAGCTTTCCAAGAATAGGGAGTAACATGGGGAAGGTCCTGTGATGAGTGTGGCATGAATAGATGCGAGAGAGCCTGAATAACCCACCTGAAAAGTACAGAATTACAGGAGAGAGAAAACAGGTGGTCTGGAGGGACAATGAATAAGCCTTTGAAGTCAAGCGTGAAACCCTTATTCCCAGTGCCTAGTGTAATCAGAATTCTCTCTTGTTAATATTTTATACTTTTTTGGTTACTTGGATGGCTAAAGGTAGAGTGATGTGGTACAGGCTAAAGTAGCCTTTAAAGTTTCCTTTCTGTCACAGATCTTATTGCTGTGAGGCTTGGGTTTGGTTTTCATATTTCTTCCCCCAGAAAAATAATTATTCTATTATATTTTATTCAATTATTTTAACTAAATTGAATTTTAATTCTTCTTCCCTAAGGGGAAAAAAGTCTTCTGCCTTCTCCTAAGCCACAGAGATAAAGAAAGAAATGGTGATTGCCCTTAAGATGCCAGCATCCTAATGAGGTAGATTGGTGGCACCAGCCACCAATGCTGAGAGCTATCACAAAGTCCTGAGCAAAAAAGTGTTTTTTTAGTTTGTTCAGGCTGCTATAACAAAATACATTAGACTAGTAGCTTCTAAACAATAGAATTTTATTTATCACAGTTCTGGAAGCTGGGAAGTCCAGGATGAAGATCCCAGCAATGTCCATGTCTGGTGAGGACCCGTTTCCTGATCACAGAATTCACTTTCTTGCTCTATCCTCATGTGGTGGAAGAAAGTAAACAAGCTCTCTTAGGCCTCTTTGATAAGGGCACTAATCCCATTCATGAGGGCAGAACTCGCATTACCTAATCACCTCCCAAAAGCTCCACCTCTTAATGTGATCACCTTGGGAGTCAGGCTTCAACGTGTGAATTTGGAGAGACACAAACATTCAGACCACAGCAAGTGCCATGGAAGCCAGAGAGGGGTATAGCCAACTAAACAGCTTTGGAGAAGCCAGGAAGCCACACTGAAGTGACTTTGGAAGTCGGTGATAAAAGAGTAGGAATCTGTAAGGAGCAGGGTTGAGAGTGTGAAGGACTTTGTGGCAAGGAAACAGCTCAGGCCTGAACAGGGTGCAGAGTGTTCAGAAAATGGTGAAAAGTTCAGGGCAACTAGTGGGAAGTGAAACCAGGGAATTATCATGTGCACAGATTGTGTAGGGACCGCATGTGTCCCGGTTAAGAAAATGGATTTTATTTATTGACAGCAGGAAACCAATGCAGCACTTTAAGCACAGAGCCACAGAGTCCTGTTTGTTATAATGCAGAGAACTGGTGGCTGTATGGAAGCTGATCTAACAGGGAGAAGAATAAATTGAAAATAATCCATGATCCAGGACAGCTGCCCTGCAAAATACCCACCAGTTTTCTGTGTGGATAAAAATGTAGACAAATTGTTTCATTCTACTTTGAAAACTATTTTAGAGCATTCAATGTGTGTTCCCAATATAAATGAGTTAATATAGAAAAGTATCATTTCATTAAGATATTGATTCTTAAATTTCCACTACTGAAAATTATCCAGTGGTGTAATTGTTAGGGCCAGAGTCTACTAGAATGTTTTTTAGCTAAAAAGCCAGATCAGTCTCTAAGCTTGTCTTCTAGTATTTCAGTGGCCTTTTAAATGTAGGGGAAGAAGCATCAGAGAGCTAACCTTTTTCCAAAGGAAACAGACACATCCTGAAACCATTGCCTTTGACATCCCTTGAAGCCATTTCCTTGGAATTCCTTGAAATCTACCAGTGTATTAGGTTTCACTGACCTGTCGCCTATAAACATGGCCAGAAGTGATTTCTAGCTCATGCAGGCTGCTAAGCAAATCTTTCCTTAATCCTTTAACATGTGTTTAATACCTCAAACAGGAAAGACTGTAGCAGCTTTATTTCCTCACTGCCCCTTCCCAGCAACTGCAAACACTTCTTCCCACATCCCTCGCTATGGACTAGCCCTTGGGTTACAGGTGCCAAGCCCTTTGCCGTTCCTTCTACTGGTTCATGTAGACACAGAATTATGCCTGGAATGCCCAAGAGCAGCGAGTGGGTGTCAGTCATGAGGGGTGGCTGACCAAGGCTGACTGTGTGCACTGCAGGCTCTGGGTGCTGAAGGAAGAGAAGTCCCCAGAGTACCCCAGGCAGGTGCCCCACATGGTAAACAACTCTAGCAGTACAAGCTCAGAAGCCTGGTATTTAACTGGATTGGCCAACTTTTTTTCCTTTTTTTCCCCCTTTTCTTAGTCTAAAGTCCTCAGGCCTTCTCTGATCTGAAATATTCAGAAGATGAACATTATGGTAATTGGTAATTGTACAGGCACTTTGCAAACATCAAGTGCTTCATAAAGTTAAAATGATACTAAATTCAGTGACAGCTTTATAGACCTGAAGGCCTTCAGACTCATTTTGCAGATATAAACAAAGAATTTTATTACATTTTTATTATTTTTAAATTCTAGCTGATTTCCTGCTATATTCAAGTTTATGATGAGTACATAAGTCTCTTCTCAGTCCAGAGATATGCCTTATTGAGAAATCTTCCCCACCTCAATCTTTGGCTTCTACAAATCCCACTCTTTGGAAGATATCCCACTGTGGAATGGGTACTCCCCCCCACCATCAACTATTCACCAAGAATCCCTCTCCTTGACCTTCCAACAAACAGAAGTTGATGCTCTCCAGCTGAGACCCTTCCTTCTCGGCCTAGCCTTTGTAAGAACTGTTTGTGTTCCTGTTGGGAACTACAGATTAAATCCCTGATGAACGTACCTATCTTCCTTGCTAGCTCAGTCTTTTGCAAACCTTTGAAAATGTTGTCTAGGCCATTTAGAAGGGACATAATAATATTTAAATCAGGGTTTTTCAAACTGCTGATCATAACTCATTAGTGGTTCTCACAAGCAATTTAGTGGGTTCCTAACCAGCACTTCTTAATAAATAGTAGACTAGAGAAAATATCACAGTGCATTGAGAAATTAGAAGTAAATTTTGTTTCATAAAACTTGTTTCAGGGGTGTGTGCATGTACCCTGGGTTGTGATATAACATGTATGCCTTAATGGGATCATAATCAAAAAGGTTTTAAAACCTTGATCATTGCTGGTATAAAATTCTTGTGTAGGAACCCTCAGGCCTTTCCCCTAATTGCTTTAAGTACCCAGCAAGTTGAGCAGGGAGCTGTGAGAACACAAAGGAGAGAGAGCCCTCAATTCTGGGTTTATTTTGGAAAAGTTAACAGTTGTTGGTAGATTCGAGCTGAACTTTGAGAAAAAGATGGAATTTGACTAATAGCAACTGGAGGGAGCTGGAGTAAAGGCCAGATTACGGGGAGAGAGAAGCAACACGGAGCTGTGGACAGAGCAATGAGTTTGAAGATCTGGCTGCTAGTCATCCCTCAGCCCCTCAGCTATGGAACTCTAGTTCCAGGCCTGCCCTGAGCCACTATTTTCTAATCTGTAAGATGAGTATAATCATATTTGCCCCACAAAGTAACTGTAAATTTCAAATGGAAAAAGGTGAATGAAACCACTTTGAACACTAGAAAATACCAAACAAACACAACAGACGTGTTTTCTTTTTCCAGACAAAGCAAAGGTCACAAGTAAAGGTGCAAATGTGGAAAATTATTGTGTGTGCTTGGGGTTAAGTGAGGATTGCAGCTCGGCACATATAAGGTTGGCCAGGGAGGAGAGACTAACAAGATGTGTTCACGGAAATCTGAAAAGATTTTGAGTATCAGGTGAAGGTGTCTGGATTTGACTCAGTAAATAATGAGGAATCAGATGATTTGTAGACATAAGAGTGACATAGTCTTGTTTTAGAAAGAGCTAACAGCAGTGATTAGGGAGAAGTCACGGGGGCCTCAATTATGGTAGTTGCAATGGGAATAGAAAGGAAAAGTATAGATGCCAGAAAACTCTGGCCTCAAATCCATAGAATCTGATGCCGCATTATTGGGGGTACCAGGACTGCAGAGAGAAAGGGCCAGGCAGGTGCCAGTTGTGAGGAAGTAGGAGCCCCAGGTGACTGTGGGGTTCCAGCCCTCATGACTAGAAGTCTGCTTATGCCAGTCAAAGAAACAAGGAAGGCAGAAAGACTACTCTTGTGGGGAGACAATATGTGTGGTTGGTTCCCTGTCTCCAGGTAGAATCCTATTTATATGAACCTGCTCCATTTACCTACTGAGCCAGTTCTTCGAGGTAAACAAGCCACTTGCCCAGCCTTGCCTCGCGGATGGAGTTCTCTAAACCTCTGAGTGAACTTGTTTTTCTCTGAGTGGCTCTCTCATAGGGGGATGCTCTACAATTAATATCCTACTCAAAAATAGGCAGAATACTTATTTTAGTATTTTGTGCTAATTCAGTCTCATCAACTTGTCTTCTATCTGTAGACTTCACTTAAGTTAACCGCCAGGTTAACTGATGTTATGAATACAACATTGATATACCACATCCTACCAATCAAGTTCAGACTCAATCGCCTGGAACAGCACAGAGCATGAGTCAAATAGCTAGGTTCAGATCTTTGTCACCTACTAGCTGTGTGACACTGGGAAAATTACTTGAACTCTCTGAACCTTGATTTCATAATCTGTAAAATGGGGACAGTGACAATGATAATACCTATCTTGCAGGATGTTTGTGAGATTCACACTATTATACTTACCATACATAGCATAGGGCCTAGAAAAATTAGGTCCTTGATAAAGGGCTGCTCTTGTTATTATTATTAAAGGATGTGAGTTGATGGGCCCCACCCTCCTTTACAACCACATGCTGAAGCTTTTCCCTAGTTCTGTGGGATGAGGCTAGTCCTGGTTCTGTCCAAAGAAAAGAGCTTCCAGGGCTGACCTGGCAGGACCCACCTCTTTAGGAGCAAAAAGATTATCACCATCCCTCTCCTTTCAGGTAAGCACCTTTAAGCCCAGCTACAGGCTCTTCAGGCAAAATTACTTTGTTCCAGCTCAGTGATGGACTGAAAATGCTAAGTGTCCCTCACAAAGAATAAACAGGCAAAGATGGGACTGCTACATGCGTGTTACTCCCGTCTGCCAGTAGCTGGGGGCAGAGAGTTGGAGACTGAGGAACGAATAGGTCCCCATGGCTGTAGTCAGCAGAGACCAGGGGCAGCTGGCTTCCTCCTGCCCCAAGATCAGGGGATTCTTGGGAATCTCAACATGCAGTTGAACCCCAGCAGTCACAAAGCAGCAAGATTAGGAGTCAGAAGTTCTGATTTTGAGCCCAGGCTTTGCAGGCTGCATGAGCTTGAACCAGTCTCTCTAAGCTCCAGTTTCATTTGTAAAGTGAAGGAAATGCCCCTCCTTGTTTTTTAACCACAACAGCAACTCCCCCGTACCCAAAGCGTTCTAGACACAATTTCATGAACTCCTAAGACCTTGACAACCCATGATTCTCATATGGTATTCTCCATGTTTTTTAATAGGCTTGGGAAGTAGAGTTCATTTTTTAGCTTTTCCAACCAAAACTATATTGCACAATGGAAGTGCTTATAACAAAGTATTCTGTAAGAATTTGGCTTTTTATTGGCCAAACAAAAGATACTTTCTTAAAAAAGGAGTATACATTCACTCATGGTTTTATATGAAAAAAAGAGATGCCTAGCCCTCTGTTTTACACTTGGAACCTATTTTCTAGAAATATGGTGCACTTGTCATGGTTTTTATCCTTACAAATTCAACATAATGTAATAGCTCTGTTTGATGGCATATAGTAAATAAAGGTGCTTTCTTAGACTCCCAGGAAGTAAATAATTGGCATATTAACTTCCTGTGATTCAATCACAGAAAGCTTACATGAAAATGAAAGAAATAAATGGAATAAAGTCCAACAGACTGCCATCAATAGCTGCTTAACTTCGGGCCGGGCGCAGTGGCTCACGCCTGTAATCCCAGCACTTTGGGAGGCCAAGGCGGGTGGATCACAAGGTCGAGATCAAGACCATCCTGGCAACATGGTGAAACCCTGTCTCTACTAAAAATACAAAAATTAGCTGGACCTGTAGTCCCAGCTACTCAGGAGGCTGAAGCAGGAGAACAGCTTGAACCTGGGAGGTGGAGGTTGCAGTGAGCGGAGATCGTACCACTGCACTCCAGCCTGGCGACAGAGTAAGATTCCCTCTAAAAAAAAAAAAAAAAATTACTGCTTAACTTCTTATCCAGCTTTCGACTGAGCTGGTTTTACCCTATTTCTGATAGAAACAAGGAAGCAATCTTACCTCACTTATGATATGCCAGAACTCATCTTTTTATGAGATAATTTAAATTGATTGTCACCTTACAAATATATTTTTCTAATGGCATCCCCCGTATCATCTTGGTTTTGGAACAATCCTTTCAAAACAGAATTAGAAATAGCTGCTCACTCACAGATCTATAAAATACATCTCAAGTATTTGGAAGAGAGGGTTGAAAATATAGCTGTCCCAAGTCTATCAGAACAACTGTGGATGAGTGGGGGCAGGGGACAATATTGGTGGTCTTTTTGTTATAGCAAAGGGCAAGAAGCATTTCTCTCTCCTTACAGGTAAGGAAACTGAGGATCAGCAAAGCTAGGACTAAAACCCAGGGCACAGGATTCCCCTATCCGGGTGCCCTTTCCTTACCCTGTGCTTTATAACTCTGGACCTTAAAGAGATGTAGTTCCCATCTAATTTCTGGTTTAGCCAAAAATGCCTGCATTTTCTTATGCCAGATTCTGTTTGGGGGAAGATAGAATTTCATTTTTATTCCTCCATTTATCTGTTTCCTTTGGGTTATCTTCTTGATTTCCCCTTTTATCTTTCTCATCATCCATTTGTTAATGCAAACAAACAAAACTATTTCTGCTTCTTTCCCACAACTGCCATCTGATTAAACTCTACATAAGGTCCCTTCTTTATTAAAGCCCTAAGTAATTGGTTGTGATGCTTGTGACGATTACTGGGCCAATACATGGCTACATTCAATGATGAAATATAGCTAGGATGTTTCTTCTGAGAAAAATTTGACCTGTCATCTCGTAGCCTCACAGATTGGTATATTTTGGAGTTGTAGCCACTGCTTCAGTGTATGTCTCCTACCAGGTCCAAGTTAAGATCGTTGAATTGTTAGATGCTTTTTATTTGAGGCTTACATGGTGAGGAGAAAATAGAAAATTCTATTTCCTTTCATCTGCTTCTCTTTTTCTGTCTGAAAAATAGAGAAAAGTTAGACTTGTTCTTGAGCATATTTATTATTTGATAAAATTGACAAGAGTCATCTGAAAAATTTTGTAGAGTTTGAATACAAAGTTCTTACTATTTCTTCTCTCATTTTCTATATAGTTAGTATTTTATTTCTTTCCCTTTTCATTTTAACCAAACTTTTGGTTTTTGTTTTTTTGAGACGGAGTTTCACTCTTGTTGCCCAGGCTGGAGTGCAATGGCACTATCTCGGCTCACGGCAACCTCCGCCTCCCAGGTTCAAATGATTTTTGTGCCTCACCCTCCCGAGTAGCTGGGATTACAGGTGCCCACCACCACGCCCAGCTAGCTAATTTTTTGTATTTTGAGTAGAGATGGGGTTTCACCATGTTGGCCAAGCTGGTCTCGAACTCCTGACCTCAAGTGATCCCCCCCGACTCAGCCTCCCAAAGTGCTGGGATTACAGGCATGAGCCACTGCACCCAGCCTAACCAAAGGTTTCATAAAAATAATATTAAAATAGAACAGAAAATACGCATACTACAGAAAAAGAAACAAGACTTTAGAATGATTATTTTTAAGCTTATTTTCTGCAACATCAAGAATCAGTTTTCTCTAGCAGTTAGCTCAGCCTTTATTTCATTAAGAATAATGGGAAAATTTAAGGAGGTTTCCATTTGAGTAAAGTTTTGGTTTTCATCCTCTCCCTCCATTGTTTAATCATCTGGACTACAGTTCTTTTTATAGAATAATCTTCTTTTAGCCAAGTGAAAAGGCAAAAGTATTTTTTCCATAGGTTTTTTATGCTGAGAGAGTTTCAACTGGCATATTGGGAGAAATCTATATTCAGGTAAGAATATATATATAAGGCTGGGTTTGTCTGTGCTTGGGCCCTCCTACGAAGTCTAGGGAAGAGGGAATTGTTAAAACTGGACCTAGGTCTCTTTTCCCTTTAGCTTAATTAAAAAAAAAATCTTTGCATTCAGTAGCTTTAAAGAGGACATTTATTTTCCTCCTTCTATAGACAAGCTGTATTAGGGTGGCATATGAATAAATGAGATCCTTCTTTGACCTGATAGGGACTCCAGTTCACTAATGTCTGTCCTTTCTCCACCTTCCTACTTGTTCAGATTGGAATCCATTCTCCACTATTTCCATATCACCCTTGCAAACAGTCTGGATTCCATCATCTTTTTGTTATACCCATCTGGAAAAACCCTAACCAGAGATGAAGGCAACATGTTGCTTTTGGGCACACTATATCTGCATAGATGAGCCCTGTTGGAGAGATTTACACACCTGCAGAGACTGGTTCCCTTATCTATTATTGATCAACAACTTCAGATAGACCCATACTACCCAACTATCCTGCTTTACCTCTCTCATCATTTTTATCCTCAACTGCGCCCAGCCCATTTGCTCTCCTTCTACTCATTCCTCAACCCACTTATCTGGTTTCCATCTCAACAACTTTACTAAAGCAGCTTGTTAGGTCAGCAATGACCACCATATTGCTAAACCAGATGGATATTTTTCAGTTCTCCTCTGATGTGTCTTTTGAGCAACATATATGATACTGTTGATTGCTTCCTCCTTGTAATACTCTTCCCCTTATCTCCCCTAACTCAATACTCTGAATTTCCCCCTACTTTTCTGGCCATTTTCAGGTTCATCTTTCTTTTCCATTCAATGCTGGAATTAATAAAGGTTCTATCCAAGGCCCCCTTCTTTTCTTTGTCTTCTATTTCTAGGTGATTCCATCTGTATACTTGGATTACAATAACATGGAAACAAAAACGAATTTATACTCAAATTTATACTTCAGTCATATAGATGGAACTTATTTGATATTTCCTCTTGTATGACTCAAAGACACAGTCATTATATCCAAAACCAAACTCAGGAGTTATCTTCCAAACCTAATCCATGTTCAGCATTTCCTTCATTCTGTTATGCAAGCAAAAAGCTCAAGATTTTTCCTGGGTCCTCCCTCATCCAGTTATTATGGAAATCATCTTTTACCAGTTTTACTGCTCTCAGAGTTTACATTCATGATAAATACTTCAGAATCTTACGATTGTTTATTATTATTTGGTTGAAAGTTTTTAAAGAACTACATAACACTTTTTTTCCCTCCAACACACCAAAACAAGAAAGAATTATAAATGGGGAAATGATGTAAGTGTAAAATACTGCACAGGGTCAAGTCTTTTTTGAAAAAAACAATTACATGCCAGGAAACATTTTGTTTTTTAAAAGAAAAACCACATTAATGGTAGGCACCATTTCTGTTACCTCCTCAAGGTCAGAGTCACTAAACTACACACAGCTGAGACAGATAAAAGACTGCAAGCAACAGCAAAGAATTTCAAAAGGTCCAAATGGACTAATGCCTTACCTTCTTAGGGACATATATTTCTTACATTTGGTAGAGTTGTAAAAGAGTTTTAAAGTTAATTTTCTCATCATAAAATTTTGTAAATGGGCATCATCATATTGGATTTTTTAAGAGATCTGTAACTTGGCCTGTAAAAGAGGTGTCTCTTAATATATTAGAAAATATTATCTTTAGTTCAAAGCAGAGAGTAATACAGAGTTGGAATGAATATTTTGCCCTATTCTCTTTTAGTCTTGACTGCTTATACACTAGCAAAGAGAAATATATTCCTCTGCAAAGCCTCCTGAGAATACAGAGATATATGCATCAGGATATTGAATTGTTTGAGAAAATAAGAGCTGGATTTTTGCAAATAAACTCTTGCACCCATATGAAAGCTCGGTAGTCATAGAAGCTTTCCCAAATAATATGCCTTCCTCTGCCAATACACAAAGTAACCTTTGTCAGTTAATAATGAGCTAATTGTTAACCTGAACAACAGATGACATCAGAGAAAACTGGCATAAATTATTCCAAAATGAACTGTAAGTGAATCTGTCCACTTAATGAATCTAATTTACATGATTCTTCTCCCTGCTGTTTCCTTTGTAAATAATATTTTATTTAAATAATTGCCAGCCCAAAAGATAGAATCATAATTATTCTGGGAGTTACATGGATTTGATAGGTAAACCACTATTTCAGCCATAACTTGCAAGCTGGTTAGACCATTGATCACTATACCTGGGTGTTAGTTTAGATAGAATATTGCTGAGGTAGTCAGCTCAGTACATTGTTGAGGTCTCAAGAGCACAAAGACTCCTTGTTGGGAAACTCCTGAGACCTAGAACCATGTTTCCAAGGCAGCAGTACTAGGTAAATATTCTAGGTGTATATTCTCTGTCATTTTTAATGTATGAATAGCAGACTAAAAGTGCTGCTTTTTATACCTAACCAGGAATCATCTTTGACACCATCTGAAGAATCAGTGGTAGACTCACCATCTTCAGAGTCCTTCAGCTTCCACTAGACCATTTAATTCATTTTGAGGGGACAAAATAGGGACTCCTGCAGTTTTCTCTCTGTAGTATTTTCTTGCTGAATCCAAGACCACATTAGGAAACCATGCCGTTGATTTTTTCGACTACTGCTTGTGGCAGTTCTTGCCTAGCTGTTGAAAGTTACTTTTTTTCCCCTCTTTACATCTTGGTAGAACATCTTATTCTGAAAATTGACTATCTCTCATCCTCCATTCCCACGCTTTGCCTAGAAAATGAAAAGATGTTTAAAAGAATGCCCTCCTGTTCTTGCCACTACAAAAAAATCAAAACATTTCCTGTCATACACTCACACACAATTAGTCTCCTTAACAATAAAGAGGAAAAGAAGTGGGAAAAAAATATCCATGACCTCTGTTGGTATTAAGTCTATAGGATACACTCAGCAGAGTCAAACCATCTAGCACAATCAAAACCATTATCTCCTCCTCTGGGTGTCTAAACTGCCCATATCAGTCATTTCAGTGAATAAAGAAATAAACAAACACTAGAAAATAGGATAGTTGTAGATTTGAGAAACAGTAAAAGTGTGGTGCTATGTATAGCAATGATATCACTTGTATTATTACAGTCATTTTTATATTACTAGCATTTGGGGATTATATCATCTAGCATTTGAGGTTGTTTTGACAATTTGTTCACATATAGATAAGAAAGAAGGAATGATCTTTTCAAAGAGAGATGCATGGTTAAAAGCGTGGCGCGTGTATATTTGCATGCACATGCACCTGCACCTGAGGTTGAACATGCACCAGATACACCATACCCCACCTGAGTGATTAAATAGATCACTCAATAGGAATTTTTCAGGTCATTTTCAGTTTTCTCAGTCTTTTGAAATAAGGTGATATTTTATGGTGCCCACAGTGGTTTGTGTCTACAAGCATTGCCTAATTTTAAAACCTTAAGTTAATCTTGACAAATCTGGCTATTGGAAGCTGTTTGGCCTTGAAGGTTATTTTATTTGTGAGTCCTGCTCTAGTTGCTACATAGATGGTGGCATTGGGTGGGGTGTTTAAAATCTAAGATAGTCCAATAAATAAACTGAAATACATCAGCAATAAGGTTTATAAGTGACCTCATGAGGAATCATCTAGCTTCTTAGATCAGGGTCTGCTGGTCATAAGGGTGGATCACTTGAGGTCAGCAGTTCAAGATCAGCCTGGCCAATATGGCAAAACCCTGTCTCTACTAAAAATACAAAAATTAGCTCGGTATGGTAGCACATGCCTTGTAATCCTAGCTACTTAGAAGGCTGAGGTAGGAGAATCACCTGAATCCAGGAAGCAGAGGTTGTAGTGAGCCAAGATGGTGCCACTGCACTCCAGCCTGGGTGACAGAGTTAGACACTGTCTCAAAAAAAAATAAGAAGCTCTAATGTTTGTTTCATTGAGAGATCCCTTCCTAAGGGACCCAACAAGCAGCTTCAATGATGGTCAGTAAAGTATGAACCTTATAACCATAGTTTCCACGTTTCCACCTTTGCCTCCTACTGAGGCGGCAGCAGAGCTGGGTCCTGACTGTGATGCGGTATTCCCATAACACAGCTCCACATCCAGAGGTAGTTTCACCCGGAATCAATGAAACTCAGCTTTCAGGGCTCTTCATCTGCATGGGTCCTTTGTAAGGGACCAGTGTTGATATTCAAAAGTGTGCATTCTTTTTATTAAGAATAGCCTCCAAAATTAGGTAACCTTCAGACTTCATGAAATCTGGATCTATCCCCGTCCATGTGAGTAAACACTACAGGGAAAATATGATAAATTAACGGTCTTATCATAATATTAAGTATTACAATAAATTATATGATTGTAAAAAATTTCAGTCCCTAGCACCTATATAACACTGTGTTCTGTATTTGCATATCGGAGTCATTTTGGTAAACAAAATTTTAATTTATTTGAACAGGGTTCGGGAAATCCTCAGGAAGTTTAACTTGCAATTTGGTATCTGAAGCTAATGTTATTCCTCTCCACATTTCTCCTCAAACATTTGGCACAGCTTTTCCTACCGTGGCAAGCAACTTGTCCCATTCTGAAAAGTGTGTTAAATTCACAGATACCCAATAATGATTATTGCAGGGTGTTCTCCAACACGTTTCATCCCTTGGTCTAAATTTACATTGTATGACTATGACCTGGGATGACTCTCTTGCCCTCCCTTGTAACTCAATACAGTTATGAATGGATGATTATTTTTATAAAATCCTACTCTGGAGTTCCCAAATTGACAGGCATTGGAGGCTCCCAAACCGACCCCATCTCAGGTATATATTCTCAAGACCAAAAGTTTATGAAAGCTAAGCCCCCTTAAGCCCCCACTACTCCAAAGGAACTGCAAAACAGCACATGAACAGTGAAAAAGATCCTAAAGAAATTCACCTCCCGATCACACCAAATTAATGCTATCCTGAGATACATCCAGCGAAAGGAATTCATCATATTCCACATAAGTGCCAAAAGACATTTGGACAGACTTTCAGCCTAAAGGATAGTGAGAGGGATAGTCTTAAAAATTTTAAAGATTTCTTTAGAACTTTCTTAGAATTAAGTGTCCTATTCAGCTTAATTGTTCTGCTACCAGCAAAAGTGATAAAGTTCAGGTGATCCTAAATGCAGAAAATATGTGGAAGTGAATAAAGCCTTCTGCACTAATGACTAGCAAATTTCAATAGATTTCCAATCTCTCTTTTTCACATTTCTTGTACCAACTCATTTATATTGTCATTCTAGAAAGAGCACATAAAAGGGTGTCTGGAGATAGATTTCTGGATGTTAAGAGAATCTTTAGTGAGTGGAGATAAGACCTGACCAGGAGACCTTTTATGAGTATATTCAGAAATGTAAACTGATGAATATGGTAAGGGCAAAAACTCAATATGATTGCATCTAAGATAGGATAAGGAGTTAATGCCCCTTTCCAAGAGAAATCTTGAAGACGGTACCAAAGTGAGCCCCAGGAAAGATCTGAACTGAAACCTCTCTAAGAGTCTCTTCAAAGCCTCCACTAGCTATAGAGTGGTTGCAATGGAGAATGATCTTGTTTTCCATTAAGAAATTCCAACTACTCATTAGTACCTGTTTTATTTTTCCCACTATAGCCTCCAGGCCTACCACTGTGCCTGGCACAAAGCAGGTGTTCTAATAAATGTCTAGTTAATGTTGAATCAGCAGGTAATCAAAATAGTCCTTCAGTTAAATGATAGTAAAATCCCGAATGTATTCCTGTGAGAGACTTGCCTTATTTCAGGCTGGTGTTGAGCATTGTCTTTTGACCTCTGCCTACTGTTTTATTTATTTATTTATTTGCTTTTCCTTTAACTTCTGTGGTCTGGTGAGGTTGTGCACAGAATCTGGAACCTAAGACTGTATTAGGCCAGTCAGTCATGAAATTATAGTTTGTTGGCTGACAACAAAGCACAGGGTGCTCAGGAGATGAAGCGTGGTATAATAGTACTGAGGGCTTCTAACATCAGTTTAATCAACCGTGATTCCAAGTCACTTATTATTGTGTTTACAATGTCACGATGCAAAAAGTTCTCGTGTTGTGTTCTCAGTGCTTTTGAGATTTCTCCTATGCATTAGTCTTTGACTTGGTTGCTTTTTTTATGTCAGTTAATACCTTTTGGAAGCCATAATTGTACATAGCACACCCCATCATTCGGGCAGTAGCATCCTTTTACAGAAGGAGTTGTCACTCCCAGAGTTGTATTAATAATTATTTTGAAAAACAGTGAATTGAGCAACAGTTGTTAACATGAACCTAATGATCAGAACTGAATACAACCAAGCTCAGCTTTGGAACAGGAAAAGAAACTATCAGAGTAGACGTGATTATTGAGTATTCCAGAGTATAGCTCTCAACAGTCTGCTCTTTTAGTCATTAACTATTGTTCACCAGCTACTGCAACATTTTTAAATGATGTGGCAATACAATGTGACGGGAAGCCTTAAGAACATCAGGGAAAAGAATCTGAAGAGTAATTTATTTATGTTAAGGAACAACATAGTATGCCAGTGTAGAAGGGGGGGAATGTAACATAAAGAAGATAGCAGGGAAAAGGAATGCTATCTACTGCATAAGAAATGAGCAGCCTGGGATTCAAGCAGAGAAAATCCTCAACCAAGGCTTGAGCTGGGTAGGTAAGCAAGAGAGCCGGAAGCTGCATTTCTTCCTCCAGCCACTCACCTCATATGCAGCTGTGCAAATTGCAATTAATTATGAAAGAAAAAGATGACAGACATTACATACTAGTAGGGAGGGAGGCTCAGGGGCCCTGTCCAAGGGGCCATGCGATGAACCTCCACACCAGGAGGAAGCTCTAATGAGAATATTGTGAGATAGAGCAAAGCAGAATTCCAGGAGACTCACAAATAATTATTGATGTTGATTGCCACCATTGGTGGCAGGTGGTGGCACAAAGAAACCAAAATTCCATCCCTCAAAAGCTGTCAACTGACACAGTGCCTTGTGTAGGAGACAGAAATAAGATTTAAATTATAGCATCTGAAGGGTCCCAGCTTTCTCAACCACTCCTTTGCTGTAATTTACTAATAAATAAGCCAGGAATGCTTATCAGAGAACAGAAGTTAAGAATTTTTCAGTTCACATAACATTCTTTTATGTAATAAGTTAAAGGTGGTGTGATGTTGAGGAACATGGATTCAAAACACATGGGTTCAAACCCCCAGCTCTTTCACTTAAAAACTGAGTGACTTGGGCAAGTAACCTTTTCGTATCTCTGTTTTCTAATATTTAAAATGGGAGAATGTGTCAGGCACCATTCTCACATTCATAACTCTGGTAATACTTTTGAAGCCTGGATATGTAATCCCCAGGCAGCTTTAAGTTGTTTTTAACATAAAGATGATTGATTTGCCCTGGACCATTCTGATTCTTTTCCTCTACCCAGTGGTTGCTGTGGTGAAAACAAGCACCTGTAAGGCCACTGGGGTGCAGTCAGGTGTAGCATTATTTTTAAAGAATGCCTTTTAAGTATATGTATTTATGTCCCAAGATCCGTACATACAATTTTGGTTGGGAATGATTTAATCGGAAATAAATGATTAAACCGAGCTGTCTAGCTCTCTCGCTTACTGCTTTTCTCCCTCCCTCTTTCTCTCCATGGGTTTCATGAAGGTGTTTGTTAAATATAACACTGCTCTGTCTGCTTGTCAGGATTTTCAGTCTGACATAGAGAAATACCAAGACCAAATAAGGCCAAAAATATTTACAATGTCCTTCTCTTTGTCACATTCCTTGTGCAAGCTGAAATATTACAGAAAACACAGTTTATTTTTACTTATAATGAATCCTCTTAAAATGTATTTAGGCACAACTGGGTTGATGGCCATAACACTTTGACATTGCAATCACAATGAGAGCTCTTTTGTTTCTTGAAACTCCCTGAGACCACTGTGATAACGGAGCCAGTTTTTCAGCCTGGTACAAGAAGTACACATTCTGTATCTCTCCAAAGATATGTGAGTATATGTTTGAATAGGGCTTTTAATTTAAAGAGACATGCATGTTCATCTCTTATACACAAAAGTCACTTAATTAGCATTCAGGGATCCCTCCTTTCTTCTTTTACCTTTTTCCTCAAGGACAGAATAGCTAAAAGCATGTTACTCTCCACTGTGGGACCATGACTGGTGCCACTCCAGCTCTGACAAGAAAGAACCCAGGCAGATGCTCTTCCACCAACAAAGGACACAAGTCTAGGAAGAAAGGGATCTGGGCACAAGGCCAAAGTCACCATAGGCTACAGATTCCCCTTCCCTGTCTTTGGTTCCCCCAAGAACCTGCATCAAGGTTTGCCAAGCTGCTTCTAAAGTGGTGGTTTCCAAGTGTGGAAGCAGTTCAGAATCCCCTGGGGCACTTGTTTAGAGTTCACTTCACTGGCACTAAAGATTGGGATTCCAGCAGCCTGCGGTTAAGGCCAAGGGAGCCATATGTTTCTCCAGCGTCCCAGGGGATTCTGCTACAGCAGGTCATCAGGAAAGCTCTGGGAAAGTCCACAGTCCTGTGAAGGAGCTGCTCTGCCAGATTCAAGTAGAGCCTGACTGCATCAGGGGACATGTGAATGATCAGATCCAGTCAAGGAACAAGCAAGAGGAGTGAAGGAGTTATCCTTAACTCTTTGGAAGTAGGCAGTTTCATCACTGATTTCAGCTGATGTTTCCTATCAGGTGACATACGGGTAGAGTACACATGACAAAATACAATTTAGAGAAGGCTATAAATGCCTCGGAAAATCCACAGTGGCCAGTTCTGAATGAGGGTGGGGGGTGGAAGGAGGGAAGCTTCTGATCTCTCTGAGGCTGAAAATTCAATTCAAGGGAGAGAAAAGCCAGTTATATCCTTGGTATTGAGCAAGCAATTTAATAGCTCTTTGCTCATGGTAGGGACTCAAGTATTTATTAATAAAATTATAATATTCTCTCCCATACTATCCATAAATAGTTTCCTTTAAAATATATAGATTAGCTATAGTTTAGTCATCCAATTTGGAATAATTTGGAGTTTTACAAATAAAAGGAACTGTGTAGCAAACCATGGTCCCTGCCATAACAATGTGCTCCTTGTGTCAATTTTCCAGATAACTGAAGCTAATACTTTAAGATTTTCTGTATTTTAAAAAATTTTTTTAAATATTAATGTAGTAAAAAGCACGTAAAAATTACCACCTTCGCATTTTTAAGTATACAGTTCAATAGTGTCAATTATATTCACATTGTTGTAAAACCGATCTCTAGAACTTTTTTATCCTGTAAAACTGAAACTCTATACCCATTGAACAATTCCCCATTTCCCCCTACCCTAACCCCTGGCAACCACCAACCTGCTTTCAGTTAATTCGACTACTTTAAATAGCTCATATAAGTGGTTATTATGCAGTATTTGTCTTTTTGAGACTGGCTGATTTCATTTAGAATAATGTCCTTAAGCTTCATCTATGTTGTAGCATGTGACAGAATTTCTGTCCTTTTTAAAGCTGAAGAATATCCTATTGTATGTATTATACATACCACATTTTCTTTATCCATTTACTCACTGATGAGCATATGGGCTTCTTCCATTTCTTGGCTATTGTGAATAATGCTGCCGTGAACACCGGTGTGCAAATATCTTTTGGAGCTCCTGCTTTCAATTCTTTTGGATATATACCCAGAAGTGGGATTGCTAAATCATATGGTAGTTCTATTTTTAATTTTTTGAGGAACATACTTACTGTTTTCCATAGCAGCTGCACCCTTTTACATTCTCACCAACAGTGCACAAAGATTCCAATTTCTCCATGTCCTCATCAACACTTATTTTCTGTTTTTATGATAGTAGCCATCCTAATGTATATGAGGTGATATCTCATTATGTAGTCTCCTGATGATTAGAGATATTGAGCATCTTTTCATATGCTTGTTAACTTGCATATCTTCTTTGAAGAAATGTCCCATTCAAGCCCTTTGCCCATTTTCCAATAAGGTTATTTTGTTATTGTTGAATTGTAGAAGTTTTAACATAGTCTGAATATTACTCCATTATCAGTGGTTTGCAAATATTTTCTTCCATTCCATTGGTTGCCTTTTTTGTTGTCTGTTTCATTTGATGTGCAGAAGTTTTTAAATTTATGTAGAAGATGTAGTACCATTTGTCTATTTTTGCATTTATTGTCTGTGCTTTTGATGCTATATCCAAGAAATCATTTGAGTCCAATATCATAAAGGCTTTCCTCTATGTTTTCTTCCAAAAGCTTTATAGTTTTAGATCTTATACTTAGGTCCTTGATTCATTTTGAGTTGATTTTTCTATATGGCATAAGATAAAGGTCCAAATTAGTTCTTTTGCATATGGATATTCAGTTTTCCAACACCATTTGTTGAAGAGACTATCCTTTCCCCATTGTGTGATCCTGACTCATCAAAGATCATTTGCTCATACAAGAGCTTATTTCTAGGTGCTCTGTTTTGTTCCATTGGTCTAAATGTCTGTTTTTATGCCAGTACCACACAGTTTTGAATACTATAGCCTTGTAATATGTTTTGAAATCAAGAATTACGAAACCTTTAGCTTTGTTCTTCTTTTTCAAGAATGTTTTGATATTCAGGTTTCCTTGAGATTCACGTGAATTTTAGAATCTTTTTCTATTTCTGTAAAAAATGCCATTGGGATTTTGACCAGAATGTTATTGAATCTATACATCATTTTGGGCAGTATAAACATTTTAACAATATTAAGTCTTCTGAGCCATAAACATGGAATGTCTATTTATTTCTTTAATCAGTGTTTTGTACTTTTCAATGTACAAGTCTCCTCCTTGGTTATGTTTATTTCTAAGTATTTGATTCTTTATGATGCTATTGTAAATGGGATTGTTTTCTTAATTTCCTTTTAAGAGTGTTCATTGTTAGTGTATAGAAACACAGCTGATTTTTTGTGTTGATCTTGAATCCTGCAGGTTTTCTGAATTCCTTTATTAGCTCTAACAGATTTTTTGTGGAATCCTTAGGGTTTTCTATATATAAGATTATGTCATCTGTGAACAGAGATCATTGTACTTCTTCCTTTCCAATATGGGTGCTATTTTTTTTTTTCATGCCTATTATCTCTGGCTAGGACTTCCAGTACTATGTTGAATAGCAGTGGCAAAATGAGCATCTTGCCTTGTTTCTTAAAATGTGTTACTTTAAACATGATTTTATTTGGAAAGTTTTCTGAAATGCATTACATAGTCTTCTCATTAGGCATATCTTGGCATATCTTTATGAGTTGGGGCTATCATTATGAGTTAGCTAATATATATAGTTGTAATGCTCTGTTTTCCTCAGCAGTTTTTGGCTTCTACAACAAAAAATGACTCAGGTCACTTTATAATCAGAATATTATTACTGAGCCTTTATTGTCTTCCAGAAACTGATACATACCTTACATGCATGATTTCATTTAATACACACAATAACATTATGAGGTAAGGGTTGCTACTAAGCCCGTTTTACAGAAGAGAACACTGAGGCTCAAAATCACAAAGCAAGTAAGGGTCCAAATTGGGTCATGAACCAAAATCCATCAGACTTCAGAGTCCACACTCCTATTCATTATGAGATAGTCCCTCCAGTGCAGTGGGTGACTAAGTCTTAACTCACATCTTCCCTTGTGGTATCTATCACTTTTCAGCATGTCCGCTTCCAACAGCCATCTGCTAATATATGCTCTTTCTTGAAATCTAATGACCAGGATCGTAAAATCAGAGACCTTATCTTTAAAATCCATTTTAATTCCACTGGCCATGACTGAGCACCTATAGGCGGATCCAGACATCTCCTAAGAGACAAGTTCATGGGCTTTATAACAACTCTTTTCAGCTATGTTCATGCCAGTTTTTCCAGACATGTACAGGATCAAAATTGGATTTTGGATTTTCAAATTATTAAAAACAACAAGAATTCCAATTGATTGGCATATACAAATGTTTTACCCAGAGATTTCTTATATCTAGTGCAGTGCTCTTTGTACCAATTGTAGCAGATTATTTTTTCAAATACAAAATTAATAAAAGCAAAACTATTCTAATCAAAGTTGGGATGGAAATTGTAGAGCTGAGTGCAACTTCACCTTCACTTCCCCATGACATCCACTTGAAGTTTCCCTCATCCACTAAGAAATCCTGGGGCTCCACAAAAAACAACTGGAAAGACAAGGTTCTAGGGTCTCCTTCCAATGATAAGTAAAAAAGAAGCAGCTAACATAATGCATAAGATTTTGCCAAAAGAGTAAACCATAATAAATACAGTAAATAAAGCATCTCTTACTTTGTTTCATTTCTAGGAATTAATACAATCTGGTAGTTGAAAGCACTGGATTCAAAATTAGGAATTCTTCACTTTGTGCATTCTGTTCTTGGCATTCTTTGTTGCTAGGCAAGCCATGTGGCTCACCTGGTTGCAGTAGCATGCCCCTCCTAAAGCCAAACCTTCGTGGTCTATCCCCCAGGTCAGGAAGCAGCCTGCTGGCTTATAAATGAGACCCACATTGTTGAATTAAATGCATAGCACGGGTGCTGGCTATGAGAGCTGCCTTG
Organism: Homo sapiens; assembly: GCF_000001405.40. Classification (NCBI taxonomy): domain Eukaryota; kingdom Metazoa; phylum Chordata; class Mammalia; order Primates; family Hominidae; genus Homo; species Homo sapiens. Next base: position 143,333,479 of record NC_000003.12, on the reverse strand, counting down.
GTTGTATAGAGAGACTCTAGAAGAGAAGTTTCAGACAAAGTAAGAACCTAGTGTTTACTGTGAATACTATTGCTAGTACTAGTTTTCTGCTTACTAGTTCTGAAACAATCCAAATAATTAGGCAGCCATGGAGCATTATTTGCTTGCTAAATAACAATTAGGGAAAGAAATCCAATTTGTATGGATGTTTTTAAAAGGATATTTAAAGTGAGCCAACATGTCTCTGATTTGGGTGGGGGGTGGGAGGTGGTGGTTCTTGGTACTGTTTGTTCACAGAAATCACAAGCGTGAAAGCACACATAGGCAGGACAATTGTGCAATGTGCATACAGTGAGGATTTGAGCCAATCAGAACATGAAAGGCACAGTTCCTGATGGGTAAGGATGACCTTGTTTTGAACCAGAGAGAAACATTCACATTCTCATCAGTTTTCCCCTTAAAAAACTACAGTAGATGTATTGGCAGTTGTAGTTGGCATCAATTACCTTATGACATTAAGCAAGTTACTTAAAGTCTCTGACACTTTGTTACCTTATCTGTAAATTGGGGATTAAAAATACATATGCAGATGATTGATATGGTGGATTAAATATCTATAGATAAGTCAGCAGCGATATAGATGACAATCAAGAAAGCAGCCATTATGAGTAGTACTATATGAGTAAAGGCCCAATGGAAGCAAATCATTTCCCATCTTCCCAAAGTCATCCACTCGCCTCTCCAAGTATACATTAAAAGAGATAAAACCTCTTCTGTCTAATAAATAAATGTTTCCATGATCAGATTTACAGACAAGTGGATCTCAACCCTTGGGCACAAATGAACCACTTGGCTTTTGTTTTGTTTTAAATTCTGGATTAATTCATCAAGGGTGGAACCTAGGTATTGACATTTGTAACAAGCATCTCAAATGTATTAGTGGGCCATCAGGTTGAGAACCAATGACTTGAACTATTAAACAGTTTCCTATTGGTTTTCCTGATTCAAGATTCTCCCCACTCTAATTCATTCTCCAGTGCACCGGTTCAAATGGTCTTCCCAATAATCAAATCAGTATAGAGAATGACAGCACACACTTGTCATTTCCCTATTTAAAAATCTTTGCTTCCTTTGCCTGTAACCAAGATGGTGAATATACTTCTTCTTTGTACCAGTTCCAGTAAGTTGGTTGAGGTTTTTTAGAACCCTACATAGAGAAAGATTCCAAGGGTTGGCCTGGGCTCAGCAGGAAAGAATACCATTCATGCCATTTTAGGGATATCTGCCATGAGGATAGACAGAAGGGAGCTCTGGAATTTTCCATTCCCAACGTTCAGAATAATGCCAAACTCTAACATGACATGAAAGATCCTGCATAAGTTATTTCTCTAGTTGCATTTCCTCCCTATGAGCCAAAAGCTATATCCACAATCTATTTCTTATTTTCTTATTTTTCCTCCCAAGCATGAAACCTTAACTCCATGACTTTGCTCATGCTGTTCTCATTGTCTGGAATGACCTTGTCCTTCTTTCCTCTCAATAATTTCCTAATCCTACTTCAACATTCATGTTGAATGTCACATTTTCTGTGAGGATTCCTGACTGCCCCAAATATAATTTCTCTCTCTCCACCTCTAAGCTGCAGAGCATTTTTTTCCTATAACTGATTTTGTCACACCATATGGTAATTTACTCTATGTTTACGTGCTCAACTCCCCTAATATACAATGCACATCATTGATGCTCAGTAAATGTTGGTTAAATGAATGAATGAATAAATGAATGGACTCCTTGGTGGCAGATACTATCGCTTACTCATCTTTGTTTCCCAGTGCCCGGCAAGTAACCAACGCATAGTAGGAGTTCAGGAGGAGCCTACTGAATAACTGAATAGTGTCTACAGGCACTGCTGCCACCCATATGGCACAGTAATCTGGGCTCATTCTGAGTCACAAATCACAATCTGCCAGAAAACTTCCATCTGGAGAGACCGCTCCCCACAGCAGCTTTTCCTTTCAGTCTTTAGGCCTGTTTTGTTCCCTATTCAACAGGAAATAATTGAATGCTAGCACTGACTCAAAAATAACTCGGGAAGCTATAAAAATTGTAAAAGGTCTATTAGTAATATTACACAGGATACTTTAAGGCAGCCCTGCAGAGTAGCATGCATCTAGCTCCCAGAGTTTCTTTATGCATTAATATTGCACATGTTCTCCTTACCCATGTGGGCAAGGCAGCCCACCAGCCCCTCATAACCCTCTCATGTGTACTTCAGCCTTATTGACTGCTCTGTGTGGCAAAACTGATCAGCTGCTATATGTGGAGTAAATGAAAAATGCTCAGGGAATGCTCAGGATTGTCTCTAATCAGTTAATGTTATACAGAAGAAATAGTTCATCCATCCTCTCTTACCCCATCCCACTTGAATAAAAAATGCTGTACTCTATTAACTAAAGGTAAGATTCTGCCCACAAAGACTTTCTTTATATGCATGATAATGCTGAGATTCACAAAGAGTTAAGATTTCTCGATTCCTTGTGATTTACTCATTTAAATCAGCGTCACTACAGAGCAGAAACTATTTTGGCTCTATGCATAAATGGAATATCTAATATAGAATTACATTATAATGAAATATGCATTAATGCAAGCCTCATAAAGTGCTTTTCATGTTCTGCGGGCATCCAAAAGTTTAAAATTCATATAATCTTAGTTGCTTCTCAAATGATAATATATCAGGTTAATATGCTTAATTAAAAGTCACATTTGAAACATTCAAAGGGATAGTTAATTCACCATTGACATTTGTTATAACACAGTTAAGCATTGTGGAAACAAGACAATGGGATATGTCACTTCTGTTAGGAACAGAAGGAGGACATTTTATGATTTTCAGGAAACAGTATGTGTTTGACACCCAGGAAAATTCAGCCAACCATGCCCTAAAATATTTGCCATTAATAATAAATTTTTGGTTAAAGAGACACTCTCAAAATAACATCCAAACCACTTAGCTGTCTACATTTAAATGAAGATTAATGAGAAACACATTTCAAAGCACCATTTATTCCACAATTCAGATCGGATTACTTAACTGCTGGGAACATTTCCTTAGAAAGGGACCATGACTGTCCCTTTCAGATTCTGAGCTAGCTGTCCCCAGTGTTGAATGTGAGATTTGATGCTGGGCAAGTCCACTGTCTACCTCTTGGCGCTGAATTTAAAATAAAACTGCTAAGCTCATTCCATTCAGAAATGCCTTGGCTTCCAATATATAAAGATTTACCCTTCTACTCTCCTGCCCTAAAGTCCATGTTTGCTTTAAAATGATCTCCTCTTCACTGCTCCTGCCGATTGCTCTGGCCGGCAGTGATCGGGTCACACAGCTTTCCTCACCTCACCATCTGTCTCCTCCACCAGGAGTCTAAGCCAGGCATGGGGGAGGTCACAGCCAGGCCAAATTCCACTTTCCATGAATAGCGCCGCCAGCATTTTCTTTTTTTTCCAGTAGTTTGAAGATTCTCAGGATTTCCTCCTAATTACCCTCCCTCCTGTATCATGGAGAAAAAAATACAAGTCAGCAGCAAGGCGCAGTGCCAGAACCTGTAGGGAGGAAAGGTGCGGAACAAAAGCTGGGAGGAAAGTGAGCGCTGACGGCTGGGCAGGAGCGGGGCTGCTGTGCACCGGGGCACGAGGCTCACGTGGCCTGGGGGCTTGGGCTCCCAGGTCCTGCAGCTGGGATGCCCAAGCCTCGGAAGAGGAGAGGAACAGCAGCCTCCAAAAGGAGGAACTGCTGAGCAGCTAGGGAGATGAATGGAACAGAAGTGAAGCTCCCTCTGCCAGAGAGGCGAGCACTTCTCCATCAGCCCCAGAGACGATGGGCGGACTGCAGCTGCCCATGAGGAGCAGCACGCGCAGGAGGCCAAGGTGGCCTGCACACCTGCCATATGGGAGGATGGCAGAGTCGGGCAGCCCAGCTTCACCAATGTTATTTGCACCCCCTCCCCAAGAACTCAATGGGAAATCAAAATTGTTTTGCTAACCAATGATTTCAAATTTCATGTCAATAGGGATCTGATGCTGCCAATGCAAAGGAGAATTACCTGTACGGGTTCTACAACTTTATTTTTTCATTTTGGCCATGTTGTTCTACTAAGTACTCTGGTCAGCCCCTGGTCTCAGACTCTTATCTGTTTTCTTTACTCACCCATCAACTAACTCCCCTACCGCCACCTCCACCCCAAACACATACACACCTTCACCTTCAACGGACAAAAAACATTGCTAGAGCTGTAAGGTTGCCCTTAATGGGAAACATCCTTTATGCAATATACAGGATTTATTGTGAGCATTATGGAGCAATGTGTTGTTTGGGTTATGGCTGCGCTAAGGCTGGGAAACATCTCCCTGTTCTTGTGTAGTTAGATTATTAAAAGTTGGTCGTTTGACTTTGATACCCTTTTAGAGCAAGTACTGCTTGCAAAGGTCAACTCGAGTGGAAAGTTCAGGGCACACAGTAGGCAATAAGTTATATGTTCAGGACTCTGGCAAGATCCCTAAATGGGTCAGATGTGGTCAAGCAAAACTGACAGCAGAATATGCAACATCACAAAACATTCAGACTTGCAGATAGGCAAGGACAGTGTTATTAGAGAGGAATGATCCAGGCATTGTTACCAACATACAACCCCTGGGGTCCATAACGAAGCGAATATTAGGGGGAAAAATCAAGCTAATCAAGGAGAACAATCCAAACATCTTCTAGCAGCTAAAGACATCTTGTGGTAGAAACAGGAGAGGCCTGTGTACAACATGTGAAGGCTGGAAAAGTTCAAGCAAATTACCACCAGGGTGTAGGAGTGACAGAAATTACTTCCAGGTGGAGGGTTGGAGGTTCTGATAAAGGGGATGGCATTGCACTGGGCTTTGAATACCGTGTAGGGTTTTGAATCGGGAAGATGGAGAACGGAATGTGTCAAACACAGTTAGGGTTATCCAGGCTTCAGTGTTACATCAGCATCTCATTAAGATAGTGGAAGTTTACATGCCTCTTTATGGTTCACTGTTGCTGTGTTTTCAGGCTATTCACAGTAGTTCAGTAAAACAATCTTTGATATCATCAAATATCTGAAAACCAAGGGATTATAAACTTTCATATTTTTAAAAATTAATAGACCTTACATTTTGGAGCAGTTCTAGATTTACAGAAAAATTGAGCAGAAAGTACAGAGTTGCCATATACTCCATATGTCCCACACATAGTTTCCTCTGTTATTAACATCAATATTGACACATTATTAGCCGAAGTCCATAGTTTACATTGAGGTTGTGTTATGCATTCCGTGGGTTTTGACAAATTTGTAATGACATGTATCTACCACTATAGTATCATATGTAATTGTTTATTTAAAGAAAACTCAGATTCTGATTTATAGAGATCTATTCTTTATCAAACAAATGTAAGCAGAGAAAATAGATAGTACTTGTGCATACAGAAAAAAATGTCCATATAGAAAAATGCCTTGTTGACATGGGTTGCAAGCTATTTAGAAAATCTAAGTCTGCAACTTCTAGTGGAACATAAAAGAGGAATTAGACTAGTTAGTGCTCAATGAATTTAGAATGAATTTGAAAGAATTTGCACTGCTCTTCATAAAAATGATCTCATGATTTTTTTCCTTTAGCCTGGAAAATCTGCACCTAGTACCACATTGCTGAACAGTATGAGAATGCATTCATCAAGATTTTGAAGTCAGAATGTCTGTTAATCCTGTTACATTTAGAATATTACCCCCAAGCATGTAGAATAAGAACAATCTTAGGAGATATTTCTGTATCTCCAGTAGGTGGCCATAGATGGAAGATGTTTGAGGAAGAACAAAAAATAGGGAAGGGGAGAGGGCTAAGAGTAGGAGTGGGTAGAGGAAAATGCTTCTAAGTTCACATGACAGGAAACAGGAAAAGCCTCAGGGCATAAGAAATGGAATCAATCTGCTGGTAGTAAAAGGAGCTGGAAAAGTAACAGTGCCAAAATCTGTCTCCTTTTCCTCTTGAATTAAAACTCATATTGTTCCATATGGTATGTGCTAAGGGATTCCTTTTTGGACTATCTGGTCCAGTGTCTAAGTTTATTTTCCTTTTCTTCTTCCCCATATTTAAGAGGAAAGTTCCTTTACTATTCATTCACCCCAACTCTGTTCCACCTCCACAAGTCTACTTTTATCAGATTTTTTTTTCTCTAATTAATTGTGGGAGGTAGTGATTTTTTAAGAGAGGAAGTGTAGCCTTCACTTGGCTTTATCATTCACCATTTTTGGAGAATTTAGACTTCCTTCCTCTTTCTTTCCTGTTTGAAAGAGGCTCTACAAGTTAGTTCTAGTTGAAACTCTAGAGGACTATGTTTCCGTCTCCTGGCTGTACTCTCAGAATACTTGCAGGGACCATTTATGAGCTATTTCAACTGGAATTATCCTAAGAAGGCTTATCTTTGAGTGTATATACTCCATCTACTGACAGATAAAAGGAGATCATTACCGCTGAGGAAAAGATATATGCACAAGGCAAGAGAAAGTGGTCCCCTAATAGACTCCAGTGACCATTAATTTTAAGTGCACAAAGATATAACACTTCATTGATTTGACAAATATTTATTTAGTGCCTACTAAGTGCCAGGCACTGTACTAGATGCTGGGGATGGAAGGTACAGCCCTTGTTACCATGCAGTTTACAATCTAACAATGTACTAGGGGGAGAAAACAAAACTCAAATTAAGCAAGTAGAATAATTACACAGTATGATCCTTATTTGCCACAATGGAGAATAGCCATGGAGTGGGGAATTACATTAGAGAAGGTAGTTGGGGAAGGGCTTTCTAAAAGTGAAAATGAGAAGGAGCCACCCTCATGAGCAGCTGAGAGAAGACCATCCCATGCAGAAGGACCAGCACATGCAAAGGCCTGGGGGGAGGGGGCACGTTGTAGAGGGGAGCTGAGTGCATTGAAGAAACAGAAAGAAGGCCAGTGTGGCTGAGAATGGTGAGAGGGAGAGAAGAGGGAGGAAGGAAGGCTGAAGAAAGCAATGAGGCAGACAGATCACGCAGGGCCGGCAGGCAAAGTTAAGAGGGGAGATTTTATTCTAAGTGAACTAAGTGTCCATCAAAGAGTTTTAAGGAAGGGAATAATGTGACCTAATTGACTATTTTACAGATCACTCTGGTTGCTGTGTGGAGAATTGCAGGAAAGCAAGTGTAGTGTCTGGGAGACCACTTAGCAGGCTGTTGTATTAGGCAAGAGACAATGGTGACCTCGATGCCTCAAGGAATCCTGATGACTTGAGATCTAGTGTGGGTCTGAAAATAGTCAAAATCTCCTTTTACTGCACATCCAAGATTTTTATACTTTTTCTTTCCATTATTGCTAATAACTTTTTATTGAGGTTTTTACAAATACTCACATACAAATGAATACATAAAGTTTTCGCAGAGCACTTGCATGCATGAATAGAAAACCAATACCAAGTGATATTAGAGTTTCAACCATTAAAAAACAGATATGAACAATATACTGAACCAGGACATATTATGATGCCTAACTCTTTATTGAGGGCATGTCTGTACATTCCAGAAAATGCACAAGTGATGTCTGATCCACTCCTCTGTTTGCCCTGAGCTGATCCTAGAGGCAGAGACCAGGTCTGCAGGACTTGCTTTAAATAGTAACTGACAAGGCACCAATAGATAGTCCACAGCTATCCCTTTTGAGGCTGCTGCTCATAGTACTGACCAGCATGAGGTCCAAAGGTTTGAAGACTCCATACAGCCCAAGTGGACATGTCCTGTGGAACTGGCCACGGCCTTCCAAGGGTGTCTCTGGCTGTCAGTTTCTCCTATGCACAACACTCTCACCCTTAACAAAATTTAGGAAGCCTTTACTCCTGGATTTGCCCATGTGGTGTGGAAGACAGTGCCATGGCCTTGGAAGCATGCAGTCAGAGACAGATGAAAACACAAGGACAGCCAGGCTGACCCTACCAAAATAAAACCCAGTCTGACAGTGAACTCTGAACTGAGGCCAAGGGTAAGGTTTTAGGTTATAGAGGGTTAGGAAATGAGAGAGAAGTAGTTGATTGTGTTCCACTGATCTGTTAACAAATACTTAACAAGGCCAGTATTACAGGCACTTCTCAGTACCCAAGCTTCCATTGCTTAAGGACTGTGTTGGGTGTTTTACATGCATTTTCTCATTCAGTCCTTGTATGAACTGTATTTTACAGGTGTGGATAATCTGGGATCGAGGGAGGGTAAGTGACATGGTGACACAGCCAATAAAGACAAATTCAAGGAGGGCCACCAGAGAGTGATCTCAGAACTGTTCTCACTACTATGGAAAAAGGAAAAGTGTGGAAGGTTTTTTTTTTTTTTTTTTCTGGTTAATAAGAAGAGACAGAAACAAAGAAGAAAATATTAGGCATCCACAATCTTACCAGCCAGAGTAAAGGATTTGGGACACTATTAAATATTTTTCCATGGAAAATGTTTGTTCAGGGAACTGACATTATTTTTAAAAGATTAAGCTGAATTAGTGTACAAGGTGGAAGAGGCAGAAGAGAAAGGAGGCCCTTTAAGAGGCTGCCATGAGAGTTTTAGTGCAGATTGCTAGGAAATAAGCTACTGTTTTTTTAAAAAACAGGGTTTCCTCTATCGCCCAGGCTGGAGTGTAGTGGTGCAATCGTGGCTCACTGCAACCTTGTCTTCCTGGGCTCAGGTGATCTTCCTGCCTCAGCCTCCCAAGTAGCTGGAACCACAGGTGCATGCCACCATACTCACCTAAATTTTTGTATTTTTTGTAGATATGGGGTTTGCCATGTTGCCCAGGCTGATCTCAAATTCCTGGGCTCAAACGATCTGCCCACCTCAGCCTCCCAAAGTGCTGGGATTACAGGCATGAGCCACTGCCCCCAGCCAGCAGCTACTATTTACTGAGCATCCACAGTTCGTTGGCACTGCCTTCGAGTGCTTTCCATTTACTATCATTCTCACTCAGCCCTAGGCACACGCTGCTTCCAGAGATTAAGGAACTTGTCCTAGGTCACACACTAGTAAGAGGAAGGTCCCTGGCTGCAACTGAAAACCAGATTGGTCTGACACAACAGTGGTTCCCCACTAGGCTTGCGGTTGGAGCTTCAGGATCCAGGATGTGCTGTGGGAATGGAGAGGGAGAGGTTTCTGGACTTAGACAAGGCTCACCCACTGCCTGGGGAACATTGCAATGACCCCACCTTGCTCCCACTAATTCAGTGGCTCTTGTTCAAGGAAGGCTGGTGCTGTTCTGCCCCTCCCTCTACCCCCTCCCAATAGAGCAGGTACTTTAGGTCAAGTAAAGGAGAGTGGTGATTCTGATAATAGCGAAAAGCAGCTGCCTCTTCTCAGGGGGACGTAACTTCCACCTGGATTGTTACCTCTACCACCAAGAGCAGACTGACAAATATAGTGGAAAAGAAAATGTATACATTGGGACAAAGTATATATGACCAACTAAATAATTGGAAAATTAGGTAACCTTTTTCTTAAACTGACAAACCAAAGACTAACATAAGCCAGTTTCAAGAATCCATTTTTTAAATATCAGTATCCTCAGGGTGCATATGTATTATAAATGGAGCTGTATGTTGAGGGAAAAAAAGCAAACATAACTTATCTTTTTTTAGGTTTTATTTGTACAAATATAGAGTACATTTAAAATTTTGTTACATGTATATAATGTGTACCGATCAAGTCAGTATGTTTAGGTGTTCATCACTTGAGTACGATATATTTTTCTTAAGTATAGTCACCCTACTCTGCTATCAAACATTTAATTTATTCCTTCTATCTCACTGTATCTTTGCACCCTTTAAGTCACTTCTCTTCATCTTCCCCCTCCCCACACTCACCCTTCCCAGTATCTGTTATCTATCTTTTACACTCTCTACCTCCATGTAATCAATTTTTTAAGCTCCAATATATGAGTAAGAACAAGCAGTATCTGTCTTTCTGTGGCTGGCTTATTCCACTTAAGATGATGACCTCCAGTTCTATCCATGTTGCTGCAAATGACATGGTTTTATTCTTCTTAAGGCTGAATTGTATTCCATTGTGTATATATACACCACATTTACTTTATCCATTCATTCATTGATGAACACTTAGGTTGATTCCGTATCTCTGCTATTGTCAATAGTGCTGCAATAAACAGGTATTCTTCTGATATATTGATTTCTTCTACTTTGGGTAGATTCCCAGTAGTGGGATTGCTGGATCCAATGGTAATTCTATTTTCAGTTTTTTCAGAAATTGTTATGCAATTTCCACAGTGGCTGTTCTAGTTTACATTCCCACCAACGGTATATAAGAGTTCCCGTTTCTCCAAATCCTCACCAACATTTGTTATTTTTGTCTATTTAATAACAGCCACTCTGCCTGGAACAAGATATCTCATTGTAGTTTTGATTTGCATTTCTCTGATGATTAGTGATGGTAAGCATTTTTTCATACACCTACTGGCCATTTGTATGGTTTTTTGTTTGTTTTGTTTTGTTTTGTTTTTTTGGAGAAATGTCTATTCGTGTTCTTTGGTGTCTTTTCCCCAATGTTAGTTCTTATTGGCTTTATCAAAGATCAGTTGGCTGTAAGTAAAACAAAACCACCTCTTATGATTACAGTTGTGTGAAGACCATGTCAGACTCCCTAGTCTGGTAGACTTTTTCTTAAAATCTGTAAGCATACTATGTTATACTAGTTAATACACCAGAAATATTCCTAGGAGTTTCTGGTTTGAACACATACACAAAAAAATGCCAAGAACCACTGAGGAAGAACTAGTTCAAAGGTAAAATGAGGTGTAGATCCTGTTGCCTCTTCCCCTGGTTGTATTAGTCAAATTTCTCCAGAGAAACAGAACCAATGAGATTAGATAGATACATACATACATTTATTATAAGGCATGGGCTCATGCAGTAGTTATGGAGACTGAGAAGTCCCAAGATCCACACTTGGTAAGCTGAAGGTCCAGGAGAGCCAATGGTGTTGCTCAGTCTGAATCTGAAGTTCTGAAAACCAGGTGAGCCAATAGTATAAATTCCAGTCCAAAGGCAGAAGACTGATGCCTCAATTGCAAGCCAGAGAGATTGAAGACTCTCTTCCTCAGTCTCTTAGTTCTAGTCTGGCCTTCAACTGGTGAGGTCCACCCACATTATAATGGTCATCTGCTTTGCTCAGTCTACTGATTTAAATGTTAATCTCATCCAGAAACACCCTCACAGACACGCCCGGAAAAATATTTGACCAAATATCTGGGTACCTCATGTCCCTGTCAAGTTAATACATAAGATTAATAATCACACTGGCGAATTATCTAAAAAAAGAAAAAAGAGATGAGAGCAACCAAAAGGTCAGGACTCCACTGTCTTCCAACAACTAGCCCTTCTCCTGAGAAGTCATTGGAAGGGCCAAGTGGCTTCCCTTTTTGCCAAACTGAGATGAAGGAAAAGATGATCCAGTTAGGGTAGAACAAGGGTTCCTAACTTGGGACACAAGGCCTCATCCAGATGTTGTGTGGATATTCACTTACCTGGGAAGAGACTCTATAACATCCTCAGACTCCCAAAGGGTCTATAGCCTAAACAAGTTTGAGAATCACTACTCTAGAGTGAATAGAGTCTTCCTTAAAGAGCTAAAAATCAGAACCAAGAACCATTGATATTCCCTCTATATTTGAATTGAATTCTTAAATATTCCTTAGTTAGAAAAGGAAGTATAATTCAGAGCAATGGATGTACCATTTCAGCTGACTCTTTGGACCTTACTGATAATATAACCATTAAGTATGAGAAAAAATACCCTAAAACATAACTGTCACTCAGGCTGCAGTGGTTTCACGAGAAACAGAATACAGACCACACAAAGTAGAACACAAAGCCTCAAAATGAAAGGCAGCCAATGAAGAGCTGGTAGTATTCATGGGGGTGAACATGCCAAGTAAAGCTAACCCTGGGAGAAATGTGGGAAGGACCTCAGGTGGCCATACTTGAAGACCAGACAGACCAGCAAGGGTCAGGAGGATCCTTGGCACAAAGGGAAGCTTCAATAATTCTACCTATTTCCGTCCCTTCCTATCCACAATCTGTTACCACTATGATAAATCTGCTGTGATTAAAAACATACTGCCTTGCTCCGCAGTGGAGGTCATAGTAAACGGAGCTTCTAAGCAACGGTGAGCAGGACTTCCTGTTTCATTCCCCAAAGGGTTTCTTGTTAGACTGTGATAACCTTCAGGCATTAGTTTCCTAGGGTTGATATAACAAAGTACCACAAACTGGGTGGCTTAAAACAACAGAAATGTATTCTCTCACAGTTCTAAAGGCTAGATGTTTGAAATGATGGTGTCAGCAGGTCCATGCTCCCTCCAATAGCTCTAGGGAAGAATCTTTCCTTGCCTCTTCTAGCCTGTGACGATTGCTGGCAATCCTTAGTATTCCTTAGCTTATGGATGCACCACTCCAATCCCTTCCTTTGTCTTCACATGGCATTCTCCTCCATGTGTCTGTGTCTCTATGTACAAATTTCTCTCTTCTTTTAAAGGCCCCAGTTATATTGGAGTTAGGGATCCATGCTATGACCTCATCTCATCTTAATTATATCTGCAAAAGATCTTACTTCCAAATAAGGCCACATGTACAGGTATTAGGGGTTAAGGCTTGAACATATCTTTTGGGGGCATATGATTGTTTTTCCCCTCCAAAATCATGTTGAAATGCGATTCCCAATGTTGGAAGTGGGGCCTGATGGGAGGGGATTTGATCATGAATGGCTTAGTGCCATCCCTTTGGTGATAAGCAAGTTCGAGTTCTGCCTCTGGTAGTTCACATGCGATCTGGTTATTTAAAAGAGTGTGGCACCTTACCCTCCACCATGTGCTGTGCCTGTTCCCACTTCACCTTCTGCCATGAGTAAAAGTTCCCTGAGGCCTCACCAGAAGCTGGCAGTGCCATGCCTTCTGGACAGCCTGCAGAACCATGAGCCAACTAAACCTCTTTTCTTTATAAGTCACCCAGCCTCAGGTATTTCTTTATAGCAACACAAGAAGACTAACACATAATTCAACCCACAATGCTTTGGATATGGAGACTTCCTCCTCTTCTAAACAGGAATCTGATGTCATTGGAACAGTAGTGTACAGATGACAGGCAGTAATTCACTCAAACAGTATTCATTGAGCAACTACTATGCACCAGGCAAGTTCCAGGCACTGAGGATACGATAGTAAGATGGATGAAGGGCCTGCCCTCGTGGAACCATTGGTGTAGTAGAGAGTGGCAGCCTATCAATAAGCAAACAAGCAAAATAACTTTTGACAGTGGTTAAAAACTGTCATCTCTGCCACTCCAAAGATACCATCCAGGTGGCAGGGAACTAAGTGGGATCTATCTCCAATGGAAAAACAACTCATGTTTATAGGGCAAGCTGTGGCAAAAATCGTGAAGCAGTGGACACAGGTGACAGCACCAGCCCATATAACATGCCAAAGGAACAAAACGCTGAAGACTGTCATCCCTGTTTCAGAGACAGGAAAATAGAAACACAAAATGGGAAGGCGTTTACCCCTAGTCCCACCAGACCTTGACTTTCTCTGCTACCATTTTGCCCAGATAAGCTTGCAGATGTTTCTTGCGAGGTTTTAAATTTCAATTTCAGCAGACATCCTTACTGGCTTGTCACCTTCCCCACTTAGTTTCTCCCCAGTATGTCTATCCTTTAGGAATTTGTGACTTGCAACAGACTGCAAATGTCAGCAGCGGAAAAGACAAATGATAATAATACACTGGGAGTTGCAGCCTCTTTGCTAATTCAGAGGCTGGTTCCAGAAAAACATTGCCTGCTAATTAAACAAACCCCTTTCTTCTGACAGATGAAAACGCGGGGAAGATCTTATCCCTTCAGATGGAGAACAGCCACTGTCCTGTGAGGCAGCGTCTTTTTCTCAGGGAATTAACTTCTCATTTACATTAGGTAGAGCTCTGGTCTTCAAAGCAAATGACAGACATTCACTAATTAATCCACCCCAAACCCCATGGGAAGGTATCACTCATTAGCTACTGTTTGCAGATAGAAAACATGAGGCAGCAGCCAAAGTGGTTTGCCAAGGTCAAAAAGGACATTTATAGGACTCCCCAGGAGAGAACTCAGGAAGCCTGTGTCCTGGCTGTTTGGGGCGCACCTTGAGGACCATAGTCTTTTTGGCTTTCATTCTCAAACTCCTTTGAAGGACTTTGTCAAATCAGGTACCAGGGACCTGGTTATTAGACTAGCGCCCAGTTATTGATTGGATCTGCAATGAATGAGCTCCCATATTTATTGTATTAGCTGCCACTTCAAGAAGCCAAATTTGTGGCAATTTCTGTTATCTTTACATAGTAGTTGGTTTGTTTTTAGTTTGACAGTTATTTATTATAAGTCAAAGTTATTTGTTATAAGAAATCAAGGTCAAGATAAGAAACTTGCCCAAAGACCTAGAGCTAGTGGCCTTCTCTGACGCCTTTTTACTTTCCTCTCCACCTTGACAACACATCTTGCGTGGCCAAGCTCAAGCTCATCTCTCCCAAGAGATCTTCAGTTAATTTTAGCATCTCTCATCACTAACCCTCTTTGCCTTGCCTCTGTCCCATGCAACAAGTCTCCAGGATTCAAGCAACGTCTACATTTGTGTAGACAGGGGGTCTTATACCTTCAGGCAGGTAGCAGAACTGGGTATCGCAGGTTGAGTAAAGGCCCAGGAATGGCCACTGAGACCCCACTCCATGTCAGGGAGAACTGGTGAGGACTCTGGCAAGTTCGTACCCCACAAATAGCAGCCATTTGTGACAGATGGGTTGTTTTGTCTTATTTGGGCCACTTCATGCTTCCCGATGGTTAGCTATTACATTTACTGGCTAATTGTGAGGTCTGTATGTAGTTACAAGCTCTGCTTAACTACATGATGTGTTGTGAACAAGCAAATCACTTTTCTCCTCTGTTTTTCTCATGAGAAAAATGCACCTAATATTTCTCTCATATTTATTTCACAGGGTTAATTGGATGTTACTTTGAGTTCTTCAAAGAAATAACACAAAAATACTTGCTTATCTATTTTATTTTAAAGATTGCAGGAATGACAGCTTCTTCCTAATATCGTTCTCAGTTGTTTATTTCTCATTTTCCTGTCTAAATATTCTAGCCTTGATTTACTGAGAGAAGGGTAAAATGTATTTAAGAACATTTATTAGTCAATGGTGAAACAACCTGAGGTGTAGTTTTTGAAAGTAGCTTGAGAAATAGTAAAAATAAAAAGACTACATCAACATCCAGCCCCACTGCTGGTGGTTATAACAATCTACTAGAAATCCCATTGGGATGCAAAGGCCTCCAAACAGATTGGGATGGGGAGAGAAGGAAGAAAATGAGGCCGGGCACGGTGGCTCAGGCCTGTAATCCCAGCACTTTGGGAGGCCAAGGTGGGCAGATCATGAGGTCAGGAGATCGAGACCATCCTGGCTAACACGGTGAAACCCCGTCTCTACTAAAAATACAAAAAATTAGCCAGGCGTGGTGGCGGGTGCCTGTAGTCTCAGCTACTCGGGAGGCTGAAGCAGGAGAATCGCATGAACCTGGGAGGCAGAGCTTGCAGTGAGCCAAGATCACTCCACTGCACTCCAGCCTGGGTGACAGAGCGAGACTCTGTCTCAAAAGAAAAGAAAATGGAACATAGAACATTTCAAACCTGAGAAATACATAAGGAAAATGGAACATAGAACATTTCAAACCTGAGAAATACATAAGGAAATTTGTAGACAGACACTGCTTTCTTTAAAAGAAAGAAAACAGGTGTCTGCTTATCCCTGTAGCCAGAGGATCTACATCTTCTGGGGGAGAAAAACAAGGGTGGAAAGTGTAATTCACCAAATCTCATCTTTCAGCCCCCATAAAGACCTCACACCCTCCTGCTGCTGTGGGAATCAGGAGGATTTTGACTAAGGAAAGTATTTTAATCTCAGTAACACTGAGACATCCAACCTGAGAGGAAAGTGAGGGGCAATGAGGCAGGAGTTCTCCTTTGGTGTGGGCTCCTGGGAGGGCTGTTGCCCTGTTGTGCAGGAGCAGTAGCTCCTCGGGCAGGAGCTTGTCTCTGAGGAGGGCTGCCCTGGCCATAGTGACCATGTTCTCATTTCTTGGTGGACCTGATGGCTAGTTGGACAGAGGGAGCTGGCAAGTTCTTGGCTCATTTTTTTCCTCCTTTTCAGCCAGATAATTAGTGTTTTTAATCACTGAGGGGTTGACATTAGATTGGTTCTTTGAGGGGAGATCATTTGTTTTTCTCTTGGAGGAGGTCTGTGACAGAGATTTGTCTGTGTTAGTAATCATGGTCAACGATTATTGAGTGCTGACTGTATTTCAGGCCCTGTTCCTAGCACTTTGGGAGTATTAACTTATTTAATCCTCACTGCAACCCTAGGATCAGAATTGAGATTGACTCCTGCACCCACCACATAGTATCTGTGTGATCATGTGCAAGCTACTTGACCTCTCTGAGCCTCAGTTACTCATCTATGAAATGGAAATAATAGCTCCTTCCTCGGTGGCTTGTTGACAGAATCAAATGCAGTAACCCTGGTAAAACGTCTTAAGTGCTCAGTATGAATTTGCTCTTAATATTGTCAATATGTTTTTCCTTCTCATTCCCTGATTATATCCTCCTGATTCCCAGCAGGCCTAGTTTTCCCCAGAGTTGTATTTTTGGACCATGTCAGAAGGTCAGAGTTTATCCAATGCCCAGGGTGCATTATTTCATATTTACGTGCCTGATATGGGGCCAAGAAGGTATCTTCTTAACATCATTGTGATACATCATTGTCAGTGCCAACCTAAAGGTATATCCCCAAGGCAATTCACTGCATAGAATATCATTTGCTGGTTGTAACCAACTCTTCTGGGAAGCACCACAATATAGCAGAGATCCTCTTGCCACCAAATTTGTAATATCTGCCAGTCCTATATGCTCCCAGAGCTTCCCATCCAGTCCCTCTCAGCACACTGAGCACAAGAAATCGAAGCTGCCTGTTTACTTTCTCTCTTCCCCAAAATAGGAGCAAGTTTGAGGGCAGAGATTATGCCGTAATTACACTTGTGTCTTCACTGATGGCAAACTCCTTGACATATTTTAAATGTTGGATGGATTCATGACAAAAATGAAAGAAATCCAGCAACCCCCTTTGCCCAAGGGGCCAAATTTATCTCGTGAGTGACAGGTGGTTTCTAATGGCTAAAGATGTGGGAAATGTTTCTGCCTGGGCCGTTTCTTCTGCACATCTTAACCTCCAAGCCCTCCAACTCCCCATCCCTAATGTCCGTCAATTCTGGCTGCGTCAGCCAACTATAATACAACTTGTCTGCTCAGAAATCCAGACACATTATCACAGAACCTTATAGATGTAACTTTGGGCAAGAGGACTTTGGTGTCACCATCTCCCCGCTCTGCTTCCTCTTTTCACCAGCTAAAGATCCTTCCCAGCTGACATTTGGAGAACTTTCTCTCCAGATCAGGCCATGTTTCTTTCTCTGCTCTTCACAGCATAGGGCCATGGGATTGTGTTCGTGCCACCATTCCACAATTAATACACATTTTAGCTTTACCCCAGGGAAGCATTAAACATTGGGTTTATTTTAACTCTGCCCAAGTGGGAGTTCTTCCAATTAAAGAAGATAATGTAAAAACCTAAAATTGGTACAGCCTCTGAGTGAGTATCATTCAATCTCTTTGACCAAAGAACATACAACCCCCTGGGTCTTGATTATCTATGGTTCCTGAGCCATGATCTTGACACATGTTTTTAAATGTAGGAAAGTGACTAAATGGCATCTTCCAGTTCTTGTTGGGAGGGTAGGGATGTTTGGCTAGGACCAGCTACGGACTTATTCTGTGTGGGAAGCAGAAGTGGAAAAATAAGTAGGCCACTGAGTTTTGTTTGGTCATGCCACATAGTAGTACATCAACTCTTGAAGCACAAAGAACACTTTATAAAGCTGAGCTGAACAATATCTGCCCAGATGGAACATGTTGCCGTTAGAGCCCTCACCACCCATCAGCCCTGTCAGGATGAGCCAACTCTATCTCTGCAAAGATCTAATTTTAGAGAGATCAGAGCTTGCTAATGTGTGTCCAGTATAATGGGAATAAAATGTGACTTCCATTAGTTAGATGACCAGAAGATATACTACAACTTGTCTTTACTGGGGCTTATAGCTGAGGTACTTTAAATTTATCCTCAAAAACTGATGTTCTTTGTTTGGTTTACTTCCTGTATCAGATGTTCTAAGACTGCCCAATTGTATGCCATTAAGGATTCTGTAATTTCCTTGAGTATCACACCTTAGGGTTATTTGTTTCTGTGAATTAGACTCAACTCTCTAATGAGACCATTTCAAAAACCAAACAGTATTTTATGTTTTAACTTCCCAGGTGTTGCAGGGCTAATAGATAGAGCACTGTCCAGCAGCCCATCAGTTACTCACTATTGAGTGCAGTGATGGACCAATTCTAAGAGGCTCAAGGGAGGCTCTGAGGTTAATCACCAAGAGTGTGGCTCTTGCCCCAAAGCAGAGCCAGGCTAACCCAGCTGCCTCTGTCTCCGGTGATATTTTTACCTCCAGCTTTGCAGACAGTGCCAGGGCATTTGCCTGGGGCCAGTTAAAATTCGTGACAAGCAGCTAGCAGGGAAGAATTGGGATTCATCCCATCTCTACTGTGTAACCTCGAAGAGGGCTGGCCAGTGGGGAGAGGCAGGGCCAAAGGAGAACTTTTTAGTCATCAGCTGGAGAAACTTCTTTACTTCAGCCAGTTTAGAATGATTTAGAATGATTCGTTTCCATGGAGCTTTGTTTTAAATTCTGAGTTCATTTGTAGCGATACTTGCTAATCAATTTTAAGTGGAAACAGCTGTTCTGTGTCACTCACACAATCCCCTTTCAAGCCCTAGAAAACTATAATTCGAACCATCCTCGTCCCTCCCTTAAACCTACTCGGTATGGCTCTGTCTGCCAGCTTCCTTACCCCACTCTGTGGGACAGGTCAGAGGGAGAAGGGTCAGCACAGTGTGGAGGGAGGATTGTGAGCAGGAAGGAGCACAGGACCCTGACATTTGATGAGATACAGCAGTTTGTGATCCTAGCAGCAAGGAACGTGATCCACATAAGGTATTAATGTTTTTCCTTCCACTGGTCCAATACACATTTACTGAACAGTTAGTAATGTGCTAGCAAAGTGCCATCTGCTAGAGATGGAAAAGAGAAAATGTAGACCCTATTCTCATGGATCCCACAGTCCAATGGGGGAGACAGAGGCTTAAAATCACAATACAGAGAGTTAAGTAGGATGCAGGTGGGCACAGGCACAGTGGGAGCCCAGAGGAGGGTTGCTGAACTCCCTCTCCACCCCGCCCATGCCCTCACATCCGCAGTCCCACAGAGAGGCAGCTATGGGGGGCATGGGCAGCCATGCCTGCACCTGGCCTGATCACTTCCTAGAAATGAGTTCTGCCCATTGTGAAATTGAGGTGAAATATACTCCCCGTCAGCCTCCCTGCTCTGTGCTTCCAATGAGTGGCAGGCCCATTTGCAAAGCCGTCACCCCAACCAGGGCCATTCCCCAGCAGCATCTAGGCAGAGAGGAAGATGCTGCCTGGCCTCTAGCCAGAATGGTGGAAGCAGGGAGACCTGAGTGTTTTCCAAAGCCAAGAGGTCAAAAGATTGTGAACTTTCAGTCCTCCACCGCTCTCGGGACATGGTATTTCTATATGCAGAATGGAAATAAGACTTGGAATATTTAGGGAGGATTCAGGGAGCAAATAGAACTGTTGATATTCTGGCAAGGGATCATAAAGAAATCTTATGACCAAAAAGGCTGTCAGGAGGTGATGGGATTGGGTGGGGTAAGGAGTTGTTTCTGGCCATTGTGGCTGCCAGGAAAGAGCAGGGCTGTAACTTAGATGACTCTGCCAGTCCCAAAACTGGCTGGTCCTGGGTATGTTTTGTGAATTACCTGTAGAGCTATGTTCCTATGGCTATAGAAGAATAAAAAATAAAGTAAAATAAGGCAGGGACATGATTTAATCTGCAGCATGCAACTCTTCCCATCACCGGGTCCCTGCCCTCTGTGAGTGCCTATGTGTCTGAGCACAGCTTTAGAATCTGCAAGACACTGAACTGCAGTTCCTCCACCCACAGCAGACTCAGGCTCTACAACAACCACGGAAGTGGCCACAGCCAAACCTACCTTGAAGGACTCCATGAGGGTTAATTTGATGGTATGAGTGGGAGTCCCTGGCATGGTACTTGTTTTCCACAGTAAAGATAAATTAATTATAGGTACTTTTGTTGAGTTTTTTTTAACTTCCTCAGCCTATGTTCTGTTCTCGTGTAATATTATAGCTTCAAGGTCTCCTAGGAGGAATTAGTTAGCTTTCTTGCCCAAAGAGTGACCTGAAGGAGGATATTTGAAAGGAGAGAAAGTGTCTATCTAAAGAAGAGTATGTTCTTGGGGATGGAAGATTGGGAAATTTACATTGGCGACGTAAAGCGAGGGTTAGAGCTGGTATGCCATCTTGGCCTAAGCAATGGTCAGAGGTATAAGAGACAAAACCTGGGGATGACTTCGGTCCTCAAATGACTGACATGATTAGAAAATAGTGATCAGCTGTGCTGAAGGATGAACAGGTGGTGGCCAAACACTGTGACATGAGGGACTCAGCTTTGAAAATGAGAAGGCTGGGGATGCTACCCTAGGAGAGAGTTGCCTGAAGGAAGGTGTAGAAAATTACTTCTCTGTCAGCTGTGTAAAGCAGGGTAAGTTTTCAGCTACTAGAAAGAAAAGCAGGATGATGGAACAGATGGCTTCACTGGATCCCATCTCACCCTCTGGCCTGGTAAGCCAGTGTCCCACTTGGAAGGGCCATGCCCACTGCTCTGGCGTATGTCATCAAGCAGCTCACCTCCTTCTCTCCTCTGGGACAGGTTCAGAGATAGTCAAAGATTAATGTTTGAGCAGACCAAGCTCTTTCCATATAAGTGCTCATGCTTGCATTAATAGCAAGGCCAGACCTTTGGTAGAGGTGCTTTTGTGACATTGCAATTGAGGGTCAACCATTTAAAAACCACTTGTTTTTCCACCAAAGTTTATTCCTACTCCTTTTGACTTGCTATTGGATTGAGCCTTGTGGCAATACATTTTTAACCTTCCACCTCACACACCAGTTCTTGTTCAGTAAATGACAGAAGTAGGTTATGCCATATCCTCTGACAGTGTGAGAGGGCAACTGATTATTTTCCTGCAGTGTTTTGAATCCCTGTAACTTAAAAAAGATGTAACAGACAAAATTCTCAGCATCCAGGTTTTGTTCTCCATAAAAATCTGAGCTTAATGCTTTGTTTCTCTGTCTAATAGACAAATAGAATGTTTCTATCTCACAAAAATCTAACCCATTTAATCTTTTCCCCATTGGATAGGGAAGTGTAATGGATTTTCAAAATATTTTCTAAGGCTGACCTTAGGAAGTTCTCAGAGAAACTAAAATATGGAATAACAGTCCTCACTTTTCATTCTCATAATGCTCAGGTTGATTTCAGTACACATGAGAGCAAAGTATGTGAGAATCACACACAGAGACAAAAGAACATTCAGAACATAGTTCTTCTCCCCGCCCTTGTCACCATAATTAGATGTGCATCTTGAGAAAACATGCCCTTACAGAGAGGAGAGACGTTTTCACAATATTGTTATTTTATGTAATGAGACCTGACATATCACCTGCTTCTAATACAACTGTACCTGGTCCTAATTCTCCCCATTACTGCTGTTTTGTTCTGTAAGATAAAAAGTGTAGTTACTTAGAGTAGAAGCACCCAACCTGCCCAGGAAGGAAAGCTGCTTTTACCTGGCTCCTAGAGAAGAATTTCTCATGTCCTGGACAACTTGCATTATCATGTTGCAAAAAGAATTTTGAATTGGAATAAGAATGCTGGGTTCAGGCCCCACATCTGCCACTTAATTGTATGCCCTTAAGTCATTCCTTATCTGTTAAAATGGGAACCACATACCTCACAAAACAGATGTTTGGGACACATGAGAATGATGTGTATGAAAAGTCTGGCCAACTGTGAAATCCTATACAAATCCTTCCTTTATTGCTAAAGTATAAACACTCTTACCCAATAGAGAGATGCTGGGCAGCTAAGAGGAGTCCTGGTCGTGGTAGACAAGTCAAGAGCCATTGAGCAAGGGCCAACTGATACACAATGGACTTGCTTTTAAAGAAAAGACCACTATCTCCCATTGACTGTGTGGGCTGAGAAGCCAGTTTTAGTCTTGGTTGACGTGGATGGGAAAGGTTCCCTGGAAATCAAGTTGTTTACAGAGTTCTTCCCTTTTGCAACCTTGGGTAACTTGACCTTTCTGGGCGCCTACTTCCTGACCTCCAAAATGAGAGGCCTGAGGACTTCAGACATCCTCCCAAATAAACAATCCAGTTTGACTCTTAGCTATGAATGATTTTAGACCCAGAATATCTTTCTAGAACTTAAATTTTCCTTCTGATTCTCTGTTCACAAAAATTATGACCACCTGTGCTTATTAGTGTTAATATAATCTCATGAGCATGGGAGAGGCCCCATAAACATAATCTTTTCTGGTTACGGCAGTTCTCATCACTGCCCTCTCTGCACACACAGGATATTTTCTTAGTCCTTCTAGTGTATGCTCCATCTACCTACACATCCTATTCAATGATTGTTCAAAAGTTCTACAAGTAGAGTGCCTCTCTTGTGTAGGAAAGTGGGCAGGAAGCAGAAAGTCTCCATTTCTAAAATTCGTACAAACTTAGATTCTAAATTCGGGCTTTTTTTTTTTTTTTTGATAGAAGACTTTCTGGTTTTGTTTTGTAAAGGCCACACCACGCCTGCATTTCGCTTTGTGCACTTTAGCTCTCATGTTGGTCTGACACCAGTTGAAAATTCATAGCAGCCCCAGATTTACGTGACTTTCTTCTAGAAAGGAGATTATTACCCAGCCTTATGGAGAAGGAAGAAAGTGTGCACTGGAAACTGTTCTTAGTTTACAAAGCTCACTTGCAGGCAGGCTCAAACTAGTTGGAAAATCGTAGTCCTTTCAAATGTGAGCCTTTAGTCTTCCTTTGTAGCTGCTTGAAAATGGAGAAAATGGCATGTTGCTCTAGATGCCAATGAATGATGAGGGGAGCCCCAAAAAATCCTTTCCAGTTGACTCTACAGCCTCTGTCAGTTCAGCAGCACTGCAGCAGGAGAAGGCTGGCTTAAACTAAGAGCAAGCCTAAAAATTATAAAATCACAGTCTTACTCCCAAGTAAGCAACACATGTTTTGGCTGGTCCTGAGCCAGTTCATGTGAAAAGTGCAAACTTAAATTAAAAAATAAATCACTTAAAAAGTGAGCCAGATCCATTGCCCAGTCAGAGCTCCATGAGTGAAAACAGCAACATAGACGAGGGTGGTTTTTAGGAAGCAACAGGATTTCATGGGACAGAGACTTTTTTTTTCCCTCTCACTCTCACCCTTGGGAAAAGCTCAAAATTTCCAACCACCAGGCACATAACCAGATGCCCCATGGAGAGACCTAGTGGGAATTCACGTGGACCAGACCCAGGGAATTGCTGAGAACATTTCTTCCTTCTTTCCAACCTTTTCTTTTAAGGGAATGACTAGATATCCCCACAAGACCACTTGAGATACAGGGAAACAAAAGGTTAAGAAAATGCCCCTTTAAAGGAACATCTGCGAATTCACCCTAGAGTACAGAAACATGAGAAGAAAGGGTCTGGAAATCCTACACTCAACTAGGAAGAGAGGAAACCCTTATCCTTGCTAAATAAAAACTACTGAGAAATCATGAAACCAAGCCTGAGTCAGGTGTCCAGGGTTTGAGAAAAATGGAGACATACTTGGAAAAAAATCATCTGGTGACCCCAAATGAACCTTTTTTTTTTTTTTTTGCTTTTCTGTTTATTTTTATGATAAATTACTCAAAGAATAATTGCAAAGCACAATCATAAAGGTACGCTGTGGTGTTTCCTTAGCCAAGAAAGAAATAATGTAATACTGTGGAGGACCTGGCTTTGATTCCTACCATCTGCCTATCCCATTATATGACCCTAGGCAAGTCATTCCACCTTCCCAAGCCTCAGACTGTTCATGTGTAAGGAGGGTTTACCTTTGAATTAGAGGAACTTTAGAAATAATCTAAGAATCCTTGATTTATGTATTTAGGGTTGGAAGTAGAGACTCTTTGATATGAATGGAACTTGAGGTCCAAATAGAATCTTAGCAAGCCTAGGGAGGAAGAAGCTGCTTTGAAAAGAACATGAAGACCTTGCTCATGTGTATAAATGTCACGGAGTTGGCTGAAATAGACTTAGAGCTGGTAAGCTCTTTAGAGATTTCCTGCAATCTCCATGTTTTATGGGGGGAAAACTGAGCCTAAGAGAAGCTGAAGTGACTTACAAAAGATCACCAGATACACTTCAGTGTCAAAGTAAAAATTCAGGTGTCTTTCTGGAAGAGGCCAAGCAAGCCAGGGGAAGCCAGGCCAAACCTCAGAAATAATCCCCACCACCAGTATACTGAACGTTTACCCTGGGCCAGGCACTGTGCTCAGTGCTATTGATGATTTGGCCATTTAACCCCCAGAACTCAATTATGGGTATTATTATCACCATGGCGAGCTTCACAGTCATGAGTCTTGAGCAGTTACCTAGAGACCCCCATTCAGAAGGGCCCCATGCTTAGTTTAATGCTCTGTGGCCACCATCTTGAAATCCTTAATTTTTTTTTTTTTGAGACAGAGTCTCGCTCTGTCGCCCAGGCTGGAGTGCAGTGGTGCGATCTCGGCTCACTGCAAGCTCCACCTCCTGGGTTCATGCCATTCTCCTGCCTCAGCCTCCCAAGTAGCTGGGACTACAGGTGCCCGCCACCATGCCCGGCTAATTTTTTGTATTTTTAGTAGAGACGGGGTTTCACCGTGTTAGCCAGGATGGTCTCGATCTCCTGGCCTCGTGATCCGCCCGCCTCGGCCTCCCAAAGTGCTAGGATTACAGGCGTGAGCCACCACGCCTGGCTGAAATCCTTAATTTTTAAACAAGGGGTCCCCATTTTCATTTTTCACTGACCCCTATAAATTATGTAGCTGATTCTCATCTCCATTTTATATACGTGTCAATAGAGGCCTAGAAAGTTAAATTGCTCATTCTTGGTCCCAGCCACTCACCAAAATGGAGATACAGAAACAGAATCAGTGGTCAGGGTGAAGGTGGAGGCAGACACACTGCTCAGCTACCATAGTGGTTAAGTGGATGCTGTGGTTTCAAAACCCCTTTGGGATTTCCCTTCTTCTGATGGCCTCATGCCTGTGTGCTCATGGGTCACATGGCAAAGTAGAGTGATCAACCATCCAGGTTTTTCCAGGATTGTAGAGAATCCTGGGAATCCCCTTTCAGTGGTAAAGTCAGGAAAGTTCCTAGCAAACTGGGTTGATTTGGTTAGCCTACTGCTGAGTCACAGGCATGGGGCTGGAGGCTTCTTAGTCTTATCTGTTTTCCATGTCCTGTATCTAGTGGGTTGCATGTAGGTCCTTAAAGGCAGGGCTCACCCAGAGGTCAGGCTGGAGACCTTGATCCAGGAAGAAAGTGGGTAAGCAGCCAACTGGCTATCATTGCAAGGCTGAGGACCAGGAAACAGAGGCCAGAGGGACCAGTCAGCCTGGGAACAGAAAGGCTGCAGGGCCTATTCAGAGACCGAAGCCAGGCTAGAGAAAATGTGGGTGCAGACAGACAACAGCAGAAAGCAATAGGCAGAGGCAAAGACCCAGCCTGCAGGCTCAAGGCATCTACAGCTTACTCTGTGACCTAGGCAAGTTACTACACTTTGCGAGCCTAAATGTACTCATTTGAAAAATAAGAATTGCATTAAGATCATTGTCAAGAGATCATATGTGCAGAATTCAGTATGGCCATGTCAATTTCTGTTTAAATCCATAAATATTTACAGAGGTCTATTATAAGCCAGTCACTGTGGGACAGATTAGAGATACCTCCTGCTCTCATGGGATTAACCAGTGGTGTGCTGGTAAGTGTTTAACAACCATCTATTTGGAGAAAAAGTAAGAACTGCTTTGTAGCATATGCCAGTTTCCATGGTATAAACATTGCCCCCATAGCTAATATCAATCTGCCAACATAGAGGCACCGAATACAGTATTGGGATGAGTTGTACATCATCTTCTCTGCAGAGCCTAAACCAGGCAATCACTGAGCTAACCCTCTATTAGAAAGAACAGACAAACTATGGCACCATAAGTTTCATAGACAAGGACACAGAGAGAAAAACAGAGCAATGTGTCTCGGACAGAGAGTGGGGAGGACCTCCCTGAGAAAGTGAGATTTTCACTGAGACCTGAAGGATGCATATACAAACTACAGTAAGGAAATAGCATGTGTACAGGCCAGGAGGAAAGAAAGAAGAGAAAAGCATGTTTGAGAAAAGCCTAGAACAGGGAAAGACAGGGCTGAGAAGAGAAAATACCAGAGAGTGTAGGAGTGAGTTTGCCATATTCTAGAGTTGCATTTTCTGCTAAGGAAGCCATAGGCATATCTATTTTTTAGAACCATCACTCTGACTGAAATGTGGAGAATGTGTTGAGGGACAAGAGGGCAAGCGGGGAGATCAGGTGATGGCAGGATTCCAAGCAGGAGGTGCTGCTGACCTGGGTCAGGTTTTATGTATTTGTTTAACAGGCATTTATTGAGCTTGTGTCATGTACCTATCACTGTGCCAGGCCCTGGTGATTCATCAAAAAGAACATTGTCCTAGCCTTCATGGAGCTTACAGGCAAGACATGTTTTTAAAGATATAAGAATAAACTCAAGTGCTTACTACATGCCAGGCACAGTACTTAACACTTTGCATGCATTATCTCATTTAATTCTCCCAGCAGTTCTAGAGGATAGATTCAAATGTTACCTTTGGTTGAGACAGTAGGTGGAAAACTGAAAGCAGACAGGTTCACAGTACAGGCATCTGCCCTGGCTTTCAGTGCTTTCTATGAGGCGAGCCTGTGGTGGCAGGAAGGTGTGTGGATTTGAGAATAAGGGCAGAAAGGGCCAGGTCCTCTGGGGAGGCCTCAACCTTCTGCCAACAAACCTCTGCTTTCCTGTCCAGTGCCCCCATTATGTTCCCCACTGCCTCCCTGATGGTGCATTAGCATTGTACCAGTCCAGGAAGAAAGGTTAGATTAGAACGATAAGGAGAATAATGTTCATATTTGTCAGTCTCACATTTTAGAGGGTTTTTTTTTTAAAGAAATTCCATTTTTATGATTTTTCAGGTCATACAAGGGGGAAAAAATCAAATGTTCATAATCTGCTTAAACTGTCAATTAGAATATCCCGCAAGGAAATTGTTAGACCGTTTTGTCCATTGGCAAATAAATACAAATTTGATGAATAGCAAGCATTCTTTTCCATCACTTGACAGCTGAGAAATTGAGACAAGCCAGGAAAGAAGCTGAGGAGACAGTTCTGTAACTCAAGCCGTGTTTCCAGCCAGCCCACTTCTGGCCAAAGACACACCCCTTGTTATCTTCAGTCATTTCTTTTTTAATGAGGTGATGGGCAGTTAGTTTTGGTGAGGGGCTTTAAATAGAATTGATCTTCATTAAACAGATCTGTCAAATCTGCCAAAAGACTTCCTTGAGACCATTCCACATGATAGTATTTGTGTTTTCATAGGCAGCCTCTTCTGTAGACTCTCTCTTCCTGTCAACTCACTTCCAGCACAGCATCCCTGTATAAAGACGTTGAAACCCCAGTGGTTGTGAATTTTTAACAAAGCAACAATATTGCCTTTGGGACTTTAAGGTCAGAGAGACCTAGTTCAAATCCTCAAGTCCTAGTTGCCACCACTTATGAACTGTGTGACTCTGGGACATTTCCTTCTCTGTGCCTGTTCCTCAGCTATGAAACGGTATCATCTACCTTCTATCACTGTCAAGGAGAATGAATGTGGTAGCGAACATCAAGGGCTTAGCACTCAGCATGTCCATTCCCATCAGCAGCAGCTGATCTAACCAAGTGACTGCGATTCAGTGAGGGGGTTAAGAGGAGGGAACACGAGTCACCTGCTAGAACATAACGAAGAAATGCTTAATACAGCTTCTCGAAAAGTTGCCCTCAACCCTCCCTTTCTCAGCCTACCCAGATGCCCCATATCAGTTGGCATTTAAGATTCTTGAGCAAACAGATATTGATATAGAAGTTGTGATTTTGCCTTATCACTCCCTTAGTAGATGGAAGGGAATCATTTTCTCAATCCCAGAAATTAATAATAATGTTGATATCTGGTTCACGTTCAGATATCAGAATATAAAAGTACTCTCCAGAGTTATTATTCATAGACCCAAATTAATTGTTGACCCTGAGTTATAAACACCAGCAGGAGGAGCTAGGCTGCAGAAAAGTGTATAGGGGTGCTGAGCCCTAAGGGTGGTGGTGCTCATCACCTGGGCTTGCAGGTAAACAGAGCCATGTGTCAAGACTGAAGCATTTAATACCACTGGACTTAAGTCGTAATAGGAAATGGGAGGGTGTTAAACCAGCCTTTAGGAAAACTAATACAAGATGGATTTTGAATGTCTGAGGGAACATTTTTGGAAGAGTCATTATTAAACTTCAAAGAGAATCAGCCTTATCAGCAGTGATAATAGAAATATATTGGCTTTTCTGAAGATAGATCTTGGGTGTCTCGTTTATGAGCCAGCCATGGCTGGACTTTTATCAAGTCTGTCAACTCGAAACCAAGTTCTTAACCCAAGGCCTGAATGCTGCCAAGATGAAGCCATGTCTGAACAAGGCAATAACATCCCCTCTTATTCCAAAGTGCCTCTCTTGTAAAACTCAAACTTATCAAGAGGCTTTGGATTCCTCTCTCAGTTCCTTGTCTTAACAGGGGAATACATCCCATGTCTAACCAGAATGTTTGTTGCTTCTGGAGTCAAACATATGCGCCTCCTAGGCACAGCCATTAACGTGGGTGTTTCTTGGATGGCTCAGACAACCAGAGTTTGGATTTTAATGGCTCTTTTCACCTCTCTTCTCCCTGAGGCCATCTATCTAGGAGAAATCTCACCTATGTATGAGAGGCAGAAAAAGGAGAAATACTGAAATAATTGCATTTTTATCATAAGCAGACCTATTATGAAGTTATGTGGCAGGAAGAGACCCAAAACAATGGATACAATTTGACTTATCCACCATTCCAGTGGGTGACTAAGAAGTGACTCTAGTTGCCATCTTCCCACAAAGGTCTAAGAGACCTCTTCATCCTCTTTCCCCCATTCAGTATATATATGTTTTCTGGAAATCTGTGCCAGTAAATGTCCAGTGGAGTATTTTGGTTTTGCTTTCTAAAGACTAACCTGGAATGAATAAAGTTCCTCTGTTAAGAAATGGAGAAAACAGATGTTTTAAGTCATCTTTTTAGGGGACCAAGGGCAGTGCCTCTGCCGGCCTGAATCTAAGTCTTTTTTGGCTTTTGGGAGGAGTCAAATGGGCCTGGCAAGTTTTGCAAGGGAAATCTCAGAGGTCATCCAGACCTGAAGTGTAGGTAAGGAGACCCTGGTTTAGCACAAGGTGGAGTCAAGTTCTAGTTCCGCTATTAAGTGTGTCACATGAAGCAGGTCACTTATAAATACCTCTCTGAGGTTTAGTATGCTCATATGTAAAAAGCAAATAATATCTTTCCAAAGTAATCATCCTCAAATGCAAGTCTCACTGTGTCTTTCCCTTGCTTAAAACCAGACACCTGGCCCTTCCTACCTAGTCTAACCTCATTCTCATCACTTAGTCCTCCTCTTGCTGCCTCTCATGCAAGAACACACCAGCAATATTGGATAGCATGCTGTTTCACACCTCTGCTCCTTTGCACATGCTGTTCCAGCCCCCAAGAGGCCTTGCCTCCTTCCCTCCTTCCCTCAAAAAAAAAAAAAGAAAAGAAAAAGAAAAAAACCCACCTGGAACAGGAAAAACATTTGTTCCCCTTTGGAAACTCAGTTCAGATATCACTTTCTATTTGAAACTTTCCCTGAACACTCCTCTACACACCCCTCCCCAGCCCCAACACAAACACACAGCTACTTCTTTGAGTCTCAGACTGTGCCTTGTTCTCATCTGCCCATGATCCAGGTGGGCCTCTCTAATTTGTACAAAGGCTGTGACTAGGCTGGCAGTGGCCCTGGAGGAGTAAGAGTCTTTGGGGACAGGAAAGCAGCCAGAGCGTGTGTGTCACACTGGAAGTCCGGAAGGGAAATGCCTGGAGAGCCAGTTGTCCCTCTGCAGGGGAAGGGCACGATGTGGAGAGGGCGGGCAGGGAAGGCTGCCAAGAAGCCCTCCGTGGTGTTAGAAGTGCATGTCTGGGGCTTAACTGAGATGGACTTGTAACGTGGGAGGGACTCCACACTCTTGTGGAGGATAATTGAGAACAAGGAGGATTATGCAATTTGAAAACATCGAATTCCAGAAAACGTGATGATTCTTGACAGTGACCCACTTCACTTGTACCCATCTGGCTTTATCCTCCAGTTCTGCCTGTCTTGAGCCTGAGTCACTCCTCGTCAAACGCAGTCATTCTGTCTGTTCCCAGTAAGGAATAAGACCAAACCTGCTGGCTGGTTGGAGGATCTGTCCTTTCTGCCAGCTCTCCCTCTCGCCATCTTCCTGGCTCTTTACTGCTTTCCTCTGTCCCTCCATCACTGCTCTTATTTCCTTCCCTCCTGCTATTTTTCCTTCTTATCTGGCTGTTTCAGGGGCTCTCTCCTCCTCCCCGCCACTCCACACAAACCTCATTCAGGACTCCCAGCCTTTCCTGCATCTCCTTTCTTGGGCTTTTTCAGCCCTTTAATTCATTCCTCTTAATATTTATTAATACAAACACCTCATTTTCACCTTCAATGTTTTTTTCTTTCTATTTTCTGGCATCTTTTGGTTCTTCTCTGCTACCCGATTTTCCATCTTTTTAGACAAGCATTCATTAAGCACCTACTGTATTCTGGGCAGTATGCTGAGTGCTAGTGAAGAAAAGATGTATAAGCCTATTGCCTGTATATACTAGGGCAATCATCCAGAGGAAATGGGGGCTGATGCCTCCAGCATCCCCCACCCACCATAGCTTTAATGCTCAAGGCAACGTGCTCCTCATCCTCTGCATCACAATCCAGAGTTGCAAAAGATTCCTGGCCCGCTGTGACAAAGGTGGGACAACACTGTCTTAAAGCCCCTAGCAGAGGTGCCAGGTAAGATATACCAGGCCAGCAGCTAGCAACACCTCTCTCCCCAACCCTCTCACTCTTCCTAGGGTGAAGGAGGACAAGTTGAGATAATGAGGATTCTGAACCTCTTTTATTTCCACTCTGCAGTTCTGCAAGGGTTGGCCCCTCCTGGTTTCATAAAAAACACCTCCACTGACATTAAGAGTGGCTTGAAAATTAACATATACAACTAGTATTTTGCACACCAGAAAAAGAAAGCTTTTCAGCTTTGGGTGGGCTTAGAAATGTGGTTGGGAAGACACTAACTGAAAAACACCAAGGGAAAGCGGAACACTCTAGGACAGTGGTTCTCACACTTTGGTCAGTGTCAGAATCACTAGGGGAAGCTGCAAAAACACAGGGACTGTGCCCTATACTACTTCAAAGGCCTGAGTCACTGTGGGCTCCACTAGATCCCCAGGTGATTCTGATACACACCAACATTTAAGGACTGCTGCTGGAGAATGCGTCTGTCTCATCTTCTGCAGAGGATGGCCCTAACACCCAGCTATTCCATTCTACTCTTGCCTACTGAAGGCTTTTTGTCTGCATGACCTCCACCCTCAAGTATAGGTGGACTTTTCCACTAGAGGGCCAAGAAAAAGGCTAATCCTGCAAGGCCAATCTTCATGCCACAGCTTTTAAAAAATCATTTCCGCCCTCTTGCTGATTTCTCTGCAGCTCTGGGGTGCATTAAACTTAAACTATGTGTGAATAGAAGAGGAAGCAGTTGGTACTATTAAAAGAGGGAGAGAGATAGAAGACTATAGTTTGAATATTACCAACTTCCAAGACTTACAAAGTATGCATTTTGCGCAAATGTCAAAATTTAGTAAGCAAATCAGAACAATTTGGGAGATGGGCAGCAGGAGTGATTTTAAAGCTGCATCTGACCATACACACATCCTGTGGCCGTTCTGCAGGATTAGCCAAGTTTTGCAAATGAGAAAATATGGAAACATACACATGAAAAGATTTCCCAAGGTCATGGTGAAGGTGGTAGTGGTGAGGATTAGGGGCTGAATGCTGTTTCTCCTGGGCCTATTTCTGAGCTACTGGACCACAAAGCTTCCTGAATGCAGATGTTAAACAGGTTTTTGCCTTTAAAATAAAGGTTTAAAAGGTTCTTATTTTGGCCATAGTTCAGTGCAAATCTGCAAATCTCCTAGGGAAAAGGGGACCTATTTGAAGGGAAATTAATTACTTCCAGCTTCTGGAACACAAATCAATTCAACTTTTCCCTGTGTTTTACTAAAGAGTGCTTTAAAGAGTGGTACTCCAACTTGGCTGCTGAGAAACTTTTAAAAAACCTGATGCTCAGGCCTCACCCTGTACCAAATCAGACTCCGGGCTTTTAAAAGTTCCCTCCAAAGATTCTGATGTACAATAGAGTTTAAGAGCCATTGCTCAAAGCATAGCCTTACTCATAGCATAGCTCTGTGGATCAGGAGCATAGGCATCACCTGAGAGCTGCTTAGAAATGCAGAATCTCAGGCCCCACCCCAGGCCTACTGAATCAGAATCTGCATTTTATTATAACAACATCCCCAGGCATCTGAATGCATTTTAAACATTGAGAAGCACTCCTTTAAAGCACTCCTCACTCCCCCTAAAAAAGTTTATACATTTCCAAACACTGAAGAGGTTTATCTGCTTCTTCCAATGAGGTGCAGAATGGGCAGGAGGGCAAATCACAGAATTTTAGAAGTAGAAATAAAAACAGCTAATAAGAATTAATATGCATGTCAAGTGCTCTACATGCATTCTCTCTTGATATTCACCACAACCCTATGATAGAGGTGCAAATACTCTGTCCCTTTTCACAGATGACCAAACTGAGGCTCAGACCTAGGTGAAACAGCTAAAATACCACCTGGAGAGGCAAAGTGAGGACTTACACTAATGCTTCCAGGACTTAAAAGCACACGCTTTTAACCACTCAGTCAGACTTTCTCAACCTGTGTGCCAAACATTCCAAATGGGCTACAAGTGCCAAGACATTTGTTCCCCTCAGCCCTCACATAGAGTCTGGGATGGCCACCCACTATAGAGAAAAGATTAGCGATCTCTGCTCTAAATTATGCTTTTTCCAAATCATACATTTTGCCAATTGTTGGACAAAAGAGAAACTGTGTCTTCTAAAGTTTAAGTGACCTACCTGAGGTCATCTAGCTCTTTAAAGCCAGGATAAGGCTCAGAACCCAGGGGTCCCAACTGCCTGCATGCCTCCTCCCACTAAGCAGTGGTTCCAAAGTATGGGCCCATAACCAGGAGCTTTGTATCATCTGGAAACTTGTAAGGAATAAAAATGTGTGGCAGGACGTGGTGGCTCACGCCTGTAATCCCAGCACTTTGGGAGGCCAAGGCAGGCGGATCAAGAGGTCAGGAGATCGAGACCATCCTGGCTAACACGGTGAAACCCCATCTCTACTAAAAATACAAAAAATTAGCCAGATGAGGTGGCAGGCACCTGTAGTCCCAGCTACTGGGGAGGCTGAGGCAGGAGAATGGCATGAACCCAGGAGGCGGAGGTTGCAGTGAGCCAAGAAAACACCACTGCACTCCAACCTGGGCGACAGAGCAAGACTCCAACTCAAAAAAAAAAAAAATGTGTAGGTCCCCCCAACAAGCTTTTTAACAAGCTCTCCAAGTGAATCTGATGGTTGCCAGTTTGAGAACCAGTCCATTAAAGCAAGCAGCCCCAGATGGCCCTGCGCTTGCTCAGAGCTCCTATACAGAGCTGCTCTGCAAATAAAGGTTTCTTAAGGGGCTTAGCTTTGAACTAAGCTGAAATTTACATGCTGGTTTTAATCTTCTTAGGGCCTTTTTTTTTACCCTTTAGGAAAGAGCTGTAATGTTCTGGGAAGAAGAAAGTAAATGATGGCTAACAGATAAAATTTTAAATGCTCTTTCCACATTTTCAACCCACTTCCTGCTTGGGCAGTAAAAATGTGAACATCAGAAAGAGAAAGGAGAACTGACATTTCTTGAGCACCCACTGTATGCCAGGAACCGAGCATACAATAATACAGGCGTACATACCTTGTTCACCCATCACTGCATTTAATACAATGATCTCTGAGAAGTGAGGAAACTAAGACCCAGGAAGATGAAATGACTTGAATAAGATCACAAACTCAATGGTGGCCTCAGGATTTGTTCCATAGCCTGTACACCTACATTCTTTTCCCTCCAGCAGAAAAGGTAAAAAGTTTAAGACACATACTATCTAGAATGATTGGATTCCAGAAATCCCAGAGCAAGCTTTCATAAGAGATCTGCCTACTCAAAGCCCCAGGGATGCCTAACTCAATAATCTTCTTTGTCTTTGGGAAAGGTCCTGTGCTGTTATGTTCTGTGTTCTCACTTCACTGTGGAAGCTGCTCTCAAAGTATAAGAATAGACCAGCCATGAAAAGTGAAATAGTTCAGCTATACTTGAGCATCCTGAAACACTTAGAAATCTATTCTTAACCAGCAGCATCTGTTCCAAGGCAGCAGGTCTAGCATTGCCAATGCCCTACTGAGCAGCCTTGAGCTTTGGTTTTTAGAAGACTAGGGAATGTATTTGCCACACCTCAGACTTGGGAAATGAAGATAGTACTAGTGAGCCACATCCTCCCCAGTAAGAGCTTGTGTTCATGCCACTAAATGCATCAAGGCTCTGGACTATGATCCAACAAGGAGAACAAAACGGTCACTGGCTCACTCAATCATAGGCAGAGATGGACACCTGGTTGAGGTTCTACATGGGCTAGGTTGCAGATCTATATGGGCTTCCTTCCCTGTCTGTGTGCCCCAGTACAACCTCTAAACACCCAATTCCCAATCACCATCTTCATCCACGGAATGGATACACAGTGGCTAACCTGAACATCAACGTGGGGGGAAGCCCTTCCACTAGTTCCAAATGGCTAAACCTAATGTAGAACTCAACAGGGAAAGTAAAAATCTTGTCTTAGCCTTTCTCATTCATGCAATAAAAAAGCCATTCTTTGCCTTGACAAAATGCAACTCAGTTTTTCTGTAAGGGCCTCCATGGGTGATTTTTTTCCCTCTTGTTTGAGGTTAAGTTAGGCCTGAGATTCCTTGCAAACCTGCATCCAACCCAACGGTTACCATTTACTTGTCACTACTAGGATTCCAAGGTCTACTCCCACTGCTTTTTCCAGGCACATACATCACAATCATGGCTGACTCTTAAAGTCAAGAAGGAATTCAATAAAGTTACAGGATATAAAAATCAGTTGTGTTTCTATACGACAACAAAATAGACAAAAAGAAAATTAATTTCATTTATAATGGCATCAAAAAATACTTAGGCATAAACTTAAACAAGCAGGTGAAAGATTTATACATTGAAAACTATAAAACGTTGATGAAAGAAATTAAAAGACACAAATGGAAACACATGCTGTGTTTATGAATTAGAAGACTTAATATTGCTAATATGTCCATACTAGCAAAGTAAAATTCCAACGGCATTTTTTACAAAAATAGAAAAGGCAATCCCAAAATTCATATGGAACCACAAAAGACCAAGAATAGCCAAAGCTATCTGGAGGAAAAAGAAAAAAACTGGAGACATCACACTTCCTGATTTCAAATTATACTACAAAGCTAGAGCAATTAAGACAGTATGATGCTGGCATAAAAATAGACAAACAAATGGACCAAAATAGAGAGCTTCTGCTCCGTTGGCCTATATGTTTTCACACAAGAAAACCATGTATATACAGTCAACTAATCTCTGACAATTGTGCCAAAACCCACAATGGGGAAAGAAGACACTCTTTAATGAATAGCACTGGGAAAGCTTATATCCACAAGTGAAACAATGAAGTCAGATCCCTACACCACACACACACAAAAATCAACTCAAAATAAAGATTTAAATTCAGACCTGAAACTGTAAAACTCCTAGGAAAAAATATAGGGAGATATTTTCATGACATTTGTTTAGAGAGTGATTTCTTGGATATGACACCAGAAGTAAAAGCAACAAAAGTAAAAATAGGCAAGTGGGACTATATCACAGTCAAAGGCTTCTGCATGTAAAGGAAACAATCAGAGGGAAAAGACAACCTGTAGAATGGAAGAAAATATTTGCAAACTATGTATCTGATAAAGGGCAAATATACAAAATATATAAGGAACTCCTACAACTCAATAGCCAAAAAACACCCAATTTAAAAATGGGCAAAGGACTTGATATTTCTCTGAAGAAGACGTACAGATGACCAACAGGTATATAAAAAAAATGCTCAACATCACTAATAATCAGGGAAAGTCATATCAAAACCACAATAAGATATCACCTCACAGCAGGTAGGATGGCTATTATAAAAAAGAGAGAAAGATAACCAGTGTTGGTAAGAATGTGGAAAAATTGTAACCCTTGTACAGTGTTGGTGAGAATGTAAAATGGTGCGGATGCTATGGAAAACAGAACTACCATATGATCTAGCAATCCCACTTCTGGGTATATACCCAAAAGAATTGAAAGCAGAATTTCCAAAAGATATTTGCATCCCATGTTCATTGCAGCATTATTCACAATAGCCAAAGCATAAAATTGAGCTGTGTCCATCAGTGGATCAATGGATAAAGAAAATGAGGCATATACATACAATGCAATATTATTCAGCCTTAAAAAAGAAGAAAATCTTCCCATATGGGGCAACAAGAATGAACCTGGAGGACATTACACTAAGTCATATAAGCCAGTCACAAAAGGACAAATACTGCATGGTTCCACTTACATGAGGTATCCAAAATAATTAAACTCACAGAAAAAGAGAGAATAGTGGTTTCCAGAGGCTAGGGAGGGAGAAATGGGAAGTTGCTATTTAATTGGCATAGCTTCAGTTACACAAGATGAATAGTATCTAGGAAATCTACTCATCATTCATCATTGTGTCTACAGTTAACAATACTATTATTATGCACTTAAGATTTGTGAAGAGGGTAGGCCTCCTGTTAAGAATCCTTACCAAAATAATTAATTCAAGAAAAAAGTTATCCAGCTCTGATGGGCAATGCCACATTATTAACTATTGCAGGCACTTTAAACAGGAGTGATAAGAAAAGGAAGCAGGAAAGATCCACAATACCAGAAAGTATGGGGGCCCTCATTTCTGAAAGGGAGGGGTGCCATGAGCAGCTGTGTGAAAGGCTGTTAAGGGGAGAGCAGGAGACTTTGCATACTTCTGCTCACTTGTTCCACTGTGTATTATGAAAAGATGTTGCCATGTAATTACAGGTATATTGGAAATGGTCTGAAAGCACAATTAAAAGTCACTCAGCCAAGTGAAAGAGAGGGAAGGAAAGAAGGGAGAAATGACCTACAAGAGGGTGTAGGTGATGATAAAGGTTAGCTATGAGGATGGATATGAGAGGTTGAAGGCTCATTGTCAGTTAATGACATCCTCTGTGGGTTCGTGATAGGGGCAACCTTTCTTTAAGAAATGTTTTTCTAAGAATGTCTCAGAGTCAGTTAACATCTACTGAGTATAACCTCATGGACTATTTAATCATCTCCACACCATTCTTGTTCCCATGTATTAATAACAAAAGAGGAATCAGGTTCAGAGTGGTTAATGCGCTAGCCCAAGATCATAGACCTGATTACTGGAACGGCACGTTCTTGAATGCAAGTCTCTTCTAGTAGCTTTTACTGCTGTCTGCATCAGGAAAGCCACCTCAAAATGCCTACAGGGCAAGGAAGTCATGCAAATAACTTTGAGAAAGAGAAAAGAAACAAGTAACAGAGTGTAGTAAGGATTAATGGGAACCATGGCAAAGGGGAGAATTGCAGACATCTAAAGTGAATTGTTGCTACTCAGAACTCACTCTTACCTTTTAAGAGTGCAGTCTCAGTTGATCTGTCAGGAAAAACTGGAAGTCAGATTTTTACATAAACTCTCCTGTTTATTTTAACTTTTTGTCAAAACAATCTTAAACATCAGGCAGGAAAAACAAAACTAATCTGCAAACCAGATTCAGCTCATGGGCATGCCAGAGGTAACATCAGCTTTTTCTAAATCACTAATGCCAAATCATTAAATAAGATCATTTAGGACCCTCAGTGATCTTCTGATCAGGCTCTTCATTTTGCAGATAAAAATTTTGTGTCATAAGCATTAATTGAAATTATAAATATTAATCCTCATGATAATGTTATTTTACACATAATCCTATTTATTGCCTGGGCTATGTGTAGAAAGAACCTGCATGTTGACACATCAAGGTTGGAATCCCAGTCCTGAGCTGTGTGACCTTAAGCAAGTAATTTAACCACTCAGTTCTTTCATCTGCAAAATGGCAACACTGACTTGGGAATTTCAGTGGAAGTAAGATTTAAAAGGGGCAATTATTAGAAGTTATCATACACAAGGCCTATCAGAGGGAGCTGGCTCAAACCCCTAGTGGTTGCCACTGCCTACCCTCTACCCCTCCAGGCCCTCCTTTGTCTATAAATGTATTTTCTTGCATTATTTGGATAGCTAATTTAGGATCCAGTTGATTTCCTCACCAAGTTAATGTAAAATAGAAACTGGAACTTCTCATTTTGTCTGAAGCAGGCTCTTTTAATAGATTTCTATGCTGCCTTGTTGCATACGTATTGAGTGCCTTGCCTTGTCAAGATTTGAAAATGCACTGTAAGGACTTTAGCTTTGCCCTACTAAAGGTGTTGCTGTCAGTTGAAAGCAGACAGAAACCAAGGCTCCTAAACCGCTCCCCCTTCCTCCCTCAGTTGCCTAAATTCAGTGTGTGCTTTCGTGCTGTAAACAACAATTGCAAGAAAGAGTAGGCGATTTGGGTTTAGTTTCGTTTAGTTTTATTTGAGGTTAAGTGAATCCCACAACAATAAAAAATCAATACTGTATTTGGCCAGAAAGACATTATTAAAGCACCTAGATTAAATGGAACCTAAATAATAGTCCATTGATTTTTTTATCCAACTTTTTGTAATTTACTTTATAAGAAAAAGAATTATTCTCAGTGCACCAAGTGCTTGACTTAGGGCTCAGTATATTCTACAAAATTTTACATGAATTTATTTTTTATTATCTCATTGTATTTGTTCTATTTGTTTTTATAGAT
Source organism: Homo sapiens (assembly GCF_000001405.40). Lineage (NCBI taxonomy): Eukaryota > Metazoa > Chordata > Mammalia > Primates > Hominidae > Homo > Homo sapiens. Next base: position 143,293,951 of record NC_000003.12, on the reverse strand, counting down.
GTGTATGAGATTTATTTTTTTAACGCTGGTTCCTAATTCAATGCTTGGTTTTAACAATGAATACTTTCTGCAAGGGTTACAGAGACATTCAAAACATTGACTTTTGCTAAAAGATGGGATTCTTCAGTATTAGTAAATACTGTAGTATTCTTATTTTAAAATCTGATCATAGTGATTAAACCAGCTTTTGACTCTGAGACTACCCAATGCTTGAGTGTCACGTTATTCAAGAATTTCCAATTCCAGGCCAAATAAGACCCAGATAAGCTGTGATTGACAGTAACATGCTAAAATTCAGTCTCCAAACTCAATCCCAGATCATATTCAACAGAAAGTGAACTTCCACAATAATACCCAGTCCTCAGGTGTATTTCATTTTGAAAGTCCTCTTTCCTATAAGTACTGGCAATACTGAGGGCAATTATAGGGAAAATGCCAATTATGACAATATCAAAACAGCCATGGAATGATAAACAGTATGAATTAGTCTCTCCTGCCCAGCCATTTCCAAAAATTTCTGTTCATATCAGGTTTCATAGGAAAAGGTATGATTGCAAAGCTAACTTTATGTACACAATATTGATTTTTGGCTGAAGAAAGCCATATAATACTAAAATAAAGAATGAAGAATACATGCAGACGCACGTATCTGCCAGGCCACTTATTAAGCCCTGCCTGAACCAATGCATACAAGTAGGTCATTGAAAGTCACTGAAAACCGGGGCAGCTCCCCTGGCAGGAGATGTTAACCTGCAGGAGGAATCTTGCAGACAAGTGATACATTTCAGCTGAGCAGCTGTATATTTTATTTATGAATTGATATAAGCATAGAGGTATATAGGGAGAGGAATGCATATAATGCGTAACCTTAAACACACTCCAAAATAAAGATAGATGGGAGAAAGATTTATACCTACACATGCTCTAATTTAAAGGACAACCCTCTCTCCTTACTGCCCTGCCCCAACTCCCCAGTAAAAGAGAAATAAGAGCCTTAGTGTAATTAGTGTCTTTCTTATTTCCCCCAGCAGCGGCAGCATTAACCAGCCCCAGGCATGTGTCTCAGTTAAGACCACCTACGCTACAGCCAGAACAGTGTCATCAACGTGCAGAGGGATCGGGGATCATATATGCCACTTGGTCCAAAAGGCACCAAGGTCCTACATTTTGCAAGAGATCCTTAAAGGGTCATATCTCTCTTCCGAGGTGTCCACACAGCTGTGAGCCCATCTTAGAGAGTATAATACATGTTTGCATAGCATTATGGAAATGAGGTTGGGAAGGGACCTCATATCATTATGAGGGACCTTCCTATTACCATAGGAAGGGATTCTCTAATCCACACACCTCGTTTTATAGCTCTAGGACAACCTCCAGCTACAGGGGCTGCTCAGCAAACACAGGAGAGTAGAGGACCTCAGTGTGGTCAAGAGGTAACAGGATATAGGACATCGCGAAAAAAACATGGGCTCTGAATCTAGGCCGATTTGGGTTCAGATCTCAGCTGTATGCACCAAGGCAAATTCCCTAACTCTTCTGATACTCAATTTATTCATCTGTACAATGGAAATAGTAGTGTAAGTCCACAAGCTGTTATCTGTAGTTCAGAAATCCAAACAGTCCTGAAAACCAAAAGTGTTTCATAATTCATTTCATGCCAAATCTGACTGGAGCTGGAATTGCTTGGAGGTCAAACCTGACCTGAAGTAATATGAGGCTACACACATTATCATTATTTGTCCCATGGTAGCCAAGCACCATGTCAGCACCCAGCGAGGGGCTTCTATGCCAAATGTAAGGCCTCTGGCTCTGTGTCCTCATCCCACAAGCTCAATGGAGAGGCTTCTGCTGGTTCTAAAGCTCCTGGCTCATGGCCACTCATCCAGCTGGAGTAGCAGGTTAGACCAGGACAAGCCCAGAGAATGGCTCTTCTTTTTCAGAGCACAGGGCTATATGGGGGATTCCTCTCGGGCCCATCCCCACTGGCTTAGAGCAGAGGTGTAGGGTGAGAGCCCCTCCAGCTGGACTTATTTAAAACTCGTATTGGCTCAGCTGCAAAATTTCACTGTGGCATTTCCTGACTTTGCTCCTCTTTTTAAAACAGAAAAGGGACATTGGAAAAGGAGGAAATTCCACTTGTACCTTTATGGAGTTTTGTCATTCTGTAACATGTAATCAATTTGGAAAAAGGAATGGCACCTCAGACAGAAAAACTAAAAGTAAAGTGATGCTGCAAAAAATCTTTCAAGACAGACTTTTTAAACCTGGTCCATGGGAGCTGGATTTAAGTTCTGATTGTTATCTTTTTCCCCTCCATTACTAGGTATTTTAAGTTGGGTTTGTCCTTTCCTGATGTCTCCAGCCCAATAGCCTTTTCCTGCTCCTTTCTGAGTGCTGACCTGAGAGGCCCCCTGACTGTCCCCTTCGGGTGGAGAGACAGAACCCATGGCTTTGGCATATGATTAAGGCCAGCCTCACAAGTGGGTAGAGTGAGAGATGATGTGAGGGTATCATGGGCAGGTCCTACTCAGAATAAACCCTGCCTCCCGGCCTTCCACCACCTGAGCTCTTCTCCTTTGAGGCCGGAAAGGTTTTAGTCAGCAGGAACCATCTAAGGGAAATGTGGCTGGATGAGGCTAAGTCTCATCGGCTTAGCACTTCGACGAGCAGAAACTGACAGCCAAATCAGCTGGGAGTGGACACTGGGAAGGTGGGGACAGAACAGGGGATGATGACAAGGAGGGTGCTGCTCAAAGGGAGGGTGACGGCATGTGAAGGATGAGCTTTATCAACTTCCCTATTCTCCATGTCATTTTGGGCAGTCAGAATCCTCCCTGTTCCTAAGCCATCTGCAGTGCTGGCCTGGCAGAGTTGCGTGGCTTCACCCAATCCCAAGCACTTCCGCCCTCAGTTAAACATACAACATTCCAGGCCATATGCAACAAACATTTTTGAGCATCAACTGTGTGTCAGGTCCTTTTGCTAGGCACTGGGAAGAGATAAAGCATGGCCCTGCCTTTGAAAGACTCCAAGCTGTCACCTACATAGAGGTGTCAGGCAAAATGATTTTACTGATTCTCAAAGTAGGTTCCATAGTACATGAAGTCTGGGAGATACAGGGGATAGGTGCTGGATCTAAATTTAAGGAACAGTGTTTTTTTCACAGTGTTTAGAAAGGTCTCAGCAATAATGAAAGATGCTTAATTTTCATAACTTATTTTGGCCCAGAACCCATTTAACATCTATTAACGTAGTTGTCTGCCATGGAACACACTTTGGGACCCACTCTTCTGCTTTATTTCAGCCAGATGTGCTTTGGAATTCAGAATTTGGGGGGTGTTAGCAAGGCAATCTGATGTATCCTTTTTCTATGCTATGTGTGATGGCTGACAGCGTATCAGAGAGAAAACAGAAAAGGCCTAGCTCTGTGAGATATGGAGGCCTGCAGGCAGTGTTTACAGACACGTAGCTTCCCATCAGACTCAAATCTGGGAATGTGTGACCAGATTCCTGTTGTTTCAGCCACATTCATCCCTGTGCTCACTTATTTAGCAAATATGTATTGAACATAAACTATGGAAGCAACTATATTAAAAACTGGTCATTCCCTGTCATCAAGGAACTTGCAGTCTGCCAAGTGAGGTAGGGGAGGCCTGGCAGGTGTGACAAATGCCATGATTAGGGAGTGACCACACATCCTGGTTTGCCTTGGACCATCCCATTTTATGCCTATTATTTATGTACAGTATGTACAGGTGCCCCCTTTAACTCTGTCCTAGTTTTGACAATAGATTACATGGTTTCCCTCCTCCCCCTGAGTTATATTGGGTGCAGGCTGTAGAAGACCATAGGAGGGAGGGTCAGGGAAGGTTTCTCAGAGCATCTGACCCTTGAGTTCTGAATTACTGAGGATAAGATAGCTAGGGACAGTGGTGAAGTCCACACTAAGGGGAAGAAGTAGCAAGTACAAATGATGAGCAGAGAGAGGAGTCAACACATGCAGTTACGAAGGAGACATGTCTCAGGGTAAGGAGTTTACACTCCTTCTAAGGGCCACAGGAAGCTTTTGATGGTGTTGTAAGCAGGGAGTCCCATGATCTGGTCAGCATTGCAGAAGAACCTCTCTGGCTATGAATGGGAGGGGAGGTGGAGCAGGGAGCTGGCCCCATCAGCAGAGCCCCTAGACCAGTGAGAAGGTGGTTGCAGCCACCTAAGGGAGGGGTGCTGGCAGCAGCTGTGGGATAAAGGGAGTAGATGGATGAATAGATGGATGGACAGATGGGTAGATGGATAGGGGAGGTCTTTGGCAGGTGGAGTAGACAGAACTTATTGATGGATGGATTGACTGTTGTGCAGAAGGGAGAGGAAAGAGTTGGAGGTAGCACCCATGCTTGAGCATGAAAGTGGATGATGACATGTTCAATGAGACAGGGGGCATGAGAGGGAGAAACAGATCTGGGAGAAAGCGATACAGTGAGCTTCGTTTTGGACAGGACAAATATAAAGTGCTCTTGCTGCATCTCTGAGAGTCCTTAGCCTTCGCCAGAGCTTCAGGGCTGGAAGGGTAAAGACAAAGGGACATTTAAAAAAATAATGGTTCAGAAACATTCTTGAAACTAAATGAAACAAAAAGCCAAGTCAAACTGTACCGGAGCAGCCTTGTTACTGGCACGATGAATCACTGGCTGCTGTTGTTTGGGAGGCAGTGAATTGAGCCTCCAATGCTAAGCTCCTCTGTTTAGCCCCACAACAGAGCTGGTGTAGACAAGGGCCCTGTAAGCATCCCTCCCACCCATGCTAATTACAGAGCCCTTGGCCTCCTGTCATCCCTACCACTGACAGCTCAGCTGTCATCAGGTGGTCTCAGTCCTGCCTCAGGCTAAAATGGGTTTAAAGTCTGACAGTGGATGCTCTCAGTCATTCACAAGCTCCCTAAGTCAACCACCAGCCATGTCTGTTCACTTGCCACTGCTTCCCTGTGCACCAGACATACCAGGGAGCATTTTACAGTCTGGAAGCAGGGGGCAATGGGATCTGTTTTGCCTTAGGTAAGAGGGTATTAGAGCTTTAACTTGCTTTGATAGTCCTTGGATCTTCCAGTGTCATTTGAAGTCCTCTAGTCTTCTATCTGACCATTTTTAGCTGTATGTCCTTGGCCTCAAGTTTTATTAATATTATTCATCTTGATCATGGTCTGAGAAATTAAAGTGACCACATTTCTGTAATGATCCTACTCTTTCCAAGCAAAGAAGAAAAATGTCTTTGTGGAACATCACTGCCAATAGGGCTCTGCTTGGTAGATGGTGCTGTAGGAGGAGGCATCTGCTCTCTATAGCAATCATGAAATCATCGTACCTACAACCAGCTGGGTCAGTGACCAGAATGAGCCCAATGTCTAGAACCTGAGCCAGCTGAAGATGTATTATTTGCCCCCCAAAGTCTTCCTTTTGTAATTCAGAGGACCAGCCTTTGTATACAAAGCAAGAAAATTCAGGTTTCCTTTCTAAGTTGTTAAAGTGATCCAGGGCCAAGGGCAGTCTTTTAAAGAGATCCTAAAAGAACTCTTGGACCCGAAAATGCGAACAAGTAGAACCTGAGCTGCGTATTTATACTTAGCAGTCCCAAGAAACCTATGGGCATTTGGATTTTATAATGTGATATGTTCTTTGGTTTTGTTTTGTTTTTTTTTTTAATAACTGGAGCCCAGGCTTAGCTTTTTTTTCCCTATACTCTATGTATAGCTGAAATTACAATCATCATAATCAAGCATTTAAGCAAACAAAAATAATCATTTGAAGGCTATTTTCCATAAGCTCTTTAGTTCTCAATTCACTACAATTCCGTTCAGAAGGAAATGTTCCATTTTTTCCTATTGTAGTATTGTCAGCAGTAGAAGCAATGACCAGTTCTCCACATTTAAAATTAATTCCACTTCAGCTTTTCTGAATAAAAACAAATTGATCAAAAGCCTAAATTTTTTTTCCAGGAAGACTTTTTTTCTCTACAGACCAGAATCTACTGGAGAATACCATCCTAGTTATACTGAAAGTAAGCAGTTGGTGTAATTTTGAGCCCTTCTTGAAAAATCAAATTGCTTATCTCTGAGAAATTTTTTAATCTCTAAAATCCCCTTTGCAGTTCACTTCATGTGAATGCTCCTCTTCACCCCGGCCATTCCTAATTACAGTGAGAAGGTCTGTAGGTGTAACAATTCTATGAATTCACTGTTATTCCATTAGCACTGAAGGACAAGGTGCTGAGCAGAAAATGGGAAAGTAATTGTACTGGACTTCATGAATAGCAGCACTGGGAATTATTCCAAACCCTAAGGGAACAGTTATATAGTCAGCTCCTTCATTGTGTGGGCAAAGAAACAGAATTTGCTAGAATAACTCAGAACAATGGACGATCTGCTCCAGGTTCTTTCAGCTTCAGTAACCTGTGAATCATACAAATGAGACAGAATCATAAGAGAAGCTACCAAAGGCAAGCAGTGGAATGGAGACTTCCAGAGTATAAAGATGGGGTAAAGGAATTTGGTTGTTGTTTTTTTTTCCCTTCTTGTCCATAGCACTTTTTGATGTCTACCCCATAATAGACTATTTCGAGTCATCAAATAAATCAGTTTGCTTTATTAGTGAGTTTCTAAACTGGCAAAGCAAAACCTTTACCCAGGATGTGAACTTACCAAGCCAAAGCTCAAACTACAAAATAGGGAATGTTATCAGCTTTTGCTACCTCCTCCCAGTCAGTGCAGATCTTGAGCTGTCTTGCTGAGCATTCTTGGGCCTTCCCCACTTGCCAGCAGTTATTCTGCACCCCGCTCCACACACACACACACACACACACAAGTGGGACCAGAAGGAAGGAGGAGGGAAAGTGTCTCAGATAATCCAAGCTTTGAGTTCTGAATTACTGAGGAAAAGGTACGTAGGGACAGTGGTGACCAAGGTACTGAGACAGAGAAGGGTCTGAGACATGGAGAGTTTTGCTGACGCACACCTCGTGAGGTCCAGAACTAGTGGAGCCTCATTTTGCTTTAAGATTCCTAATGACATGGGCTATCATGACCCAAAGGTGACCTGCACTGGTACCAGTTTCACAGTCTGTCAGACACTAGGAAGTATTATGCTAAAAAGTTTGGTGTTAATCTGAGTTATTTGCTTCCTGGGGAAAGCACCAGAAGATGCCATTCTGAGGGTTATCTGCAGGCATTGAAATCTGGTGTGATTGCTTTCCAGCTCCACCTAGATCTAGAGCCACATCCCTAAACTGGGAAGAATCAACAGAAAAGAACATAGCCCCACAGCACAAAACAATGGCAGCTTTAGTCTGAGCAAGAACATTCTGTGAGGCCCCAGCTGAAAGGCAGGTTGGGATTTGGAAGGAATGTCACCAGGCAGTAAACAAGAATGATCTGGGAGACCCTGGCCTCTGCCTGTACTGAGAATGCCTTGGACTCCTTTCAGAATGTCAGATTTATTCCAAGAGCTCTGAATGGCATCGGGCTCCTGTGACCCTGCAAAGCCAATAGAAGGAGCTCTGAAATGCTTGGCTTGGCCTTCTCCAAATCTGCAGGAAGGTCACAGCCTGTATGTCCATCAGGTCTGTGTGCACCAGCCCAAGGCTTTACCAAAGCTCTCAAGTAGGTCCTGGGAAGGTTTATTGAGACCCCCACCCCTTCCTACCACTACTGCCTCCAGAGCACACATATACCCTCCTTCGAAAGCACTCTTAAAATCAGCAACAGAAAAAGGAAGCCCAATTAGGAGAAAATAACTAGCATTCAGTCAGCAGATGGCATATGGAATATGAAAATTTCCCAGCCTCTAAAACCATCACCTTTTCCATGACCTTGACCTCCCTTTTTTTGGTTGAAAGAGAAGAGAATCTTTCAGCTCTGGGCATATTACTAACCCTGATATTCCAGCCTTTCCTAGGCTCTGGTTTATAAACCACATCCCATACTTCCTCAACTGTATTCTAATTACTAAAATGCTCAAAACACCCGGCTCATGAATAGAACCTCCTCAAAACTTTAATAGAAAGCAGGGAGAAAGAGTTCTCAGCTCCTGTTCCATGGTCCTCTCCCCTTCTTTTTCCTTAAAACAACCTGGACACCTGTGGCAAAAATATTAACACTGCAACCATTGCAAATGGAAGTCTCTAATAACCCCTCCCCGCCATAGAAAATCTTTACTAACAAATTGCAGCTAGTTCTGCTCCCAACCAATCCGAGCCCCATGAATCATGCCACTGAGCTCCCAAGTTATTGTCAACTGGGTTGACAGCCTCAGGTATGATGCTGCTGAAGCATCCTCAGAGAATGCAGAGAAGTGGAGGTCTTTTCTCAGAGGAGGCTCTGTAAACTCTTTTCAAGCCTAGGGAAGGGATCATGCTGCACTGAGCTCCAGAGTTAAAGAGGGGGCATGTTAGACTACAGTGCTGCAGCCTATGTTCACATCCTGGCTTCACCACTTCATACTTATGTAGCCATGGCTGGCTCCTTTGCCTCCCCATGCCTCAGTTTCCAGACCCATAAAATGAGGATAATGATAAAACTATCTCCTAGGATTAAAGGAGATTTTTCATGTAAAGTACTTAGCACAGAGCTTCCAATACAAATGCCAGACACCATTAATAGTGTAGTTCTAATGAGAACACATGGACACAGGGCAGGGAACATCACACACCAGGGCCTGTTGGGGTGTGGGGGGCTAGGAGAGGGCTAGCATTAGGAGAGATACCTAATGTAAAAGACAGGTTGATGGGAGCAGCAAACCACCATGGCACGTGTGTACCTATGTGACAAACCTGACGTTCTGCACATGTATCCTAGATTTAAAAATATATAGTATAGTTTTGAGCCAGAACATCAGAGAGTTGAATAGACTTTGGGGACAAGAATAGCAGGAGCTCATCCATAGTATGGATGGAATAGTGTGGAAAGAACCATTGATATCAGCACATATTTACCTTCCCTAGCCCCATTTGTGATATATCAATAGGAATATCAAAGGTATTTGAAACTTCATATAGAGCTGTCTGTATCATTTTGTCATAAGTATTGCTGGGCTTGGAAGATTACCCATAAACGACGACTTCATTGTGGGGTAGGGGAAGCCCCTGAACACGTGACTGAACAGCAGGGACCCTCCCAGCATTGCAGGCTGGTTCCCATAAGACTTCAAGTTTTTTGAAAAAGTATTTAAATGATTAGGAGAATGTTTAGACACTGAGGTACTATTAGGTTGAAGTGGAAATCTCATAAGATCCAGTTTCCTTTCTAAATTCTAGTTTCCTAAGACTCAGGTTGAGTTAAAAATGTCTACAAAGAAATTATATTTTAGAAACTGGTATTATATTATATTATATTTTAGAATACTTCCCACCCATGGCCACTACGGTAGTAGTGGGATATAAATGAGGGAAAATTCTCCATCCTGCTAAAATATTTAGAGACGAATTCTGGCTGAAGGTCACAATCAATTCAGCCTTCCCAATTCCTGAGGGTGATTTCAAATTTGGTTTCAAAAAAAAAAAAAAATAGAAAGGGCCAAATCCCACAGAAATTTCTGGAGCTGGCATTAAATGAATCTTCTTTCACAGAACTCCTAACAGCAGTTGGATATTAACAAGGAGAAAAGAACAATTATCATTTGGGACTCCAAGTGCCACTTTATGTCACTTTAAAGAATGAATAGACTTCCAGCTCCACTCAGCTGCCTGTTCACAGTTACAAAGCAATGGTAAATAATCGTAAGTAAATGGAAGGTGTGATTTAGGAGGGTGAAATAGTATAACGACTCGATGCTTTCTCTTGCTTTTCTGTGGCAAGGCAAGCAGGACAGCTCCTGCCACGGGTTTGGCTTAAATCTGGATCTGTGACTTACCAAATTAAAAAAAAAAAAAAGGTCCTGGAACTATTTATTAAAGTGGACACACAACAAACTACCAAAACATTATTTTTACAAGGAGAGAATGATCATATCATGAGTCATGGTTTAATTTGCTCTCTAGTGGTTTTATTTAACCAAAGGATCATACCTGTTCGTGCCAATAAAACTTGAGTGGTTTTAATAGAAAGTACATCTTTCCATTTTCTCAGCCATGCCAGTTTACAAGGAGCCATCTGAGCTCTACTCCTGAGAAGATGTGTTGATATGGTGGATATGGGCAGGACTTTCCGTTTGCACTCATAATTCACCCCAAAGGGAGGTTTTATACTCACTCTGAAAGGGGTCTAGACCTCAGCCAGTGAAGGCTTTGATCTTGGGCCTGAAACCATCTTATCCAAACACACATTCATTTAATCTTGCAACTCAAGAGTGACGCACCCTTCCAAAGTGGTTTGGGAGGACCAAGGGGACAGGGTTGGGGCTTGCAGGAGAGACTCACAGATATGCCTGAGGAGCCAGTTATCTGTGATACCCAGTCTCAGGAGAGCAGCTTTGCCTCTCAGTGAGGCTGGAGGGCAATGTAAAGCATTTCTAGTGCAGGCAGTCTCCTCTAGGGCTTTCCAGGGGGAGTGAGATTGTATATACAGGAAAGTATAAGGGCAAACAAGAACTGCCCTAGGGAAATCCAGACAGGCTGAGATCCATGGCTGCTGTTTTTCCCACCTTTCCTTCCAGTGTCCAGCCCAGTGCCCACCCGTCTCCTACACCCCTGTCCCTAAGGCCACCGTCTTGTGCCATTTCCTGACTATATTACTATCAACTAAGTCCAAAATAAGGTGGAGGTTTCAGATAATACCTTTCCCAGAAGAATTTGTATGTTAACATAAAGCCCTAAATCCCTTTCAAGTCTCAATTCAACAAACATTGAGGAGACTCATTTCTGCCTACTGGGCATTAAGCATTTGTGGAAACAAAGAGGAAAGAGACTTGCCCCTCCCTCAAGGAGCTCACAGTCTAACAAGAGAGGAGATATATAGTCAAATAATTCTGATATAATCAATGGAAACAGAAAGGTCTGTGGAAACCCCAGTGAAGAAATTCCTGTGTTTGTCACAGGAATAGTGACAAAGAAGAGGTACTATTTGAATTGGGTCCTGGATCCAGTATCCATTAGGATTATGTCTGACTATGTATAACAGGAAAATCCAAATAACCATGGATTAATGAAAATAGTGGTGTTTAATCTCACTAAAAGAAGTCTGGTATTAGACAATCTATGTATGGTTAACAGAGCTCCATGATGCCACCACAGTCCTATCTTTCTTCTTTATCTTTTTATATAGCTTCTATCCTCAAGTTTGCTTCTTGGGCCCAAAATGGCTGCTGGAGCTCCAGAGAGTCCATTACCATTACAATTCCAGACAGGAAGGCAGAAAGGGCAGAATTGATGCTCTGAGAGGCTTCTCTAGAATTCCACTCAAGAACTTCTATTTCATTGGCCACCCATTCTGAGGAAATAGAACACCTCCATAGATTCAGGCTTATATTGTAAGGAGGAGAGGGAGACTGGATATTGAGTAGGTAAGTAGCAATCTATGCAACAGGCTTCAAGCATAAATGGGGCTTCCCAGAAAGACAAAGTGAAGAAGGACATTTCTGGTAATAGGAACAAAACATGCAAAGATAAAAGTCTGTAAAGTATTTGGTGGGTATTGGAAACTCAATAGTCTAGAAAGGCCTTCCAGGTCAACCTTAGTAAATCTTATTTTTCTGAGTGGGTTGTGGGTTTGGGGGGGTATGTGTTGTGGTTATTGCTGATGTGGAACCCCACCATGAATAAAGGTAAGAGAAGCAACTCTGGTTCAAAGTGCAACAGGAAGAGAACTGTACTTGAATAATTAGAATGTAAGAGAGAGTGACAAGTCCTAAGAGAGTGGTAACTAAAAGATCAATAGTACTTCACAGGCAATGACAGTAGAGCTATATTGAATGGATTTAGGATTTCCAAGTGCCAAGCTGAAAGGAAAAGCTGTCCAAATGGAGGGAACAGCATTTGCAAAGGCCCAGAGAGATAGTGAAACATAAGTGACATTGAGCCTGATTCCCCTTTATCAGAAACTAAAGTTTGTGAAACGGTGTGGGGAATGAGATAGGAAAGGTAAGTGGGGCAGGATCAGTGGAGGACAGTGCAGTTCTAGTATCTAGCAAGGACGTAACCGTGATGGAGGCCTCTGATCTCAACCACTTGAGCAAAGTAGCAGCAATCATGCCTTTGTACTGCAGTTTCTTTTAATAAAAGTAGGATGCACTTGTAGTCTGGATTCTCAAGGCACATAGGCCTATTGACAAAACACAGGATCCATGAGGCCTGAATCTTGATCTAAAGTCCACCACTCAGTTTTGGACTAGTCCCTGCTGCCTCCCCTGCCAAAGCATTTGCAATCTAACTCTCTGTAGTCACACACACTGTGTAGTCCTCAAGTCAACTCATCCCAAAGAGTTGGGACCCTGAGGGAAGGCAGTGCTAGTATGTGCTCTCCGTCTTCTGTGGTGCTCCCTGTCTCCACTTTGGTGCTACAGATGTGGCCAATTCTGTGGGAGAATGATTTTTAAACTGTATGTGACTACCCATAATGGGTCATGGAATCATTTAGGTAACTCAGAACCAGCATTTTTTTTAATGAAATAGAATACTGTATTAGAATAGGTTAGACTACACTGTGGTAAACATTTCTAAACTCTTAGTGGCTCATCAAGCAAAGTTTTATTTTCTCTCAAAGGCTGCTAAGGATGTGGTGATTCTCTAGGGCAAATGTCCTCCATGTAGCAACTTAGTGATGCAAACAGCTCTGATCTGTGGCTTTACCACCTTCACCGGAGGCCTCCCTGGGTCACTGTAACAGGGAGAGGGTCAGCCTGCTGGCTTCCTGTGTTTCAGTGTAGAAGTGATGCTATCCCTTTATAACCATAGCACATTGGCCAGAATTAGTCCTAGAGCCGCACCTACTTCAGGCACCTGAAAGAAGAGAGCTGGATATTGGCAGATACTAGCTAGCAATGTCCAGTATAAACAGAGTAGAAGACAAATGGAATGGAACAGAATATATCTAAGTGCATCACAGAAGGATTTTAGAGTTATATGTGTGTGGTTGAGAAAATGTTGAGGCATGTACTAAGTAACAATTGTAAAATGTATTTCTGGCTAGGCGCGGTAGCTCATGCCTGTAATTCTAGCACTTTGGGAGGCCAAGGCAGGCAGGTCACCTGAGGTCAGGAGTTCGAGACCAGCCTGTCCAACATAGTGAAACCCTGTCTCTACTAAAAAAATACAAAAATTAGCTGGGCATGGCAGCGGGAGCCTGTAATTCTAGCTACTGGGGAGGCTGAGGCAGGAGAATCGCTTGAACTTGGGGGCAGAGGTTGCAGTGAGCCAAGATGGCACCACTGCACTCGCCAGCCTGGGCAAAATCAAGTGAAACTCCACCTCAAAAAAAAAAAAAAAAAAAAAAATGTAGTTCTAGGTAGAGGCCAGATGTTTTAAAAAGGCTTCAAAGGGACTACATCTGAGGAAAAAAGTATGTCTAGGAGGAGAAGAGATTTGTGACATGTGACCCTATAAAGACAAAGGGCTCTCCTTGTGTCTGCTCAAAGAAAATAAGTTTCTGAAGTCTCCTGAACAGTCTTCATTCCATAGCTCAAAAATAACCCAGTGTTACATACCTGGATTCGTATAACAAACTCAATGGGTTACAGTCAACATTGCTGGGGTGGGAAGTGTGTGTGTATTCATTTTGTTCCCTAAAAGAGCTGCAGGGCATGCATTCTAACGAATTTGCTAAATGGCCAGGAGTCCATAGAGTTTGGGAAAGTTAGAAGGTGGCCTCAAGAACACCCAGGGACCGGAGAAACAAACATAAGAAAGGGGAGTTCTAGGCAGGCCCTGGTGACTCATGCCTATAATCCCAGCACCTTGGGAGGCTAAGGCGGGAGAATTGCTTGAGCACAGGAGTTCGAGACCAGCCTGGGCAACATGACAAAACCCTGTCCCTACAAAAAAAATTAAAAATTCACTGGGTATCATGGCACATGCCTGTAGTCCCAGCTACTCGAGAGGCTGAGGGGGGAGGATTGCTTGAGCTCAGGAGGTCGAGGCTGCAGTGAGCCATGATTGTCACTGGACTCCAGCCTAGTGACAGAGCAAGACCCTGTTTTTTTTCTTAAATAAAAACAAAGGCTGCTCTAAGGTGACATTAAAAATCTAATGCCCCATATATACCATGAAATACTACGCAGCCATAAAAAAGGATGAGTTCATGTCCTTTGCAGGGACATGGATGAAGCTGAACAGCATCATTCTCAGCAAACTAACATAGGAACAGAAAACCAAACACCGCATGTTCTCACTCATAAGTGGGAGCTGAACAATGGGAACACATGGACCCAGGGAGGGGAACATCACACACTGGGGCCCGTTGAGTGGTGGGGGATTTAGGGGAGGGATAGCATTAGGAGAAATACCTAATGTAGATAACGGGTTGATGGATGCAGCAAACCACCATGGCACGTGTATACCTATGTAGCCTGCACATTCTGCACATGAATCCCAGAACTTAAAGTGTAATAAAAAAATTTAAAAATCTGATGCCCAACATGAAGACACCCACCTTCTAAGTAAACACCTCACTTGTGTGGAAACATGGGTCATTCCTATGGCAGGACCCTAATTGTGTAAGTTCTCACTTGAAATCTTGCTGTGAAACTGTGACATCAGTCATGAAACAATGAGCAGTGCCTCCCTGGTACCTCTATGTGGGGCACTGCTCTGAGAAGAGAAGCAAACCTTCAGGGAAAAACTTGGCAATATTTTTCCTAGGGCTCCAGAAGCCAGAAGAAGAATGTTATGAACACTGCAGGGCATGTGGAAGGTGTTATATTAGTAAATTGACTTGGGATGGTTGAAATATATCTCTGAAACCTGTAACTCAAGGGACACAGTGAAAAAAATGTTAGCTAACGTTTATAGAATGCTTATTATGTGCCCAGAACTGTGCTAGAAAGTATATCTTCTCCTGTATGAGGCCACTCCTGTTAGTTAGTTCCATTTTTTGTGGTCAAAGAGCTCAGGAAGTTTGCCTACTTGTAGATAATAAGTACAGAGCTATGCTTCAAACTCAGCTTGTCTTTTAACTGCTACAATTAAAAAAAATACAGAAAACTTGGGATTACTTAGAAGTAGCAAGGTGTTCTGAGCTGAACTGTTTCTTCCAACAAAGGCATGTTGAAGTCCTAACCCCCAGTACCTCAAATGCAACCTTATTTGCAAATAGGTTCACTTATATATGTAGTTAAGACAAGGTCGTGCTGGAACAGGGCGGGCCCCTAAGCTGACATCACTGGTTTGCTTGTAAGAAGGTGATCATGTCAAGACATAGAACACCCTGTGAAGACAGAAATAGAGATTGGAGCGATGCGTCTACCAGCCAGGGAACACCAAGGATTGCTGGCCTCAGAGCCTTCAGAAATATTGGATTTAGCCTCTAGAACTGAGACAATAAATTTGCAGTTTTAAGTCACTCAGTTTGTGTACTTTGTTATGGCAGCCCTATGAAACTAATAGACAAAATAATTACAATCTCCAAATAATTACCAAACCAGATCTAACACAGCATCTAGCATCTCCTTAGTAATGAGAAAAATCTAGGCATAAAGCTTTGAAGACTTTGGCTCAAACTGAGCAGCAGTCACAGCAGCTAGACCCCCAGCCCTTTGCGTTTTGTGTTTGCCGTCTTCCTCCCCGTGTAAGCACTGAAGGTAGTTTCCTCTTTGACTTAGTGCTCTGAGAATCCGAACCTGTGGGGCCTACACTGCAGTTGCTGGTGCAGACATAATGGTTCCTATCTTTTCAGAGGCAGGAGATGATTATGCATCTCCCTGGGATCCTTGCCCATGAGTTCATGTCCTCTGCACGGACATGGATGAAGCTGGATACCATCATTCTCAGGCACACACTCCATTTTGGGAGCCAAGCGGGGGACCCAGCCCCAGGGAGTATGGGATGAGCTGCCACCCTTATCTTAAGTGTGAGCTCTGGGGTAGCTAGCTAAAACTCTAGTGCTTATAGGACTACATCCAGTCAGTGTTGGGAGCAGAAATCAAGTGGAAATTTTTCCCCAAACCAGAGAGAAGACTTGGAACGGAGGAGCACAGTTGCTTCTCAGAGTTCATTTCTCCAACAAATTGTCAGGGAAGTGACCTTCAAAGGCCTGTTGTCAAAGTCACCACAAGCTAACAGAGGGCATCTAGGTCTGGTGGCACTTCCTCTAACCAGAAAGCCACTAAAAGCCAAGGCTCACTCTATGCAAGTGGCAGCAGCATTCTTCGCCAGAAATGTTTTCTTTCAAAACAACTTGAGCCAAATGTAACACTATCCATATGGCACAAATGGATTTTATCTGTATCTGGTAGGTGGCAAAGATCCCTGGAAATCTTTTGATCTGTGTGTCCAAAGGGAAAAGTTATAAAGACCTAATAGTGGTAAAATTTATATTGTTACCATGGCACTATGCAGTTCATAGATGCAACACTTCCCAACTCAGAGCCTTTCAAGAGACCAGATACCATTCTGCTCCAGTGGTTTTCAGAGCATTGTTGAAATGCAGATTACTAGGTCCTGCCCAAGGATATTAGCTTCAAGGCCCCAGGAATGGTATTTAACAAGCACAAGAGGAAATTCTGATGCAGCTGGTCGGGAGACTACACTTAGGGAAACACTGGGTTTCGACTTTCTTCTGTATTAAGATCCAAGGATATAGATCAGATGAACTCTCAGGTTTCCTCCAGCCTCATGATTCCAATATGGCCCCTTGTTTATCTTGTGTCCATCTGCCCTACTTAAGCTGGTTGCTTTGGTATCCTAGAACCACTTTCTTTCCTTTAACTTTTCCAACCAACTCCACTGCCCTTTCTCTGTCCCTTGATTGCCTGGCTGGCTCTGAGGAGCCAAGTAGAGTTATCTTAACATTTGATAGGTAGATGCTATAGATATCATTGCTAAAACCAACTCCCAATACCACTAAGATACTAAGCATACCACTTTATCAGCCTTTAATCTGCCCTCATTATTAATACTTAATCATCCCTGACCAGAGTTTCCTAACTCAGGTCTCTAGGGGTTTATGGATGGGTTTCAAGGCATCTGAAAACTCTCTGAAATGTCATGTGAAATTGTATGCAAATAACATGCATGTAGGCAGTTTTTTTGGAGGTTTTTTTTTTTAGACAAAACTCTACAGCCAGGGAAGGTTAAGAACCATGGTTTCAGATATCATCTGACTCATATAGGAGTTGTGATATAGGTTGTTCATTTTGATAATTCTAAGCTACATTGTTTGACTCATGGACAGTTCCTAGTCAGCTTAAGAAGCCCCTACAGAAAACAATATCAAAATCTACCTAGATCATGTTTCTCCTATTCCTTGGTAATATGCTAGACACTTTACTAATCAACAAAGATAGAAGATCAGATAAAATGCAATTCCTAGAAGATGGCACTGACATCACAAGCATAATCTTTCAATCCCTCCAAATCCCTACATAGAAACAGGCAGAACAATTAAATAACAAAACCAAAAACCCAGAGACACATTTACAGCAAATCTAAAATTACAAGTGGGCAGAGACAAACCACCAATACCACAAGTATATGCAGCAGGAAAAAGGAAGCAATGGAGTAGCATCGGATGGACCTGAAGATTAGTCAACGGTATTCCCTGAAAAGTATAGTTGGAATGTTTTTGAAAACATCCTTAGAACTGGAGTTGGGCTATCACATTCTCTAACAGTAGTAACTAGATGGTCTCAGTAAGGTAGACAGAGGCTGGAGTCGTCAAGGCCCCTGAGAGCTTTCAAAATGGATCCACATGGGCTCCCTCCTAGGACAGGGCCCTATACTGAGGAGAAACTGCCTGGAGGAATTAGAATTGAGCAGGATAGGGTCAGTAGAGACAAGGGAAAGACAGACTAGGTCTAGATCAGCTGGGGAGGGAAACAGCAGGAAAGCTCATCATGCAAACCGCCATATTTCACACTGTGAAAAAACAACCGAAGAGAGAACTCTGAAGCTTAGAAAGTTTTCTAAATCCTGCCTCATTCTCTTAGGAAAATGAATTTCACGTAAAAGTGAATAATAGAAACGAATAGAGGTCAGTTCCTATAACAGAGCTATTATAAGAAAAATGAGGGTGTGGAATAGAATAATGTTCCTACAAACAATGAAAACATGCCGGAAAGACATGCTCATAAAACAAATCAAAATTATAACATATTACATCAAACAAGTTAAGAGACTAAGAAAATGATACAAGACATGAAAGAATTAGAAAAACAAACTCTAGAAATAGAAAAAGTCATTTAATAAATCAAGTCTAAATTAGAAGGAATAGGAAAGTGAATAAACACAATTGATATCTTAAGAGAAATACCAGGTGAAGGGGAAGAAAAAAATCAGAAATAAAAATAATTCAAGAGAAAGTGACACATATTGAAGATTAAGAAATTGAACATCTAGAGAATAGGAGTCCCTAAAGAAGAAACGCAAAGCAAGGAAATAGAATGCTCCTAAAAACGAGCTTGAAATAACACCCTTGGAACTATACATTGAAAGAGCACACAATGTACCTGAGACATCAACCTAGAACAACCGACATTAGATAAGTTTTAACAAAATTAATGAACTTTAAAGAAAAAGTCCTTTGGGCATCTTGGGGGCAGGGGGAAGCATGTGATTTGTGGTAGAAAGAAAGTTTCCACAAGTTCATTAAACTTTTCAGGAACAACTTTGCATGTCAAAAGAAATAAAATACATTTAATGTGCTCAAAGTATAAGCCAATGCTTTTATTTCCAGCAAAATGACTTTCAAAATAGGCACGAACTATTATCAACATACAAGACCTCAGAATATTGTTCCCATGAACCCTTGCTGAGAACTCTACTGAAGAACAAGCTTCAGACAATCAAAGTGACTAGAGAGAAATTGACAAAAGGCCTGGAGGTAGGCATGAGATCAGTAGTCACCTGATCATTTAGCTAGGACTAAATGATAGTTAAGAGGGAAACAATATAGACTGTAATGGCTATATGTCCAGACAATATAAATATATGACAACCATCTATAGTTATACTGCAGGAGTTTTGTAAATGGGAGGTCAGAATGCAAGGATATGGCAAAAATATTTTAATGTTTTAGGTAATTGTTATGGTAGCATTATCAGTATTATTCTGAGATGGTTGTGTCTGTGATCTAGGAGAAAGCAAATGAATCATTGTGGAATATTCTCATTTGATTCTTTGTGTCCTTGAAAAACAGAAATATTTGAATTGGAAATATCCATAAGAACTCATGAGATCTATAACCAGTGGCATGGTGAAGCCAGTTCACACCAACAGTTTGTACACTTTTTTCAACTCCAGAGTCAGTAACTTTGTGTCAGTAGCTTGAAATTAGCCGTAGTGGGAGTATTTATACACCATGGAAATTGGGAAATGCTACAAATCCAGCCTTTCTTCCCCAACAGAGAGTCAATTGTTAAACCATTTGCCAGCACCCCACAGTATGTAGCAATCTTTAGTGTCCAGATCTTAGTAAGAATAGAAGGGAATAGAAAAGCCATCTGTTTACAGATTTCTTGATCTGTAAAATGGGATTATAGTACCCAATTACAAGTGTAAAGAGAAAATAAGACATATGGAAATGCTATATCAATGAAAGGGTGTAGGGTACAGTATTCCTGAATGGAGATATGGAGATAAATGTGCTTTCCTTCTTCACACAGCTGTGTGCTGACAAGCATTTTACCCTTATAACAAGACCATTTATCAAGTCTATAAACACTTGCAAATGCTCCCAGTGGGCAAAAAGTCTTCTTCCACAAGCTGAGATATGATCATTTGTTAATCCACTCCCAAGTATAACATTGAGTATTCATTTTGTTGAGTCAAGTATCTATCCCAGCCCTTAGACAAGATGCAACAACTGGCAGAGACCATTATATATGTCTGGGTTCAGAGACAAATGGGATTATGGCTTACCTTATACCTGTCCTCACCCTAAAAATGATGGCTTATGGACATAGGGAGACAAAAAGAACATTGTCTACTATTTAAGATTTGAATCTCATATGGGAGGGCAATACTCCAGAGAATTCCAAATTCACTTGATCAGTCACCTGGGATGATTGCTGAAAATTCAGTGTCTTCGTTTACTTCCCAGATCTGCTGAATCAGAATCTCCAAGAGAGGTCTTTAAAATCTGAATTTTTAACAAACGTTCTAGATGATTTTCATGATGAGGCAAGTTCAGAGAAAAATAGAACACAGCTCCACAGGGTTCTAAAAGTAAAGATTTTTAAAGAGGGCCCAAGATAAGTGATGTCTTAGTCTACTTGGGCTGCCATAACAAAATACCATAGCTTGGGTGGTTTAAACAAGAGAAATTTTCTCAGTTTTGGAGGCTGGAAGAATAGAGTGGTCAGGTCTTGGTGAGGGCTGTCTTCCTGGCTTGCAGATGGCTGCCTTCTTGCTATGGTCTCACATGATCTCTTCTTTGTGGAAGGTGGGAAGAGGGAGAGAGAGAACAAACTCCCTAGCATCTCTTCTTATAAGGGTATTAATTCCATCATAAGGGCCCCACCCTGATTAGCTCCCAAAGGCCCCATCTCCAAATATCACACTGGGGCTAGGGCTTCAACATAACCCTAGCTATGTTAGAGGGTGGGGGGATGCAGACATTCAGTCCACATAGGTGCAATGGAGTTTAGTCCTTCAAAGGAGCAGGTGCTCATTTGTGGAGCTGGATCGTTGGGGTTTTTGCTTCTCACTGACCTATGCAAAGCCACATCATACAAGCCATAGGCTTAAGCTGTGTACCCATTGGTTTTAGCAACATACAATGGACAAAACATGATGATTTAAAGTAAACAACAACAAAAGATCAATCAATGTCACCAGGTATTTTGGATATTATTCAGTTAAACACCAAATTTAGCTCTGGACCTGCTGTTAGCCCAGACCAAAGGAGAAAATGCACTTGCTAACTGTCTTTCCTATTTCACGCAAGTTAAATTCTGGGTAGAGTTCCAGCTTTTACTTATGTCTCCTGAACCATACTGCTATTCTCAAACTTATGCCCTTTAAAGATGAGAAAAGTCATTGTTTTTCCCCAAGAGCTGAACATTTTTTGTCTCAATGCATTTCTAGCTTATTAGAGAAGCAAAACTAGTCATATTAAAAATACCCAATGGGGAACCTCCCTCCCCATTCTGGAAGCTGATGAGAAAAATAACACATTTTGCAAAATCTGCCGTTGGGTTTTTTTTAATAGATAGAAGAGTTTTCTTACCTTTTAATAATTCAGGTAACCCTGGAGATCCAGCCACTTTCCAGACATTGCTCAGCAATGAAGAACTCAGGAAGTCCCCAATTCCAAATTGGTTATCCAATTAGGCAAGTCCCGTTACTCAGTGTCTTCGTAACAGAAGAAGGATAGCTCAGTGTGGTAGAAGAGCCCCTGAATTCAGGCCTAGCTCTGCTGTAAACTAATCAGCAGTTTCCATTGAGCAATTTATTTACCTTCTCTGAGCCTGTTGCCTTCATTAATTCAACTACTATTTCATAAGTATCTAAGAAGTGCCACACTGTATCCAGGTGAAGGGGACTGCCTTCAGGAGACCACAGTTTCGAGAAAAGGGAATTTTCTATTCTGTAATGTAATGGTTCCTTTCCTTGTATGGGTGCCTTGTCTCTGTTCCTCACTAGCTTGGCACATGAAACAAAAACCTGTGAGTGTATGATGGAACAAATGAATGAGTGAGTGAAAGAAAACGGTTTTTTAAATCACCTTATTTTATGCCACTACCACTCTTCCTAAGGTCCCCTCCACCTGATAACTCAGGCCCAAGTAGTCCAACTTTGATTTCCCCTTTCTTAGGTTTCTAGCACTCAGAAAACTCATTTGTTGGCTGTAATCTGCCCCTTCATTCTTCCCTGGCACCGTTCCTCTGAATCTACTTCCATCTCTCATACACCCCTGAATATTTTCCTATATTCTAAATCCAAACATCCATTGTGCACATAATATATAGCAAGCACTGGGCAAACCAAGATGCTGAAGAACAGACTCAGCTCCACATTTGATATGGCTGCAGACCACACTCTGTGTATCCCATTCACAGCCACAGAGAGTATACCTCAGTTGACTCACAGCTACTTGGATACCAGGACAGGCAAAATGATGCCACGTAATTCCCAGGAGAGTCTTACATCAACTAATTCTACCCACCTCTCACTCACCACCTCATGCTAGCCCCCTGAACAATAAAGTTTAACAAAAATAGCTGTTTAGGGGTATAGAACCACCTTAAAATTTCCATTCACTTAGTAGTCCATGAATCTGGGTGCTACACCAAATGACTGGAGCACAAAGCTCTTATCTCTACCTTCAGTATCGTTTTCCCATCATTATCGAACAATGAGACACCGGTTTCTCCAGAAAACATTACTCAGACAGTTTTTTAAGTAAGTAGCATTTTTATAGCATATCAAGGTTTAAAACCATTTCTACATATGTTATTTCAGTCAATATTCACAACAAAGCCTGAGGCTCAGAGGATAAGTAACTAGGCCATATGGTCAGTAAAGTGGCAGGGCTGGCATTTATGCCTGGGTCTGAGTCAAAATCCTGGAGCCTGCACAGAGGGAGCCAAGTGATACTGTTCAGTTTAGTCCTCATACTCACTAAAAGCTACACATTTAGCCTTTAAGCATTTACTCCAATAGTATTATATAGTTGTACCCCCTTATCTGCTGGGGATATGTTCCCTGACCCCCATGGATGCCTGAAACCTCACATATGCTAAACTCTGTATACACTATGCTTTTTCGATCTGATAACCACAATGGCTACTAAGTGACTAGGGGGCAAGTAGTGTAGACAGTATGTGTATGCTGCACAAAGGGATGATTCATGTCCCATGTGGGATGGAATGGACAGTGCGAGATATCACTCAACTCAGAATGGCACACGATTTAAAACTTGTGAATTATTTCTGGATTTTCCATTTAATTTTTTTGGACTGTGGTTGACCATGGGTAACTAAAACCATAAAAAGTCAAACCATAAATAAAGGAGCACTACTACGCATAGATTTAAAGAGATAATAACCTCATCAGGATTTTTTAAGGGTGTTCATTACACAATCCTAAACTTATATTTTACTTTTGTAACATTATTTTGGCTTTTTCAGTATGCTGAGCCTCTCAGCAGAAGTTGCTCAGGCCTCTTTCAAGCTCAGAGCCTTGACAAACTTTTTTTTTTCTTTTAACATGACATCACTAAAAATGTTGCTTACTTGCTGTCACTTTTCCATCCTTCCACCTGGAAATAAAATTGGCTGGATTTTTTTTAATTTGTACTCCAGTTGTACATATATCTTGTCCACCTCACCTCCATAAAGACATTTTTATTGACCCATACCTACTGTAAACCCTAGAAAGATCACGTACCCCAGCCTGAGTCTGCAGCTCCCCAGCAGGGGCGAGATCTTGTGCTTTGCTCTCCAGAAAACCCAGCTGGTTGCAAACCCTGACCCTGCCCTGAGAATTGTCTTCTAGGGGTGATATTGGAGGATTCAAATAGCAGAGGGAGCCTTTGGATTATTTAAAATTATATCTCTAGGCCTCAATTCCTTCATACATAAAATGAAAGAAATAACACTAATGAAAATTAAAAGAACATCAAGAGCTTTTCAGATTTGTAGATATATTTACAAGATATTACACCAAATACCAGGCTCTGAACTTTAATATCTTCACCTAACTGGGCACAACAGCTGCCCATCTGAAAGGAGGGATCAACTTTTCTATTTGCAATTGGAATTGCAGGCCCTCCTAACATCTTCCCAGTCACTCTCCTCGCATCATAACAAGGCTTCGTTCAGGTGCATGGCCTGCTTTGGTGACAAATACATCAAGCCAGAAGTACCAGATTCTTTAGCCTCCACTGGGCTGCATCTTCCCTCTATGCCCACATGCTCAGGGTATCATGAGAATGGCATGTGAATTATCCAGCTATGGATGGACTCCACCAGAGGCATCACCAAGATCATCTCATGCCCTGAGTGCCTGAGCACAGCTGCGGATCTTCATGATCCAACCAATGATAACTCCTCTCCATTTTTTCCCTTTCCCTATTTACTATAGCTTTTTGGAAAGTTGATGAAGTGAAATACTCTCCAGCAGAGGAAGTAATATAAAGCTTAAAAGTCATTTCTGATGGAATGCTGAAATAATTCCACTGCTTTCCTTTGAGCAAAAAAACTAAAATAAGGCAACCTGAGGCAGCTCTGGGGATTTCATTATTGATAGATTGGAGGAAACAATGGCTTTAGATGAACAAGTTTTTCTCTTGTTAGAGCACTTTGGAATGAGGAGATGAGAAAGACAGGTGCTAGACAACAGAATAAACCCAGCACCGACTTATTTACATAATTTTGTATAGAAATCCATTGATGTATGAAGTTTAAAGTGACTGTTGAATAGTGAAAAAGTAAGTATTTTGGAAAACAATCTATGTTCACTACCTAGCTCTAAAATAACTGAACATTTTATAAAATACCTCTTGCATCTTTGTAAAACTTACTGGCAGTTTAAGCTACGCGTGTGTACAGTTTTAAGAAAATACAATCTTTTATGTTATCCTTTAAGGTAATTCTTAAGAATGCATTCTCTAAGCAAATGAGACATTGAGTTGGGGATAGGATGGGAAGAGCACATTTACACTTCTGATGCAGCATGGGCCATCCACCATTTCTTCATGAATAAAGGCTATCAGGAAGGCTGGAAAAGTATGTGTAACAAAGATTATAAACAGCAATTTTTGCAGGGCAAATTTCTTCCTAAGTGAGGGAGTAGGGGATTTAAAGGCAAACGTAGCTGTCTCAGCATACAAAGGTTTGTGCAGCGTAAGATTCCTAAATCCTAACTCCCTGTTGACAAGTATTCCTTAACAGGCCTCCCAGGTATCTGAAACCAATTTTAACCCACTCTGGTCCTCCGCTGACTACAACATTACCTGAATGGTGTGGTCCGATTTCCAGGCTGCTTACCAGTCCTCAAGCCTATGGGGTAAGTAAATCTCAGGCCTCTAGGGTGAGGGAATATCCCTTGTGGGACAGACTTGGTGAATATCGATGAGCCCAGGAACCTCAAAAAGCCTGCTACTTGCAGGATTGAGGAGGAAGCTTTTTTTTTTTTTTTTTTTTTTTTTGAGACGGAGTCTTGCTCTGTTGCCCAGGCTGGAGTGCAGTGGCGTGATCTCAGCTCACTGCAAGCTCCGCCTCCCGGGTTCATGCCATTCTCCTGCCTCGGCCTCCCGAGTAGCTGGGACTACAGGCGCCTGCCACCACACCCAGCTAATTTTTTGTACTTTTAGTAGAGACAGGGTTTCACCATTTTACCCAGGATGGTCTCAATCTCCTGACCTCGTGATCCACCTGCCTCGACCTCCCAAAGTGCTGGGATTACAGGCATGAGCCACCGTGCCCGGCCTGAGGAGGAAGCATTTTTTAAAAATTCACTGCACTAGGAAGCATTTCTCTTGTCAATTGTTGCTGATGTTGGCTTATTCTCTTTTATTGTTACCAATATTTTTAACCATAAAATGACCTTAGAAAATGTAAAAGAAGCATCCTCACAAACTGCTGTGTTTTGAGGTTTTGAGGTTTTGAATACTAGGCCTGTGATTTATGGCTCAAGGGAGTGGAATGAAAAATGCTGAGAGGCACTTAGAATCATTACTCACAAATCAGAGGTCAGGGAATTGGAGAAGAGCACAGTCTTAGGTTTGCAAGTACCCTTAGAAGTGTCCAGCTGGCTAGCCCTGTACACAGGCAAAAACTTATCTCAGGTGTGTTCAGGGCACAGAAGCCTAAGGCAGTGGTTCTCAAACAGTAGTCTCCAAACCAGCAGCCTCACTTGGGAACTTGCTAGAAATGCACACTCTCAGGCCCCGCCTCAGAAACCCTGAGCTTGAACGATGATCTGTATTTTAACAAGCCCTCCATGTGATCCTGGGACAGGCGAAAGTTGGAAACCACTGCCCTAAAAATCCCCCGGCAAGGGCCCATTCTACAAGTAGTTTAGTATGGCCTTCCCAAAGCCAGTGGAGGAAGAGTTGGGATCTTAATTCTTTCAAGGGAACCTCTGTATGGAAAAAATTATTATTAGCCAGATCCAGTTAGCTTCTGGCATTATCCACTATGGTGACTTCCAGCCATTTCTAGACTTGTGATACTCTTCCCAAGAAATATGCTGAGAAGACACACTTTTAAGGTAAAATGTAACAGGAGGCCAGGCGTGGTGGCTGACGCCTGTAATCCCAGCACTTTGGGAGACCAAAGTGAATGGATCACTTGCAGTCAGGAGTTCAAGACCAGCCTGACCAACATGGCAAAACCCCGTCTCTACTAAAAATACAAAAATTAGCCAGATGTGATGGTGGCACATGCCTGTAATCCCAGCTACTCGCGAGGCTGAAGCAGGGGAATCACTTGAACCCCAGAGACCAGAGGTTGAAGTAAGCTGAGATCGCAACACTGCACTCTAGGCTGGATGACAGAGTGAGACTCTGTCTCAAAAAAAAAAAAAAAAAAAAAGTAGCAATAACTGTGTTTCAAGGATTTTTTGATAGGCAGGAATGTTACAAAACCAACATGAGAATCTTCCCCTATTCTGAGATCATAGGATTATGCTAACTCCTAATTCCTGTCAACCCTAGTTAATACCAGTGGTGGAAACATCCTTAACCCAAAGAGGAAATGAAAGTACCATGCTCTTTAACACCTCTTACCTCAGACTTAGAGACCCCTTATGGCTGTACAGCATCAGATATTCAATGCTGACTCAGGGAAAGGCTGTACCATGCCTGCAGCAGAAACATCAGCCAAGGCCAGACAGGGCAGTTACAGAAAGGAAAACATGCATTCTGTTTAAAAAAAAAAAAAAATTGTAGGACTGCTATTGTTTTCTGCCTTCATCATGAAGTGACACCTCTCTCTCTTTTCCCAACCAGGAACAGCTAAAAGAGGATGATGTGGAATGCATTGTAAACCAGGATGAACTAGCCATAAATTACCAGGAGCAAGCCTCCTCACCCTGCAGTCCTCCTGCAAGGCTAGGTCTGGACCAGAAAGCTTCACCCCAGACGCCAGGCAAGGAAAACATTTATGAGGGAGACCTCGGCCTGGGAGGCTATGAACTCAAGCTTGAGCAAACTTTGGGTCAATCCCAGTTGAATTAATTGGCATGAAGAGTACAGATGTAATCACAAGTAATGCAAGACTCACTGAGGAATACAAGCCAAGCTGATGAGGCAGTACAGGGGAGAGGCTGGAAAACATATTAAGAGCATAAATTGGAGAGAATCAAAGCCTTGTCACATGGATCCTCTGGTGCCTGAAGAAATGAGATTTTATTATCCCTCTCTATTATGCAAATGAATTTAGTTTTTTGACAGCAGCCATTCTGATTACTGGATTGGCTGGGGTGGGGATGGAGGTATCAGGAGTCTAGCTGCTGGAGGATGGGACAGCTGTGCTGGGTCTTCAGGGCATTTCTGCTGCGAATGCGGCTCTCCAGGCCCTTCACTTCTATTCTGGATTTTATTCCCTCCATTAAGGAGAGTTTAAAAATAAAAGAAAGCTTCTGAGAGTAAACATTTTGCTCCTAAGCTGAAGGGAATGCCCAGCTATTTAGTAAGTGATAAGTTTCTTATTTTGAGGACTTGACTCCCATTTGCTCTCAGTGACCCCAGGGCAGAGCCCAGAGAAGTGTTCCGTACCCACTGCTGATGGTTTCCCAGAGCCCACACTGAGTTGAAGAACCTATTGTTCTTCTTGGCATCCTTCTTATGCTACTTCTCCCATCGCTCAAAGGGGTTGCCTATGGCTGGGTGTGCCCTGCCCTAAATGCAGCACCACTTTCAAGCTTAGTAGGACCATTCCAAGAAAACCAGGTTTCTTCTCCCCATACCACGTTGTGCCTGAAGAACAAGCCTTCCCGTCCTTGCCTGCATGTGAGTCACTTCTTGGCTGTGCAGCAGGTCCCCCCCTCCCCGCGATATGCTGGAGGGTAGGATTCTGCAGCCTGTGTTGCTCTCTACCTGGCAGCAGACTGTGCAGGAGCCCCAACCTGTCCTCCAATTCCAGCATTCACAGCTGATGAGCAGTGCAGGAGCAGGGCGAGAGGAACAGAGCCAATGATGTGTGGGTTACACTGAGGAGCCAAGGACAGGGCCTCAGGTCTCCCCCTTACAAGGCGTGGCTCATGGCCTGCATTCCAGAGACCAACATGATAGCTTTTAATTCAGCTGCATGACCTGTGCCTTTTAAGCCATAAAGATACCTCAAGCCTAGCACCTCTTGAAATCCAGATGTTCATATTAGACTCGAAAAAATAGGCTCCAGGCCTAGGTGCCCAGGCTATGATGAGTCTGCTTTTGAAGGAGGTAGGGAATGACATCTTCCTTGGACCCAAAGCTTAAAAGTAATGTATGCTTTGCTGACCACTGTTTGTTAGGCCTTAAACAACATTCACTGTGGTGGTATCAGGCACACTGCTATGTGCATCAATTATTTTTTTGCTTTCCAAACAGAATCTCTGGGGCACAAGTTTTACACTCAAGCTAAGTATAACTTTGTCATTTCAGGTAAATATGACAAGTGGTGGAGCATGAAGTTTTCTAATTTGACTTAATCCTAATAAATTTTTGTTACAAAGTATGATTGTGTTTGGCTAATGCTTTATTTAAAGTCATTTTCTCTTTCCAGGTGATTTGGTGGTTCTAAGCTCTTGTACTCAGAGTGCCAGCTGAAGCAGGCACTGAAAGCTAATGTATGGGACATGCAGGGATCCTGTGGGCCAGAAACAGCTAACAGACTAGCAAGACAAGTCACTGAAGGAATGAAGAGAGCAGGGATGGACTGGGGAGGCGTCCCAGAGAAGGGAAACCTGAGTCAAGCAGAGGGGCACAGATGCCGCCTTTCCCACTAGGGATGACCAGGGTTCACAAAAGCTACAAAAATAGGGGAAGGAGATAGATAGATACTAGAGGAGAAAGAAAGAAAAGAAAGGCAAAAAGATAAAAGGTTCCTCTTTTTTTCTGTCCCTATCATGCTAAAAGGAAGGGAGGCGAACTTGGCGTTTTCTTTGTGTGGAGAAAGACACCAAGGAAAGAAAAGATCCACCCAAAAAAGGCAAACCTTAGTAGGGGGCAGGAGTGGAGAGAAGGAAGAGAAATATGACATACCAGATGGAAATGAGATCAAGTGGGGAGGGGAGGGTACACAATCTAAAACTAGCACCAACTTGCTAAGATGGTGTAGCAAAAATAGCCTCCTGCCCCACAGGCAAAGCCCTCTTCCTACTTAGAAACAAAAATCTCTTTCCCTCTGAACATCATGAGCTGTTGCTAATGTGGACAATGACTGCCTATTTAATCTGGGCTGTTTCAGGTATCCCAGCCAACTTCAGGTAGGTACGATACAAGAAACTGAGAGTAAACTGTGCCCCACCCAACCTGTAAGACAGTGTTCCAGTTTCGTGATGTGATTACCAGCCCTCTTCCCTCTATGTCAGTCCAAGAGCCAAACAGAGGCTAGTGTCCCAGTTAGCAATTCATAAAACCAAATTCCCTTTATGCTCCTATTGTAAGGGTAATAATTTATGATGTTAAGAAATGCTCTGTGCTTTGATTAGCATCAGGACTGTGAAATTCAAACCTATTATTTACTGCCAGTTTTAATGAATAATAAAGGTAAAAGAGCCTTATGCAAACCACTAATGCTTCTACTCATCACTAGAGCTTTAAGCAGGACTCTAATTCATTGACTTACAGGTCTTCCCTGAACTTCCTGTCATGTATATCATACACACATTCATGGGTGTATGCACACATACTTCCACTCACTTCCTCTACCGGGCTCCCAGCTACGGCCTCTATGGTGTTCCCTGTGGTACTTGGGCATGTCTGAGCAAGTCTGAAGCCTGGTAGCAAGTGACATCAGGGTCTTCATTCATGACATTTCAAGGAATTTTTTAGAGGGCAATTTAATATAAATCAAAGCTGAAATTTTAAATACCCTTCGACCCAACAATTTCATGGGCAGAACTTTTATTCTAGATGTGCCACAAAGTATACATATGAAAGGTATTCTACTAAAACAAATGAATTGCCATAAGGTTAAGTAAATCATAGCACAGCCATTTTATAAAACAGCATATGTGCTGATATGGAATGATTTCCAAGACGTTATTGTTAAATGAAAACATCAAGTTGCAGAACAGGATGAATAATGCGCGACCATTCTAGCAGGTTAAATAAGGAACTGGTAATATCACTGCCTTTTAAGAACTAGGGGACCTGACTGTTCTCTTTTGTACCTTTTGAGCTTTGTACATCACATATGCATTATTTAATTTGGTTCTGAATAAATAAGATTCCTATGAAATAACTCATTCCAAGTACTAAGCTATCAAAGGAGTAAAAACCTGAAAAGCTGTTATTTTTATCATAAACTTTCAGAGATCCTGAAAATACAAAGGGCAGCACCAATAGCTTCTGGGTTATTTATTTATATCATCTAACATACACAGATGCGAACTATATAAAAAGTCTTGAAATTCAGACAAATGACTCAGTCCCATCCATCAAACATCTAGTAGAAGACAGCTAAAAAAAGAATGATTTCTTATTAGATAGCAAAATATATGATAAAGCTCTAATAACTAGAACAGTGTAGTATTGACCCAGAAATAAGCAATAAGATGAAGAAAAACCTAATACGAGGTACAGAAACAGACCCATGAATTTCTATATTTAGAAACTTAGTTAATAAAAATGGCATTTCAATTTGGGGTAGGAATTAATGGGCCAACTGACTATCAATTTGGAAAAATAAAGAAAAGTAGGTAATAACCTCTAACATATACAAAACTAAATTCAAAGTAATATAAACTGCTAAACAAAAAAAAAAATATGTAAATCTTGGCATATGGACAGTCTTCCTAAGACAGATGCAAACCGTAAACAATAAATTCACTACATAAAAATATGAAACAGGACAAAAGACACAATAAACCAAATTTTAAAGCAAGATTAGAGAAAAATATGTATACACACTTTGTGTTGTATATCAGACTGAGGAGTATTCCTCAGAATATACAAAGAACTCTTACCAACGTATGAGAAGAGAAAAAACTACCAAGTACAAAAATGTGCCAAGAATATGTAGAATTAAATATGTACATCTTCTATCCGGAATTTCTACTTTTAGGTATCTCCACAAAATAAGTCCTTGGCATTTATACATAAGAAGGTGTACAAAACAATATTCACTGGGGCACTGTTTGTTACTGCAAAACACTAGGAGAGAAGGGAGAGAATTATGACATACCAGATGGAAATGAGATGAAACTCCTGTCAGCTTAAATAACTGGGAGGAAAAAAAAATATTCATTAATAGAAGAAGAGTTAAGTAAATGACAGAGCACCAATACTAGGGAATACTCTGTGGCAATTATACTCTACAGAAATGGGTCTATATGCATGCACTTACAAGGCAATATTTCCAAGATGTGTTAGTGAAAAAACAGCCTGGAATAATAGTCTAATTAGCAAACAGTGTAGGATTAGGAAAACTAGATCAAGAATGCTTTTTGGTTTATCTGTATTACTTTAATTTTCTACAACAATACTATATGCATGTGTTCTCTGCTTATTAAAATCAATTTAAAGGTATGAAAAATGTAAATGATTAATATGGACACTTGCGGAATTCTGTCTAAATAAGGAGGACCCATGAAAGAAGATGTCTTTTCTGAGGGCTGTCCTGCCTTCAAGATGGGAGAGGGGAAAGGAGGAAGAGGCATGGTCAAGAAACACTTCAAAGTAGCCACATTTGAGTAAAGTCTTGAAAGATAAGAGTTTTTGAAAGATAAGGAGACATGATTGGTGCTGGTCTGTGGGGCAGGAGGTGGAGCTGGATCACTAGAGTACAGTGAAGGCCTTCCAGTTGAAGGAAGCAGCCTGGCATCTTAGAGGACCTATAAGCTATTCCACACGAGTCTGGGCCACAATCCTGTGAGAATGGGGAGCTATTGAAATCTTTTAGGCAAAGAATATAACTACATGGGTTGTCAGGAGAAGGGGTGCTAGTAAGACCAGCGGCAGTGCAATATCCCAAGAGAGAGGTGACAAGAGATGCAACTAAGGCAGTATCAGGTAGGATGGAGAAGACAGGTGCTAGATAAGTTTCAGAATTAAATTTACAAAGTTGGTAACTGATTGCATATGGAAGTTAAGGAAGATGGAAAGGCTCAGAATTACCCCAAGTTTAAGGTCTAGATGATTGATGATTTCACTCACTAAACAGGAATTGAGAGAACAGATTGGAGGAAATCAGAAATGTTGATTTCTGCTGTTGTTGTGCCTGTGGCCTTACACACCTGCCCTACTGTCACCAGTGGAAAAGATCTGAGTAACCCCAAGTTACCAGTGACCTATCTATAAGGGGCTGTAAAAACTTCAGTCCTTGCCTCCTCAGAAGAATGAATTTAACTGAGGGCCATAACGCAGAAAAAGAGACCAAGGCAAGTTCCAGAGCAGGAATGGAAGTTTATTTTAAAAGGTCTTAGAACGGGAGAAAAAGGAAGTTACAAGCGGGCACGTGAAGGTTAAAGAAGAAGGTCAAGTGCCCCGTTTAATCCTGATCCTAGGACTTTTATAAGCTCACGTCTTTCCCATGATTCTTCCCTTAGGGTGGGCAGCCTGCATGTGCAGAGCCCTCCTTACCCTTGGGAAGTGAGCACGTGCAGTGTGTTTAGGGAGTTAGACGCATGCCCATCTGAGGCTTTCTTCCTTTTTCAGGTGGAGCTAGCCCCTGGAAGATCACACTTTACTCATTTTTGTCTCTTAACACACATGCCCAGGAGTTGTTTCTCCCTGGAGCCTGTATTCAATTAACACTTTTAATGTTAACAGGCGTGGACCATCAGGAGATTGTCTCTCCCTGGCTGCAGAATTATCATTTTTAGAGAGGCAATGTGATAAAGGTCACATCATCACCCAACATTTCTAGTGGGTACGGGGAGAACCCTCTCCCGCCCCACTCACGCCTCTACCTGTAACACTACTTCTCAGCTGCAATGGCCAGTTTGAGCAAATTATCATATCCTCTGGTACCTGGCACGCAGCTATCAATCTGGCAAATGCATTTTTCCTCGATACCTGTTAGTAAAAACCACCCAAACAGTTTGCTTTCAGCTAGCAAAACTAGCAATACACTTTCACTCTCCTGCTTCCGAGGTATATGTCAACTTTCCAGCCCTAGGGCATAATTTAGTCCTTAGGGACCTTGATCACTTTTCCCTTCAAACCATCATGCCTGGTCCATTACATTGATGTTACTTGGACCTCACGAGAAGTAGCAGCAATTACTCTAGACATACCGGAAGATATTTATTTGCATGTCAGAGGTTGGGAAATAATTCTGACAAAAATGAAGGGGCCTTCAACCCCAGCGAAATTGCCAGTGGTATGGGCATGTTGAGATGTCCCCTCTAAGGTGAAGAATAAGCTGTGGCATCTGCCCTCCTATAACCAGAAAAGGCATGATGCATAGTGGCTTTAAATTTGAGGCAACTTATTCTTCATTTGCTACTCTCGCTCATTTACCAAGGTTGTGTCCCCCCACCCCCACCCCCCAAAAAAATATGGTACCTATGAATGTGACATTACTTGTAAATAAAGCTTTTGAAGATGGAATCAAGTTAAGACGAGGTTTACTGGATTAGAATGGACCCTAAATCAAATGACTGGTATCCTTATAAGGAGAGAGAAAGACACACACACACACAGGAAAGAAGGCCATGTGACAATTAAAGAAGAGATTGGAATAATGCAGCTATAAGCCCATGAACAACAAGGATTGCTACAACCCACCAGAAGCTAGAAGAGAGGCATGGAACAGATTTTCCCTCAAAGCCTCCAGAAGGAAGCAACCCTGCAAACACCTTAATTTCAGACTATGGCCTCTAAGACAATGAGAGATTAAGTTTCTATTGTTTTAAGCTACCTGGTTCATGGTAATTTTTTACAACTGTCCTAGAAAACCAATACACAAAGTGACCTGAAATCTTTCTAGTTTTGAGTGGGGCCCAGAACAAAAGAAGGCTCTGCAACAGATCCACGGTGCAGTGCAAACTGCTCTAACATTTGGACATGATCCAGCAGATCTGATGGTACTTGAAACTGGAGTAGAAATTGAGATGCTGTTGAAAGTCTGTGGTAGGGCACCTTTTTTTTTTTTCTTGAGATAGTCTCACTCTGCCACCCAGTCTGGAGTGAAATGGTATAATCTTGGCTCACTGCCACCTCAGCCTCCCAGGTCCAGGCGAATCTCCTGCCTCAGCCTCCAGAGTAGCTGGGATTACAGGTGCCTGCCACCACACTTGGCTAATCTTTGTATTTTTAGTAGAGATGGGGTTTCACCTTGTTGGCCATGCTGGTCCCAAACTCCTGACCTCAAGTGATCCACCCGCCTCAGACTCCCAAAGTGCTGAGATTATAGGCGTGAGCCATTGCACCCAGCACTCAGTCACTTTAGATAAATCATAGTACAGAGCCTTAGAATGTGGGAGCAAAGCGCTACCAGCCTTTACAGATAACTATTCCCCTTTTGAGAAGCAACTCATGGCCTGCTACTTGGCCTTAGTAGAGACTGAATACTTAACCATGGACCACAAAGTTGCCATGTGATCTGAACTGCCCATAATGAACAGGATGTTATCTGACCCACCAAAACATAAAGATGAGCCTATACAGCAGTACTCCATAATTAAATGGAAATGGTATATATAAGAGATCGGGCTCTCGCAGGCATGTGTAATTTACATGAAAGCATGTATAATTTGCATGAGGAAGTAGCCCAAATGTCCATAGTGTTTCTGCTATTATTTTTTACC
Source organism: Homo sapiens (assembly GCF_000001405.40). Classification (NCBI taxonomy): domain Eukaryota; kingdom Metazoa; phylum Chordata; class Mammalia; order Primates; family Hominidae; genus Homo; species Homo sapiens. The sequence goes on along the minus strand of NC_000003.12, from coordinate 143,258,980 downwards.
TTTTCTCTCCCAGCCTGCACATATAGCCTCATGGGGAGTTCCACAGGAGCAGTTGCCTGAGGAAAAGAAAACTCAAATCTGACCTACAAACAGTTCTGCATATGCGGGTACCACCCAAAAGTGGAAAATCACAGCACTACAGTCTTTCTGGAACATTCCTAAAGGACAGCGCTCAAGAGGAATCCCAGTGCACAGTGCACCTGGTTGTTCATTTTGTTTGGAAGGAGAAACAGCCAGATGTTAAGGGTCTATGCTAATTTATAGGCTGTGGCCAGTGCTTTGGCTGGTCAAGAGTTAAAGATCATGACTGGAAAATGGAGACAAGGAAGTCGGAGAAAAAGGTATGTGAATAGACCTCTCTGAATGTACAAAGATTATAAAGATACTTGTGTCCCATGTGAATGCTCATGAAATAATGACCTTGGCAGAGGTGGATTTTAATAGTCAAGCAAAAAGAGTGACCCCTTCTGTGTATACCATTCAGTCTCTTTCCCCAGCCACTGGCCTGGCCAGTGATCCCATGAACAAAGTAGCCATGGTGGTAGAGGGACAGAGGTTCTGCATGGGCTCAGCAACATGGACTTTCACTCACCAAGGCCAACCAGGCCACAATCACTGCTGAGTGCCCATTCTGCCAGCAGCAGAGACCAACACCAAATCCCTAATATGGCACCATTCAACAAGGTGATCTGATGTGGGCTGATTATACTGGACCACTTTTTATCATGGAAAGGACAGCACTGTTTTGTTTGTTTGTTTTTGAGATGGAGTATCGCTCTGTTGCCCAGGCTGGAGTGCAGTGGTACGATCTCGGCTCACTGCAACCTCGGCCTCCCAGGTTCAAGCGATTCTCCTGCCTCAGCCTCCGAGTAGCTGGGACAACAGGCAAGTACCACCATGCCCAGCTAATTTTTTTTTGTATTTTTAGTAGAGACGAGGTTTCACCATGTTAGCCAGGATGGTCTCGATCTTCTGACCTCGTAATCCACCTGCCTCAGCTTCCCAAAGTGCTGGGATTACAGGCGTGAGCCACAGCACCCAGCAGCACTGTGTTCTTATTGGAACAGTTACGTGCTTGGATATTGATTTGCCTTCCCTTGAAAGCAATGCTTCTGCCAAAACTACCATCCATGGACTTATGGAATGTCTTATCCACCATCATGGTATTCCACACAGCATTGCTTCTGATCAAGGAACTCACTTCACAGCAAATGAAGTACAAAAATAGGCTCATGCTCAAGGAATTCACTGGTCTTCTGTTCCCCATTATCTGGAAGCTGCTGGCTAGATAGAAGTTTTGGGTTCGTCTGTGGGCCCAAGAACCACAACTAGCTAAGTGCAAATAGAATATGGAATAGATAGTGGAAAAAGGTAATTATAAACACCAGCTACAGCAACATGACCAGTTGCAGAAATGAGGACTTTAACGGTTATTTCTTATTTTGTTATGAATATATATGTTATGCAAATATTTTTGTTTTCTTCCCTCTCTTATGCCATCATCTAACATAAGATATATTAGTAGTTATATCACAGTAATAAGTTATAGAAAATCCAAAGAAAATGAAAATTATGTAAGAACTTTGATTCTCTTTTGGAGAAAGGTTATGTGTTTTCAGTTGTATGCAGGATACTTGTAGCAGTAAGAGGAAGTATGACTTTGTTATTGTCTTTATTTGGAGATTAAATGTGATTTAATGAGACGTATATGGGTGCCAGGTTGACAAGTGTGGCCTATCGTGGCCATTTTTATGTGTGAATTTGGCTAAGATATAGTCCCCAGCTATTCAATCAAACACTCATCTGGGTGTTGCTGTGGAGGTATACTTTGTAGATAAGATTAATGTTCATAAATAGTTGACTTTAAGAAGATTATGCCAGATAATCTGGGTAGACCTGATTCAATCAGTTGAAAGGCTGTGAGAACAGAATGGAGATTTCTGGGAAGAAAGAGAAATTCCACCTCTGGACAGCAGCTTCAGCTCATGCCAGAGAGTTCCAGCCTGCGCTTTCTGATGGCCTGCCCTACAGATACCAAACTTGCCTCATTAGTCCTCACAATCACATAAGCCACCAATTCCTCGCAATAAATCTCTCCCTCTCCCACCCTTCAGATTAGGGCAGGGTGAAGACTGTAAAAAGAATGTTCACAAAAATAAAACAAGTAGATTTGATGAATTCAAATGTTTTTGAAAGGAACATTCCAGGAATTTGTTTCTTAAAACCACATTCCATGCTGTATCTTTATTTACTTATAGTTTGATCCAGTCTCCTGCCCCTTCTCTATCAATAGCACAGTTCAAGGAGAACTGATGTTCATAAGGATGGCCCTGAAGCAAAATCTTGGAGTACTTGAAGCATTTGAAGCATTCAAGTACATTCATTATTCATGGCAGGGCAGCTGTTAGGCTAGGTGTACAGGCAGTTCAAGGAAGATGTTTGCCTATTTAATTTGGAAGGTTCCAGATGCCTCTCAAATATTGTCATCAACCTGTCATCCATTCTGTTCAACAAACATTTATTAAACCCTTAAAATGTACTGCTGATAATCAAGGTGAGGAATTGCTGATGTTGGCATCATTAATGGGATAAATGAAGATGGGACAGAGGAGCAATAACAGAGTCCAGAAAGTACATTAATTTGCAGACATGATGACCCACCTCATCACACAGATTGATTAGTTTTAGCAATGAGTGGGGAAGAAAGGGGAGCTCCAATAAGCAAGGCTATAGGTAAAGGAGGGACTGGACTATCTCAAGGCAACACTACAGTGGCCAGTGTCTCTGTCTAGCTGCATCCTCCTGCATGCCCCACTCCCCACTGGGAACTGGTCAGTGGGAGAAGAGCACCTCAGCAAGAACCTAATGTAAGGAACAAGATTCAAATGCCCCCTACTTCATAATGTGGCCAAAAGCAATACAGAGTCATACTGTGAAACTCATCAATCCCATGCTTGGTCTACAGGCAGTGCTCAGTTAAGCAAAATTATCAAGTCACCCTTCCTGACACCCCATTATCTAGTCATCTAGCAGATGGCAAGTGTTCAGAATATGCTGATTAAGCAGAATTGAATTAAGTCCTGACTAGGTAGCATTCAGCTACTATCTCTAGAAGGGGAAATGAAAAATGGTAAGAGAAAAAAATTTTAGTTCAGCCTTTGATATGGGCCTCACTTTTCCACATATGATCTCATTTCATCCTCACAACCACCCTGGGAACATCAGATTACAAGCCCTTCTTTATGTACACAACCTGGGAGAAACATTAAGCACTTGGCCTAAGATCACAGTTGATTAATGACAGAGGAGGTTTTATACCCAGGACTGTATAGCTCCAAAGACCACAATTTTTTCCCCACTATACGAGGCTGCAAGAAAATTTACCACAATTCTGTCAATATGCACTAAGAACACTTAATGCCCCAGCATTGGGGCAGGGAACTAGGTAGATGTACCCTAGGTTTACAGAGTTTACACTGGTCAGACCAGAGACTGAAGAATGGCCACACACAGAAGAGAGGACAGTGGCCTAGAGTGAGCAAGGAGGCCCCAGACCTCCAGGCCTGGGTTAGCCAAGACTCATTTGATACTAAGAGGCAGAAATCAAAATCAGTCTAACTGAAGAAATTCTTTGCTTGCATAAGTTACAAGTTTAGGAAGTTAGCTTTGGTACAGCTGAATTGGGTCTTTATAGACCCAAACCAGGTCATCAGATGCTGTGCCTCTCTCTGTTCTCCATTTTGGCTTCATTCTCAAAAGGTTCAATGCAATGGCAAAGATGTCCATGAGCAGCTCCAAGCTTTCATTATTCTTAGAGTTAATAATCCCCAAACTACGAGACCATGGGGTAGCTTTCTCCCTATTGCCCTGGCAAAATCCTAGGACTACAGTGATTGGCCACTTGGGTCACTTGCCCACCTCTGCACCAGTCATATTCACCCAGAGGCAGTTACTCGGCCTGCCAGCCTACAGCACATGCCCATCCTCTGGAGGATCAAGCAGAACCCTTTCATCCGTGGCTCCTGCAGTGAGCAAACATCAAGTCTTTTGTGTTGCTCCCTCCCGCGTTAACCTGTGTAGCTAATAGGATACATGGAGATAATGGTTCATAATTATAAAACACATTTCAGCTTCCGCCTTGCTTTCTTGGATCTTCACTCTGGGAGAAACCATTCAAGTAGTCACGTGGAGTTCATGTGGCAGGAAATTGAGGCCTTTCGCCAACAGCTAGCAGCAACTTGTCAGCCATGTGAGTGAGACACCTTGGAAGTGAGTCCTCCACCCAGTCTGGCCTTCAGATGACTATAGCCCTATTTGATCTTGTAACTGCATCTTTGTGAGAGACCCTGAGCCAGAGTCACCCAGTTAAGCAGCCCCTAGATCCCTGAGCCACAGAAACTACATGAAATAAATGTTTACTATTGTCTTAAGCCACTAAATTTGGGGGTAGTTTGTTATGTAGCAGTAGATAATTCTAACAAAAAGTTCCTGGACAGACAAAAAGAAGTCTGTAGCTATCCATACCATTAAGCACACTTTTTCTAGCAAAGTAAAATACTTTGCTTAATAAATTTCCTAGAAGCATTAGGCTCTCCAGCATACCCACGTCTAACTTTGCCTACCCCTAATCCCTGAATCCAGAAATGGAGGTGATGGGAGCAGCAAGAACCACACAGCTCCTGATGAGGGTCCCACAGTGGGGTGAATGATAGGAAGGAGAAGCAGTGTACAAGTGCACTGAGCAATGTGCTAGAGGCTGCAGGGGACTCAGGGGAGAAAGATCTACTCCTGACTTCTGGGAGTTCAGTATGGGTATAGGGATCAAGTAAAAATTATGTAAATCATAGCAAATTAGGGTTACAAGGAAGCTCAAAAGGAAAAGGATTATGGTACTGGTTCACCACCCTGGTTGTGATAGAGGCAGAAGATAGCCAAATGCCTAGGAAGATAGGGGAGGGTCCCTGGAGAACCTCCCACCTGCCCAGGTCATTGTGCACAGGGGGCTTGCCTAAACATGCCCATGGTGAAAAACTCCATCCCTTAACACATGCGCAGTAAGGGAAATAAATCAATGTGGAGTGGCTCAGACTAAGGGCCCACATGCACACTGGAAGGATGGTGTGGAGCCACCAGGAATTTGTACCTTATGCAAGGGAGGAGGCTGGCCTCTTCAGCTCACAAGTGGGAGCCCTGGTATTCAATTGTGAGGGGGCAATCTGCTTGGAGAACTCCTCTCTTTGCTGACAGCGTTCTTTTCCCTTAATAAATTCTGCCCTCCTCACCCTTCAATGTGTCTGCGTGCCTAATTTTTCTGGTCGTGAGACAAGACCCCAGATTTAGCTGAACTAAGAAGCAAAACATCCTGCATCAGTTGTACATTGGACTCACCTGGAGCACTTTAGAAACTACTCATGCCTAGGCCCCACACTCAGAGACTGACTTAACTGGCCTGGGCTGTGGCCTAAATTTTTTTTTTTTTAAGCTTCCCAGGTGATTTTAAAATGTGCGGCCAGTTTGAGAGCCACTAAATTAGACAGACTTTTCAGGAGAGAGAGATATCTGTTACAGAAAATCAAAGGCTTCCTAGAAGAACCAGTAGTTGGGATAGGCTATAAAGATTTCAAAAGCTAGGTAGGACTGGTAGGAAAAAGCAAGAGCATGAGCAAGCTGAGACTGTAGAGGTGTTGTCATGTTTGCTGGGACAATAAGGAGCATATCGGCTAAAAAGTAGCTACAAAGTGATGAAGATGCTGCTATCGTGTATATTCTGGTTCTGAACCCTCAGGCTGTAACTACATGCATTGCCGCCACCACTGTCTGGCTATAAAAGCACCAACTCACAAAACCTGTGAATCATCAAGTTCTAAATCCCTGGCATGCAACACATTTGGGATATCATTTTAGGGAGCCACAGCTGCTGCCTGAACAAAAGAAGAAAAAAAAAACTGCTCCCTTCAAGCCCCCGTGACCATGCAACGTCATCTACCACATTACTTTCAATTGTCTCCTTTTCATTAACACCAGATCCAAAGATGAGGACGGCATCAGAATTTGGCTCAATCCTGGCTCAGTTATCCTTGGCTATGGGTCTTCAAAGGGCACCCTTTTCCTGGTGAAATCTTGACCAGGAACCCCCTTCGGTCCCCCGGCCCCACCCCATAGTCTGCACCAGCTAGAAATGAAGAGATGATTATTGATTCAATTAGGATTTGCCAATTAAGTTGGTGTTTACTGCCATCCTTAAAGACCTGCTGCTTTTCTTTATTAAGAGAGTAAGTCAGCCCTCCTGTTATCCATCATAATCAGAAAGGGATGTCTAGAGCAGCACTTCTCAATCTTTGAGTCTTGAATGCCCCGAGGATCCTGTTAAAATACAGATTCGGAACCCCTGGGTGGGACTGGAGGGTATGCATTTGTAGCCAGCTCCCAGGTGATGCTGATCTGCTGGTCCCTGGACTACACTTCCAGTACCCCAAGGCTGGAGCAGTATTTATCAGGCTTGGTTAACTGTCAAGGGTCTACAGGCAATTTGACAGTCTCAGATATAAAGCAACAGAACTATTTCATCTAGTCATGTCATTCATTTGAAATGTAGTATTAACTGTGATTCACAGTTACCTCTATTTTATATGTATTTTAGGAGAAGGAAGTCTCACTCTGTCACCCAGGCTGCAGTGCAGTGAAATGATCAGAGCTCACTGAAGCCCCGACCTCCTGGGCTCAAGCGATCCTCCCACCTCAGCCTCCCAAGTAGCTGGGACTACAGGTACACACCATCACGCCCAGCAACCTTAATTTTTTTTTTTTTTTTTTAGAGATGGGGGTCTCGCTATGTTACCCAGGCTGGTCTTGAACTCCTGGTCTCAAGCAATCCTCTTTGCCTGACCCTGCAAAGTGCTGGCATTACCTTGCCCAGCCAGTCCTTCTATTTTTAAAATTTGTCCATGTATTATCAGGATGGTGTTGGTCAGTTTGTCCCAGCTAATCTTTCAGTTAACAGGGCAGAGCTCATCTTGATCAATATACTTTCACCTTATTTCGACATCATTGTTTACATTTGTCAAATATGCATTTTGGTTGTTAGTACTGACCATAATAAAAATGGGTCCATGACTCAAATGTAGTTCACTAGCGCAGAAAAGTAGAGATGGCAATAGTAGTGTAAATACTACAATTTAGAATGTTAGATGTGTATAGTAAGCAAGACTCCCATGACAGCATAGGATGTCATTCGGGTGGCCAGGCAGGGGAATACACAAGGAGGTCAACTGCACATAAGCAACCACAAAAGTGAAGTATCTGGAACTCCATGATTGTCAGTACACCCCTCCCCGCTACAGGACACCCTCTGTTATGAAACTTGCCAGAAGTGGGCATGAGGTTAGTAAAGCTTTGCCTTCATCTTTAGAGCACAGAGGGAATCTTCTCTTACCTACTCTGCTAAGACTCTAGAATTTTTCTAGAGAAAGTACAACATAATACTGTGTCCCCACCCAAATCTCATGTTGAATTGTATTATAATCCTCAATGTTGGAGGCAGAACCTACTGGGAGGTGATTGGATCAGGGAGGCAGATTTCCCCCTTTGGTGCTGTTCTCATGACAGAGTTCTCATGAGATCTGGTTGTTTAAAAGCGTGCGACACCTCCCCCTTCTCTTTCTCCCTCCTACTCTTGCCATGTGAGAAATGCCCGCTTCCCCTTCACCTTCCACCACGATTTAAAGTTTCCTGAGGTCTCCTCAGAATCCATCATATCTCCTGTACAGCCTGCGGAACCAGGAGCAAATTAAACCTCTTTTCTTTGTAAATTACCAAGTCTCAGGTATTCTTTATAGCAGTGTGAGAATGAACTAATATACTTTCCAATATAAATTGACAAATTTGGCCCACAGTTGAAGAGCATAAGCCATAGGAACATTATTCAAAGTTGTATAACAGCAAAAATGGGCCAAGCTAGAATTTTGCCCAAAAGTCTATTGAACCAGTTAAAAGATTATGCTTAGAGGGGGAAACAAAAGTGAACTCCAGGACACAATTTTCAAGCTGAAAAGCCTTTTTGATCATGTTTGTTTGCAAGTTAGTATTTCACTTTTCAGTTGGACAAAACCACCAATGAGTATAAATCAGCTCTTAGCTTATGTGAGATAAATAAATGAAGTAAAAATGCACAATAACATTTTGTCTTTTGTTACTGAAAGCCCTTGTGTATTAGTCCATTTCCATGCTGCTGATAAAGACATACCCGAGACTGGCAAGAAAAAAGAGGTTTAATTGGACTTACAGTTCCACATGGCTGGGGATACCTCAGAATCATGGCGGGAGGCACGAGGCACTTCTTACATGGCAGCAGCAAGAGAAAATAAGAAAGAAGCAAAAGCAGAAACCCCTGATAAACCCATCAGATTTCATAAGACTTATTCACTACCACAAGAATAGCATGGGAAAGACCGGTCCCTGTGATTCAATTACCTCCCCCTGAGTCCCTCCAACAACACATGGGAATTCTGGGAGATACAATTCCTGTTAAGATTTGGGTGGGGACAGAGCCAAACCATATTACCTTGCTACAGAAAAGGCTTTGTTTTGTTTTGTTTTTGAGACAGAGTCTCACTCTGTTGCCCAGGCCAGAGTACAGTGGCAAGATCTCGGCTGCCTGCAACCTCCACCTCCCTGCAACCTTCTTCTGCCTCAGCCTCCCAAGTAGCTGGGACTACAGGCATGTACCACCACACCTGGCTAATTTTTGTATTTTTAGTAGAGATGGGGTTTCACCATATTGGCCAGGCGGGTCTTGAACTCCTGACCTTTGGTGATCTGCCCACCTTGGCCTCCCAAAGTGCTGGGATTACAGGCGTGAAGAAAAGGCTTTCCATTTTGAAGATGATTGCCCTGTGCTGGTGAGACAGACCAGGAAAGATGCGTTGGGAACATCCTGACAAAATACTATTAGGGTGGCCAGGAAGGTCTTTGCTGGGCAAATGAAAATGTGTTTCCACACCCTGCTTTAGTCAGAGAGAACCTCAGTGTTCACCAATATTTATTGACTAAATAAAGGTCAAGAGGTATATTTAATAAGTGCCTACAATATGCCAGGCACTGTTCCTGCCCACATAAAGATTACATTCTAGCAGAAGATGACAGACTTTAACAATGATGTAGCTAAGTGATATGGTTTTGCTCTGTGTTCCCACCCAAATTTCATCTCGAATTATAATCCCCATATGTCAAGGGAAGGACCTGGTGGGAGGTGACTGAATCATGGGGGCAGTTTTCCCCATGCTGGTTTCATGACAGTGAGTTCTCAGGAAATCTGATAATTTAAAAGTGTGAAGGGGCAGGGGTCTCATCCCATCCCACCCCACCCGCTGCCATTCCTGCGGCCATGGCAAGACACACTTGCTTTGCCTTCGCCTTCCACCGTGATTGTCAGTTTCCTGCAGCCCCCCAGCCATGCTTCCTGTTAAGCCTGCAGAACCATGAGCTAACTAAACCTCTTTTCTTCATAAATTACCCAGTCTCCAGTAGTTCTTTATAGCAGTGTGAAAACAGACTAATAAAGTAAGTTATATGGTATATTACCAAGTGATAGCACCACAGTGGGGTTGGGGGGATAGAGCAGTGTAAGAAAATATAGGATGGGAAGTAGGATGGATGTTAGTATTTGAAACAAGACAATCAGTTTAGACCTCTATGAGAAGATGGCATTTGAGCAAAGACTTAAAGATGAGAGAATGAACCATGGAGATGTGTCTGGACTTGTCTGGAACATTCAAGGACAGCAAGGAAAGAGCATGGCCAGAGCAGAGCATGCAGTGCGGAGAGCTGTGAAGGATGAGGTCAGAGTGGAAGCCAGTAGGGGGAAGGGGCAGTTCAGGTAGGTTCTGGTAAAGTCCTTGCTTTTATTCATAGTGAAGTGAGAACCAATTTCAGCCAATCACGGGGGGCAATAAGTAAATGAAAAATATGACTAAAAGGCTCATTCCGGCTGCTGCATGAAAACAGACTCCAGAGTTCGTAATAGAAATAAGGTATCTGGGTCAACTACATAACAATTACCAAATCTCAGCAACACGAACAGTAAGAATTTATTTAGCTCATGTGTCTGTGTGTCACTTGGAGTTCTGTGATCTAGGCTGGGTCCCCTGAGGCCATCTCAATGGGGACGAGTGCTCCTCTTCCCTGCTCCATCTCTCAGCCTCCTTGGGACCAGAAGGCTACAACAGAAATTTTCTTTTCATGGGAATCATTGGCTTGTAGATGGCATCTTAAGCCATGATCTTGATTTAACATTAAAGTTGCTTATCACACAAAATCGTGGCCCCTGAGTGTAGAGTTTTTCAGCATGCCATGTGAAGATCTTCTGGGCATTGACTCACCAAAATGATCTAAATGTCAAGGGGAAAGGGGCTCACAGTTTAAGCGGGTGATAAGACATAACTTTATACTTCATGACACTGGATGCCAAGAGGTCATTTTTTTAAAAGCTAATTATTTCGACTGCATTGCTCACGTTACATACAACAGTTTACATTCGGTGTCCTGAACCTATCACTTCAAGAGCTGAGATACCATATTTTTAACGTCGGGGATAAGACATCTGGAGTTTTGAAAAACAAATTTCAGACAACTCCATCCCTGGAAGTGGCTATTCTCTAAAACTATTTTCTTGTCTTCTGAGAGAGAGAAATATATGGTTTATTAATGAGCATATTTCAAAGCCACATCTAAATGTTATGATAGAACTGGAAGAAAAGTTATAAATACAACCAAAGAATAAATGAGGGATCCATTCACCATTACCTTCCTTGTTGAAACATCCAGATTTCTACAGTAGGACAGTCAGGGCTGGTGGGCACCAAGACTATAGAAAGTCCTCTAGAATCTGGAGGTCATGCACTTTTCAGATACTCAGAACAATCTGACAGGGCCATCCTCCATGTCCCTTCATTACCAAAGATATAATTACGACTTAAGATTTTCAAATTTAGGGAAGTATAAACTAGGAATAGCAATGGACCAGATAGAAAAACTCATCTGTGGCTCTCACTCTCCACCAAACAGGGCATGGACATATCGGTGAAAGATCATCAACTGTATCATGTTTCTTACTGGCACAACACTATTATGGTTTGCATTTTAAATGCAGTTTCAATTTTACGATGAAGTAGTAGTGAATCCTTTTTTCCTTGATAATAGTGGTCTACAGGCATACCAAATTCCTGGTAGGTAGCTCATATAGCGCTAACATTGAGAAACACATGCCAGGAAGCTACAAGCAAATCCAATTCATTCTCTCACCTACCACAAGTCACGTTATACTAAGTACCTTTAACAGATAGCCTAGGAAGAAGTACAGGCAGCTTTCCACTTGAAGGTAAAAAAAAAATACTCCTAATAATTTTCAGTCCACAACACTCAACTGTGCCAATAAGCCAAGCTAGCTATAAGAAAGATGAAACAAGTACGGCCATAAAAACAGTGACCCTTCTACATTAAAAAGGAAAAAAAAATACAACTCCATTTAGCAGCTCAATTAAGATGACCTCTAGTCATCACACTTGTTACAATGACAGCTCCTCCCTCTAACACTAGCTAGATTTGGCTTTCTCTGGTGGCCTGGAAATGACAGGGGAATTATTAGCTCTTTCTCTCCAGGCGTCAGCATTTCACAAGCACTTACGGTGGCTTTAACCTCAAAAGAGTTCCTGCTCTGCGGGGTAAACTTTCCTCTATGGTATGTAATTAGCCCATTGATGCATCTCCCATGCTGGGCTGATATTCTGGAGGGCAGCATTAGCAGGTCAAGTTCAAGTGCTGAAGGCAGGTAGCATAGCTGCATAAGATTGCAGAGAGCTCTCTGTGGGGAGAGGGGTAGGCCTGAGGGTCTCTGAATAAATATTGATTCCCTGGGAGACAGGACAACAGTTTAAACCATATGGAATGTAACCAAAGTATGCATGCATGCGTGCACGCACGCACACACACACACACACACACACACACACACACAAATAGGTGTGTGCCGGCCTAACTGTTCCTCCTCTGGGACACAGGTGGTTCCTCTTCCACCATTCATAGGAATTCTGAACCAGGTATGGGAAGAGCTGGTCATGGGCAGAAGCAAGAAGGAGCAAAGAGGGAGACCAGAAGCTGTAATACACGGGCAGCCCCTGAGGGACACTTGGCAAAAAGAAAATTATTGCTTCAACATCATTTTCCATTAAACACAATTACAAGAAAGAAGTCACAACCAACTATAGCTGAAATAGCAACTGATTGGAGTAAAGAACATGGGTATGAGGTCAAGCAGAACTCAGTGCAAGCATGGAAGATAGACGCTGGTACTCATTGTCAGTTGAGTTGTACCAGAACGTTCAGATCGTATTTCTCATATAGGTTTGTGAGAAACGTGAGGATTTTGCACTGCCACAGAACAGAGAATCACAACTTGAGTTTCTCAAGTTTTGAAGCTGAGTTTGATTCTGACACTATCTAATTTCAACACTTAGAATCCCTCCTCATTCAGGAATTTGGGGAAAAAGTGAAACATGAAACATGTTTTCTCTGTCCCCCACCCCGCCCCCCCATTCTTGCTAGGCTGATGGGTGGTTTTCCTGTTAGGAGAGTAGGCATCGCCCCCAATGGGGACCATCACCACACATGTGCATAAAACATGGCAATGACTGTGGTACCCAGAAAACACTCAGAAATGAATTTTCCCTCTGAGACACCACCAGCAACACCCATGCATAATGCATGAGTTCAGCCATCGGTGGAAATAAACCAAAAGATTGTAAACGTGTGACTGAAAAGATTGGGAATGTTGAAAACTCCAATCAAGGGGGCCAGGGTGTAATTTCAGAGAAACAAAACTCAAATGTGATTGTAATTTAGCAAAATAAATCTGAATCAATTTCACTGTACCCAGTTTAAGAACAGACTCTGGAACACAAAGGGGAGCGGGTAGCCTGGAACACAAAGAGGGAAGCCCAAAGAGCCCACAGTCAGCAGGGCCTGTCCAGCTCCATAACACCAAGGACGTCTATTCCGCCATGGTGCAGGACTGAACCATCAGGCCACTCAGAGGCCACTGCATGTGAGGAGGAGGAACCCTGTGGCCGTTCTGGAACTCCCACCCCTGCAGCACCCAGAGCAGCTCTCCCTTGATAACTCCCACATACAGGTCTTCACTAAACATTTCATTTTTTAAAAAAGAGTGCCTCCATCTGAAAACAGCTGTCCTGAGTTAAATATCTCTAAGACTGTCTTCTATATTACTACTTCCCTTTGCCCTGACTTCATAGCTACTAAGAAACCTTCCAATAATTCTTCTTCCCCTACTAAAGAGAAGAAGGCTCCCAAACGGCAAGTATTCATGTTAGTCACTTGCATTAAATATGTCCAATTGTAGACATAAAATGCAGCATAATCAGTCTCTTCTGAGTTTAATTGGCTCCAATACCCAAGTCACATTCCAAGTCAAGTCACCCTCCTGTCCGGCTGAGGCAGCCCTCTGATAAATTTGTCCCCCCTTCAAGACACTCAGTGACCCATTGGCTATCCTTCTATGGATATCTTCACATTGCAACATGTAAGTGTGAATTAAATGGTTAACGTTGAATTCATCAACTGATGAGAACCCTTCTGTCACAGTAAAACCCAGTGAACAAGCAAGTGGACAGTTTTTACCTGCACCTGCTGTGGTCGGGGAAGTGGTGACTAGCACAACTCAAGTAGCAAAAGGAGAGTAAAGGCCTTGTAAGTAAAGGGAAGGATTTCTGAGGATGCACGCAAACCAAAAGTTATTATCTCCCTCCTTAGAGCCAGAGAGAAGCATGAGGTCCATCCACCTGAAACAAGGGGAGTTAGCTGTATGTCTTCACAAATGTGTAATTAAAACACTGTGCGGCAGGTGGTTGCAGAAGGCATTTGCTGGAGGAAAAAAATTCCTCCAGCACCTAAGCTTTGGTCTGAAACATTGTTTCAGTTTCCTATGGCTACTGTAACAAATTACTACAAGGTAATAAACTTGTGTTGTGTACTTAAACAACACAAGTTTATTACCTTGTGTGCTGTGTACTTAAACAACACAAGTTTATTACCTTACAGTGCTAGGAGTCAGAAGTCCAAAATCAGTCTCACTGACCTAAAGCCCAGGTGTAGGCAAGCTGGTTCCTTCCCGAGGATCTGAGGGAAGAGTCTGTTTCCTTGCCTTTATCTGCTTCTGGAGGCTAGCTGCATTCCTTGGCGCAGAATCTTTTCCTCGCATCATTCCAACCTCTTGCGTCCGTCATCACGTTTCCTGCTACTAACTGGGATCACCTGATCCCTGCTCTATACGGACTCCGTGGTTACATTGGACCCACCTGGATGCTCAGCCTAATAGTCCCATCTCAATAGCCTTAATCACACTCGCAAAGTGCCTTTCAGTGTGTAAGGTAACATATTCACAGGCTCCAGGGATTTAGATGTGGCTATCTTTGGGAGCCATTATTCAGCCCACCACAAGTGTCACAGCCATGGGTGGGAACAGGAGTAAATCACACAACTGAAATACAGTTGCTAATCCTTAAAGGCTGAGCTCTGAGTGGCTGCATTCTCAAAGACAAGAGAAGTCTTTGTAATTTAGATACCAACTCTGCCTCAGGAAGAAGATACACATGTGAAGTGGGCTGGCCTGGGTTAGTGTGGCACTCAGGTCACCACAGGACATTCACATGGACCAACACAATTCCCAGGACTGGCACGATGTAAGGAGAGAATACTAATAGGGCCCAACAGACACCTCCCAATCCCGGCCAACTTGACATTTTAATGAGTAATTGACACCAGATTCTCAAATATAAAGAGCACCTAGCATGTTTAGGATCTGTGTGGCTTTATTTTACAATATATAAACTGGAATGAAAGCTGTGTTGTTCTACACGGTGTTCTTAATTATTTCTTCTTCTTGTTTTTATAGAGTTCTGGGTAGAGAATTCCTTTAGATCTTGTTTGGCAAGTAACCTGACCAAAGGTCCTAACTGAAGCTGGTGGTCAGCATACCGAGGTCCAAGGTGGCACTGAGGGTCAACGCCACACATGACAGTCCTGTTGACTGTGCCTCCCGTTCCGAAGTCAGGCATGCTGAGAGGCCCTCATTAGCCTGAATATCTCTCCAGCCACACCTGTCACAAGACTGTAAGTCAAAATCTGTTTCATATCAAGCTTGGCTTCCAAATGAGGTCTCTTTGAATACAGACTTGTCCTCTTTGGCCGCATGGCCATGAACAACTTACCTAACTCTTCTGAACATTAGTTTCATCACCTATAAAATATAGATAATAATCTATATTTTAAAATATATCTATAGTATATCTTGCAGATTATTATGATTGTAATGGATAAAGTAGAATTATAAATAATGTTGGAGCATAGCATTCAGTGAATAGTAGCTATTGTTATTGATATGTTTTTCTGACCTGTGAAAATGGGACAATGATATACACAAGATTGTTGTAAGAACTGAGTGAGATACCTTATGTTAAGCACCTGACACAGTATCTGACACTTAGAAGATGCTCGTAAGGATTCATTCCCAATCCCCTCTTTCCCTGCATCCTCACAATTACTCTGTTGAGGTTATCAAAAAGGGAGAACCATCGGCTCCAGGAAACTGCTGTCAAAATCAACCTTTCACCTGAGACAACCCTCCACCCCACCCTATACCTCTCCTGCCGGTTCAGAGGCATAGACTCATTTTTCAGATTATCTCAACGTGTACCCCTGCCCTTAGCCTGCCCCTAAGGAGACAGGGAAAACTGTTTCCAATGGGACAGGACACTAAGGTGTGCAAGAAGGTATATACTAGGGGCCTCTTATTGAAAGATCCTATGAGTGACAGAAACACAGCTTCATCAAGCTTAACAAGAAAAAGGTGGAGTGAGAGATTTGTTGACTCACATAACAGAAAAATCCGGTAAGCATATCTGGTAAATATGACTGGATCCAGGTATTTAAAAGATGTCAAGAATTGTCTTGCTCCATCTCTTTGCTTTCCTCTGTTCTCTTTCTCTTTGTCAAGAAGCAATCCGCCTCAGGGTGGTCCCTGATCACCAGCTTAGCACAGAGAGAGTCTCTTTCTCAATAGTTCCAACAAGATCTGTAGGCCAAAGTTCACTGAACCATTTTGAAACAGGTAACCATCCCTAGACCAGTCACTTAGCCAAAGGAATGTAGCATGCTTTAGCCAGGCCAAGGAACGTGCGCACCCTTGGAGCTCAGATATATATGTTGAGGGGAAGAGGAAGTAGTATCAGCTCCCGCTTGAATTCCATGGATTGAGAGTTGGGGGATGAGGAGTTTGCCAAAACAACAGTGCTAGGATTAAAAGAAGTAGAAGCAGATGCTGGGGAAGCAAAATCTTCCAGAAGACCTAAGATACATGGGGCCTGGGTCAGCCTGGCAACATGAGGTCTCCAGGCCAATGTAGCAGGCCCTGGAGGTGGGAGGAGAGACACGTAATTTCTAAGCAGCTCTTCAGGTTACAGTTCTTGCTTTGTCTGCCTGTCATTAAGTGGATTACCACAACCCATCAGCCTTTCAAAACAGTTCCTACAATGTCCATGGTTCTTTTTATAAAGAACAGCGTGCTATGAAGAGCACTTTAGAAGAGCTTACATTCTCAGAATGTGAATCAAGGTCTGGGTTAAGCCAGACAAACAGTCATTTGACCTTGCTGCTCTGTCATGGACAAGCAGGGGTGAAAGGAAGGATATGAGCTGAGACAGGTGGGCAGAAGGAGGTCAGAGAGCTGATAACCCCGGTGCTTGAGTCACCTTGTTTCTCAAAGGATGCTCTGAAAATGGATAATAAAAACAAGAAAAGAATCTTAAAAATCAGTTTGTTGATCAGTTTATTGTGTGGGTCCCCACCGAACCTGACCACATTGAAAATGGCCATGTGTTCCTGACTCAAGGCATCCCATCTCCTAATCAGCCCTTAATCCCTAGTAGCTCTCCAGTTACTTCCATGGTTACCGAGTCCCCTTCTTTTGAACAACCAAGGGCCTCAGGAAAGACTAAATAAATTATAACCATTAGTTCCTTTTATCTACTGCTTTATTTCAAGGACTTCTGACAGGTTCAAGAAGCATAATTTTACTCACTCCCAAGGCATGCCAGCTTGTTCTGTTCAAATTCCACCCAACCCCTTGCTTTAGAAGACTTTTCAGTGATTCTGTTTGCGTCGTCTGTCTCCTTACAGAGGAGTTATATCATCAGTCTGTAATTCCCAAGGATAAGCCAAGGATTCTGCTTTGGCATCTGCAGTGTAAAATAAATGTGGCTTAAATTAAAAATAGAGCAAAGTTCTGACCTGTTTGGCCATGGCTCTACATCGCCTGCTTTTCAGGATGAAGTGGTTTTGCACCAAATTGGCAAGATAGCCAAAAATATGCTTAACCCTGGCCACAGATGAAAATCATTCAAGGAAGTTTTCTAAAATAACCAGGCCTGGGCTTCACCCCAAACCAATTAAACACACATCTTTGGATTTTGGGCCTAAGTTCCGGAATTTTCTTTCAAGTGTGCAGAGGAGTTGAGAACTACTAGGAGAAGATGTTGGGGATCTCGGGACATTGAGTCCAAATCGGCATTTATGATTCATCTTCAGGCTGGTGTCACCTGAGAAAAAAGTCTGAGGAGCTGTGAGTCCCATTTACCGTGTCTTGGGTATGTAAGGAGTACAAGTTTATGAATTAAAGGATCTTGAGTCAGCTTTAAAGGAGGTCAAATTTCCGTGCTTATGAGAGAAAAAAAAAAAACAACAACAACTCTATCCAGTCATAAAGGAGGACAATGACTGATAGAGGAAGTTTGTCACAAAAAGTATAAAAGATCAGACCATCTGGGTACAATTAGCAAAATCTTGCAGTGACAACACGTCAACATGTTCACTCTTCCCAGACTTGGATGCTCATTTGCTATATGCCCTTGGATGCATCTAGTACCCTCCCTTGCCAAGTTTACTAACTTAAGGAATGAGCATGACCTTCGTGGTACTTAAGAGATCCTTTAAAGAAACAAGAGGCATTCACCATTATCTAAAACTAACTTTTGACCTATAATAACTGAATGAAAAAGCAGTCAGCAGAAGTTAATGGAAGAGAGGGGCAAGTCCTCCTAATAAATGCTACCTTTAGCCCCCTCCCCATTGCTTTAATTCTGTTACTTAAAGGAACAAGGTACAAAAATTCTGGAAATGCAACAAACTAGGTAGAGAATATAAGGCTCCCTCAGTGCGCTGAAGATAAATACTTTGAAAAGTAAGCTAATCCAGAGATACTCAGAACTGAATTATGTTCAGGGTAAATTGAAGATTCAGAAGTCTTAATCTGTTAAAAAGTGTAAAAACCCACAAGTTTTCAAAGAGTACCCCAGATCTACAGATGTATTTGTGTGTTGTCAAAATTTCTTTTTTGTTACAGAGAAACAGGAAATAATAATAAAACTGAAGTGGAGGAGATGGTATTAACTATTGCAAAGCCACTTGACAATGAAAACTAGCACATAAAAACTAAACAATAGGCCAGGTGCAGTGGCTCACACCTGTAATCCCAACACTTTGGGAGGCCGAGGCGGGTGGATCACAAGGTCAAGAGGTCGACAGCATCCTGGCCAACATGTTGAAACCCTGTCTCTACTAAAAATACAAAAATTAGCTGGGCATGGTGGCACGTCCCTGTAGCGCCAGCTACTCGGGAGGCTGAGGCAGGAGAATCACTTTAACCCGGGAGGCGGAGGTTGCAGTGAGCCGAGATCACACCATTGCACTCCAGCCTGGTGACAGAGTAAGACTCCGTCTAGGGAAAAAAAAAAAAAACTAAACAATAATATACAGTGAGAAAGACTAGAGTCAAGGTTGATATACCAATGCATCTTGGCATTTATTCTTTGAGAGTCTTCAGTACTCCTAAGACAAGTAGCTGAGAAGGTGGACTTAAACTCTTTTTTTTTTTTTTTCCTGTGAGATGGAGTTTCACTCTTGTTGCCCAGGCTGTAGTGCAGTAGCGCGATCTCGGTTTACGGCAACCTCCACCTCCAGGGTTCAAGTGATTCTCCTGCCTCAGCCTCCCAAGTAGGTGAGATTACAGGCACCTGCCATCACGCCTGGCTAATTTTTTTTTTTTTTTTTTGTATTTTTAGTAGAGATAGGGTTTCACCATGTTGACCAGGTTGGTCTTGAACTCCTGACCTCAAGTGATCCGCCTGCCTCAGCCTCCCAAAGTGCTGGGATTACAGGCGTGAGCCACTGCACCCGGCGGACTTAAACTATTTATGTGAGCTCCATTGTCAGAAGGACAGAACCTGGGAAGCAAGCTGGTTAATTCCTTCTAGGCCTAAGGACCTAGCCCTAGTGGGCAATGTAATTTTGATTCTAAGGAGTATAATGAGCAACTGGGGTGCTCTTCATGTGCAGGTAACTGAGATGGAGCAAAGGCAATTCATTTCATAATTTAAAGACCCCTGTGTCAAGTATCAATGTACAGACATTGTACCTTAGAAGACAATCTAACTCTTAGACTTAGTCCCATCAAAACAATGATTAACATCTTATGCCCTCCTTCCTTCCTTCTTCCGTTCATTCTTTCAGGAAACAAATATTTCTTTTCTATTGTGTGCCAGACTGAAGAAAAGTATGATGGATACAGAGCTTAAAAAAACCAACAAATTCCCTTCATTCCAGCAGTATGGTAAGAGTTGTGATTAAGGAATGCCTAGAATGCAATGAGAGGGAAACCTAACACAGATGTGAGGGTCAGGAAAGGCTGTACACAAGTTATCAACTGAGCCGAACACTGAAGAAATGAATACCATCCCCCCAAAAATTGGGAAAGTGCATTCTAAAGGGAAGCATTTATACAATATTAAGGGATGTCCTTTGATCGGGAAGAGCTTCCAAGCATTCCAATATGGCTGCAGTATGAAGAATTTAAAATGAGAGATGGGCGAAGCTAAAGGGGCGGACCAAATCAGGAAGGGTTTTGCAGGCCTATTACAGAGCTCAGATTTTAGGCTGAAGGTAATGTGGTGCCACTGGAGGTCTGAAGCATCGTGATGAATAGAGCCACGGAATGAGGGATGGATTGGAAGATGGAGAAAATGGAAATGAGAGGCCAGTTAAAAATGTTCATTACAGGCCAGGCGCGGTGGCTCACGCCTGTAATCCCAGCACTTTGGGAGGCCGAGGCGGGCGGATCCCGAGGTCTGGAGATCGAGACCATCCTGGCTATCACGGTGAAACCCCGTCTCTACTAAAAATACAAAAAATTAGCCGGGCATGGTGGTGGGCACCTGTAGTCCCAGCTACTGGGGAAGCTGGGGCAGGAGAATGGCGTGAACCCAGGAGGCGGAGCTTGCAGAGAGCCGAGATCGCACCACTGCAGTCCAGCCTGGGCAACAGAGCGAGACTCCGTCTCAAAAAACAAAAAAAAATGTTCATTACAGCAAAACTGTAATCAAGGAAATCGAGGGTCTCCAAGACAGGAGTGAGGAGGGTAGAGCAGAGGGGCAGGGGACACTCAGAGGGACACGGCACATGGAGACTCAGTGGAAGGGGGACTGGGCAAGGCCCAAGTTCTGCCTTAAATGACTGGTAAGTGATGGAAAAAGAGAAACCTCAGAGGAAAAGCACATCTGGGGCAAGATCAGTGAGTCTCATTTTAGTATTAGTTGTAAGCTGGGTTTCATCAGCAAGTGAATTTGTCCATCTGGGGCTGGGAAGAGAAGCATCTACAGGCTGGAGGTAGATGCAACTGCCCATGGAAGGCATGTTTATGGGATGGAAACATGGTCAAGGCCAGAATCCTCTTTCTGGGAATATATGGGTTGACAGTGATGAAATGTCTAAAGCCTAATAAGGAACTTAAAGCCCAGCAAACATTTCAATGTGCCAGTGCTGGCTAGCATTTATTAAACATTTTTCAGGTGCCAGGCAGTGCATGGCTGTGCATGAGCAATCCTCATTTAATCCTCAAAAAAAGGTTGGGGGAGGCTTCCTCCATTATTATCCCCATTTTTCAGGTAAGTAAAACTGAGATTTATAGAACTTAACAAACTAGACCAAAGTGATGCATTAACTGGCCTAAAGTGAAGGAGCCAGGTTTTAAACTTCATTTTATCACTCAGCAGAGTACAAAATCTTAACTAATGTGTGGTGGTTCAATACCACATAGTACTTGCAAAAAACAATTTTTCTTTTTCTCTGTTCTTTGCCAAGAAAAGTGGTATAATTTTAAAAATCAAACTTTAAAATAACAAACTTAATGATTTGAGGGCTAGGAGAAACAAGAAAAAAGACATGGTTCACTAAGATCACATCAGAAACTGCCTTGGCCACAGCCTGCCTGTGTTGTGGGGCGAGGGGAAAGGACAACGTGGAGAACAGATGTCAGTCAGTACAATTCTTCCTTTCTAGATGTGACAAGCGCAAGATGATATTTTAGTCTACTTCATGCCACATGGGAAAGACTCATGCAGAATGGGTGGTCCAGGGACCAAGATGCCAAAGAACAATAAACTTTAAAGGCAGGGTGGAACTTTGCCAAAAGGGCTTATTTTCTTCAGCGAATCACCAAAAAAGAAAGTGCCTTTTCAATTCCTCGACATCAGACAAGATGGTTCTCACATGTTTTTTCCTTTTCTTTTTTTTTTTTTTTTTTTTTTTCCTGGAAATCTGTATCTCAGCAGGGAGGTCTGGGCTTGGGCCTGGTTTTGTTTTCCACGGCTTGCGGTGTTCAGACACAGGCTCAGCAGGAGCCTGACCTCATCTCAGAAAGGGGGTCCTTGAGGGCAACCGTGCTGATGCAGCCTTCCACAGAATCCCACAAAGGATTTGTGTTTTCCTCCTTCATTTCACATGGCTGACTGGAGCCAATCAGCTCATGGAGCCAATCAGCTCAGGAATTGTTTTTTTTATTTTTTTTAAGGTGAGTGTTTTTCTTCTCTTCACTAAACACAAGACTGACCAATATTTCTGTTTGTGTGGGCTTATTTTCTCATTCTCTGTGTATATGTATGTCTCATTTTCTCTCTCACTCTCCCACACACATACACACGAACACACACTCCTTCCTTTCTAGCACAATCTTATTGCCTTGATGAAGAGTGCAGTGAAGCTGAAAACAAATGCAGGAAGTGACAGAGACACAAGCATGTGTCCAATTAGCAATAAGAAAATTATAAGCACTGGTGGTGACCACTCATGTTGAACAACCAGCTCAGCAAAGAGCCTTGCTCCATGTCTCGCTGATCTAATTAGAACCACTCATGCCACGAGTGACCTGCCTTCTGCGTTTTCCACATGCTGCAGTGCTCATGCTCTCTCAGGCGTTAATGAGGGACATGGAGCCATCGATAGTTTTCATTAAGCCACAGACTCGCAAGCTTGTCAGATGTACCATGTTTTATCAATTCTACCACAAGCTTCTCTGCCCACATTTTAACATCTTTAAAATCACAATATGCCTCAGAATCAAGGCAATCATGGTATGGTTGTCATTGCGTCTGAGTGGCAAACTTGGTCACCGCTGTTCATATTGTCATAGTTTCAACTGAGTTAAATATGTGGTTGCGAAATGGGTGTTGGGGTTCAGTGATGTTTAAAAGTTCCTCAAAATGTTCTCCTACATGTTGGCATTCAAACAATGAGCTATTGTGTATGCAGAAAGACGAACAGGGCTGGGAGGTAAATTTTACATTTGTGAGGCAAATTGTTGTTATTATAGGAACAAATGCAATTTCATACTTTCTCACAAAGCAACAACAAATGGTTTCATAACACCTAATAAAACAAAAAATCCACAAAAAATGAAGCAGTTACATTTGCTCCACATCGAGCAATGCAACGGAAAGTAAGAGTAATAGCCAGGTCTCTCACAAGAGAGGAAAGAAATTTCCAAGCAGTAAGGGGCCAGTATTCCAGACTCAAGAGTCATGCAACTACTGTTAAGACATTATGTCAGAATTTAAAATAACTTTTTAATCTTAGAGGTTCATAAAGTAGTAGTACATCTAGATAGTTTCTTAGGTTTGACAAAATGTAGTATGACCACAACTTTCACACCCAGGAAAACACATAACTCCCTTCAAAGTACTTGAGAATTTTAAAAGGGTGGCTCTCATTTCATGAGACAGTAGCCACTTGCTAACTTTGAGAGAGAGCTAGCTTCCGAGCACCAAAAGGCATGACCACCCTGTAGCAGATGTGGTTGGTTGCCATCCCCCACCCTGTTTTTCTTGCTAACAGAACTTTGAATTGATTCAAGGCTTAGGGGTCTTGTGCTTCAGAGGAGACTTGGCCTTTCTCAGAGGATCTTCATGAATTGATCCCATCATGGTGATCTCAATCTCTTCTCTTTCCCACTGGTTTTTTAGAAGTGGGCCTGTAACCTAGTTCTGAGCAATAAGATGAGAAGGGATGAGAGTGAGAGGGTGGGGAAGATTTCTGGGATCTTTAAAAAAAAGAAAAAAAGATGCATGAGAAGAAACCTCTTTTCTACAGACTCTGGGCTTGGTGATGCCTGGAGCTACGTTAGCCAACTTGAAACTATGAGGGAGCCTACCTGAAGACAAGTCACATACTAAAGATGGCAGAGAAGGAAAAGAGGGGGGAACTGGGTCCTTGATGACATCACTGAGCCACTTTTTAACCAAGCCTAAAGCCTTAGCTTCTCGTTATGGGAGACACTAAGCATCTTTATTGTTCAGCCCATTGTTAGTAATTGAGTTTTGTGTTGCTAGCACCCAAAGACCCGTAATTGATACAGTCCCATGTCCCCACTAATGCCATGAAGCCACCTTCTCATCTAGACTTTGTGAAACTTCCACTTGGGATGAATGAATAGAATATGGACATTAAAATAAAGAATATGAAAGCATGGTCAACTCTCAACTGAGCTGGACAGTCAACATCTACTAGAGTTTGTTCAACTCTATGGACCTCACATTTCTTGAGGGATGAGGGAGTCACATATTAAAAAAAACATTGACAAAATACAGCTGGAACCTGTCCAAAAGAACAATCTGGTATTCGTAATTTTATTGAATACATTTGTTGAATAAATTGCCAGAATGATAAAGTAACATCAAAATCATGTGAGAAAGAGAGGGTTGAAAATATTTTATCTCATGGGAAAAAGAACTTTTGTTTGGGATAGGGGAGCAGAGTCTCTTCCAGGAATTGAAGGAGCAGCCTGTACAAGAGGGATGACATTGTTTCTGAATGACTCCAACAGATAAAACTAGAATACAGTCTTGTATTACAGTAATGGCAAAAACCACAATTACTTTTACACCAACCTAGTAATTCATACATTCTATCAACAAAGTTTTACTGACCTAACAGTCAGAACCTGCCCTCATGAAACCAATAATCTGGTGGGGCAGATGGAAGACAAGCAAACAAGCAAATGAATTCTTACAAACTATAATGTGTACAGGAAATAAAATAAGGTGCTGTAAGAGAGAAGAGGGAAGGAATTCTAAAGTAAATCACACAATAAGAAAGGACATTTCTAGGCTGGGCGCGGTGGCTCACGCCTGTAATCCCAGCACTTTGGGAGGCCAAGGTGGGCAGATCACCTGAGCCCAGGAGTTTGAGACCAGCCTGGCCAACATGGTGAAACCCCATCTCTACTAAAAATACAAAAATTAGCCAGGCGTGGTGGCGGGCACCTGTAATCCTAGTTACTCAGGAGGCTGAGGCAGGAGAATTGCTTGAACCCAGGAGGCGGAGGTTGCAGTGAGCCAAAATCGCACCACTGCACTCCAGCCTGGGTGACAAGAGTGAGACTCCGTCTCAAAAAAAAAAAAGAAAAAAGAAAAGAAAAAGAAATGACATTTCTGAGACAGTTATATTTCAACCGAGACCTAAACAATGAAAAGATGCTATTCAGAGAGCAGGGAGGAGGACATTTCAGGGGACGTAACAGCATGTAAAAAGGCCCTGAGGTAGAAAGAACCTGGCCTTAGAATCAAGGCAATTATGGTATGGTTGTCATTGCCTCTGAGCGGCAAATGTGGTCACTGCTGTTTATATTGCCATCCTTTCAACTCAGTTAAGTATGTGTTTGCAACAACAGGTATTGAGGTTCAATGAAATTTATAAGATCCTAAAAATATTGTTCTATATACTGGCAATCAAACAATGAACTATCGTGTATGCGGAAAGACACCCTAAAACAGGACTGGGGTGGAAATTTGACATTTGACATTTGGGCCACACTAAAGCAGCCAGAGTGTGTGGCTGAATGAGGACATGGAGGAAAAGAAAGAACAGGAAAATGGTGAGGGGGCCCACATAGTAGAGAGCTTTAAGCTATCTAAAAGTTTGAATTTTATTTTAAATACAAAGGAAAGCCATGCCATTAAAAGTCTCTAAAAAGTCGAATAATATAATTCAAATTAAATTTTTAAAAGATCACTGGCTGTGGTCTGAAAATTAGTTCTTTGGGGGATGTCACCACTGTTCCGGAAACTGCAGTGGTGGCAGTAGAGATGGAGAAAAATGGACACTTTCGTGACATATTTTTTAGTTATAATATAGGACTTGCCGACAGGGGCAGGGAGGATGAGTGAAAGCAAGAAATCAAGGGTGATTCCCTAATCTCTGGTTGAAACAAATTGGGAGAAGGTGGTACCATTTATCAAGATAAAGAAGAAGGCTGAATGAAAAGGTCTGGGAGTATGGAGAATGGAGTATTCCATTTTAGATATGTTAATTTAAGATGCTTGTGAAATAGCCAAATGGAGGAGTCCAGATGGCAGTTGGATATATGAGTCTAGAGCTCAGAAGAGTGTACTGAAAAGGACCTACAAACTTGGGATCCATTAACTTATGGATGCTATTTAAACACATGGATTTTAAAAATGGGTGAATTCATATAAGGCAAGAGTATGTAAGAAAAAGATGGTTTAACACCAAGCTCTGTGGAACCGAGAGACTGGGTAGAGGTGGGATGTTAGCCAAAGACAGTTAAAAAAAAGGGAAGAAAAAGAAGAAAGAAAGAAAGAACAGCAAAGAGAAAAAACAGAAGTGCATGCTATCATGGAAGTCAACCAGATGTTTCAAGGAGTGGTCTGTCAGCTACAGCAAAATCATTTGAAAGATAAGTAAATTGATGACAGAGTAAAGTAACATTGGACATATAAACTAGAGGTTGCTGGTAGCCTTGACAAGAGCTGTTTCAATATAGTGGTACAGACAAGACTAGAGGGGAGAAGGCTGACCAGTGATTGAGTGGCAAGAAAGTAGAGAAGGCTTATGGAGACAACTCTTTCATGACATTGGCTCTGAGGCTCAGGAGATGCGAGGAGAAAATAACAATAACAACAAGCAGAAAAGTTGCCACTTATTTTCTACTATCAGCCACCAAATTGTCTCCAATCCTTACAACAACTCTAGGTAGTAGATATTATCATCTCTGGTTTACAGAAAGTCAGTGAAGTTAAGAACCATGCCTAAAATTATGCAGTGTATTCATTTTCTCTGCTGTGTAACAAATTACACAAATTTAGCCGCTTAAAACAACACACATATATGATTACACAGTTTCTGTGGGTCAAAAGGCCAGAAATGGCTTAAGTGGGTCCTCTGCAAAGCTGTAATCAAGGTGTCAGTCAGAGATGGTTTTCATCTGGAGGCTTGCCTGGGGAAGGGACTATTTCCAAGCTCTCTCAGGCTGATGGTGGAATTTATTCCCTGTGGCTATAGAAGTTATGACAGCTTGCTTCTTTAAAGCCACCACTGGAGATAACAAGACAATACAGCAGGGACATGGAGACTTATATAATGTAACATAATTATGGGAATGGCATCATCTTTGCCACGTAATACAATGTAATCACAAGGTAATGGATTAGCAATCCATTACCTTTGCCATATTCTATGGGTTAGAAGTAAGTCATGGGACTTAATCTAAACTCAAAGGAAAAGGATTATATAATACAAAGGCATGAACACCAGGGGCAAAAGCCCTGGGGTCACCTTTGTGTCTGCCCCACTCAACTCACACTTGGTAAGTGGCTCTTGTGGAATTTTATTCTATTTTATTTCAATATGCATTCCCTTTCAGTTTGACAATGTAGCCTCACAAATACAGAAACACATTTCTAAAAATGTAGAGCCTTCTGAAAATTGAATATACTGGTTACAAAGGTACTAAATTCTCTGTCACTAGGATGTCCAAGCTTAAGTTGGACAATCATTTGATGTGGATGTTGCCAAAAGGCCTTACACTTTAATGAGGGTACTGTGGGGCAAGACAGGGGTGGAGGAAGGTGTTGAGTTGGGTGACTTCCAAGGTGCTTCTTAACCTTAAAGTTCTGATTTTTTTCAGGCGCTCTATAGAATCACAGAATTTAAGATTGGAAGGAGTCTTTGAGATGAAGCCCAGCGCCTATACTTAGGAAAACTGAGGTCTAGAGAAGCAAAAACTTATTTCAGGCTCAGTGCAAGCCACTGGTGGCAGAAAATTAATAGAGATAATTCCTGTCTTCAAGAAGGTTATAATCTAATCGGGAGAAAGCAGTAAAAGTGTAACATAACATATAATAAACAAATTCTATGATAGAATTATGTTTAAGGCACCCCAGATATTCAGAAGAGAGGAAACTGAGGAGGGGGGACAAGCTGTGGGGGCAGATGATTGGGTCAGATTCATAGCAGTAGACGTTTGAGGTGCCTAAGGTATAGCCAGGTGATGTTAACTAGTACGGGGCTTCTCCAACCTTAATGTGCACACAAATCCACCTGGAAATCTTGTTAAAATGCAGCTTTCAACTTGGCAGCTCTGGGGCAGGGCCTGAGATTCTGCTTTTCTAACAAGCTTCCAGGTGGTACAGGGGTTCTTTAGCCTCAGACCATAGTCTGAATAGCAAAAATCTACTAAGGAAGTTAGTAAACAGGTCTCAAATATCTGCCCTTCGACCACTCCTTTCCAACCTCATTCTGCCATCTGCTCTCTGAACTGGAGAGATGAGAAGCCAGTGCCAAGTGAGGAGGAGAGACACCCAGGGGATTTCCAGACAAAAGCACCTTTACCAGAGGCCACGTGGGACAGCCAGGTTACCTGGGAAGGGAAGATGCCCTTGAGTGACGCAAAGAATTCATCCACTGTTTCCGACCTTCGGCTCACATTCACTAACCTGTCTTCTTAAGGGAATACAAAAATGAATGACTTCGTAATGCAAATGGGTATGTCTGATTAACTGAGAACTGCACCTTTGATGTATTAGACAGTTTCAATATAGAGGGTGAAAACTAAAAAAAAGGTAGGTGGGGGTAGGACCTAAAAAGAGAATCAGGACTCAGTGGAGAAGAGGCCGGAGCTAGAAGAGTGTCCTCAGATGTCTTTAACACCTAGAACCACTCTATGTAAGAATAAATTATGAACATGCTGCATCTACAATTCTATGAGACTATTTTATCCATCAAGGCACTCTAGGTGCAAGGCCCATGTCATGTGAGTTCTTCAGGGACCTATGAAAATGTCTGAGGCCACAATATAAAACCACTGGCTCCCAAATGTGAAAATAAACTAGGAAAATAGAAATTAATAAATGTTTATTGTCAAAATATATTATTTTAACCTCATTAGTTGTTCAGTTTAGTTTTTATACAAATTTCATTACATCTGAAAACCATTTTAACGTTAGATTTGCTCACCTTGCCAAAACTCCAGAGCAAGTTGTAATGATTGCCAAGAAATACCAACAAGTGGCCAATGAAGTAAATTTCCAGTAGCCAGTCATTTCTAAAGAATACAGAATTTTTGTCTGATTTTACATCTAAGTATATATCTTTTTGATGCAGTCTTTATATGCGTATTAATACATATATAAGGTGATAATACATATATAAGGTGATAATACATATATAAGGTGATAATACATATATAAGGTGATGTGAGTTCTGAAGCCTGGCACTGGCTTTAGAATGTGGCAGTTCTTTGTGAAAAACTTTAAACTGAAAAAAGGGGATGACTGTCCAGGTGACAGTAACTGTTCAGGGTGAAAATTATGGATTTTTTTAGGGTTTTACTCAAAGTAGTCTAAGGATAAAAGAAACTAATGAATTCATTCATTCAGCAATACTGATTGAGCACCTACTATGTGCCAGGCACTATTCTGGGAAAAGGAATAAACAGTAAAACAGTTAAAGTAGCAGACACCAGTGTAATGAAAGAGTAAATTAAAAGACAGCTCACCAAGCCATACTCACCCACTGGCCTGAGGTTGGGCCAGGTAAGCCTGACTGAAGGGAAGTGGACCACATGGGCTCCTGGGAGCTGCCCTTGCTTCCTCAGAGAATGAAGAAAATTCACATGGATGCAAGGCCGACTTTGTGCCAAACTCTGTGCCCAGGGCTGTTTCATTATCTTTTCTTTTCTTTTTTTTCTTTTTTTTTTTTTGAGATGGAGTCTCACTCTGTCACCCAGACTGGAATGCAGTGGTGCCATCTCAAGTCACGGCAGGCTCCACTTACCAGGCTCAGGTGATCCTCCCACCTCAGCCTCCCAAGTAGCTGGGATTACAAGCATGCACCACCACACCTGGCTAATTTTTGTATTTTTAGTAGAGACAGAGTTTTGCCATATTGGACAGGTTGATCTCAAACTCCTGACCTCAAGCGATTTGCCTGCCTCCGTCTCACAAAGTGCTGGGATTACAGGCCTGAGCCACCACACCTGGCCCATTTCATTATTTTGTGTAATCATTCTGACAGCTCTCTGAGGGCTTGTCATTTCTATATCAACAACAAGGAAACTAAGCCTCAAGTGCTTTGCCACCTGCCCAAGGTCAGGTAGCTCATGAATGAGTGAGCCAGTTATGATTCAAGCCCAGGGCTGTCTGACCCCAAAGCCACACTTCTTCCTTCAAACACGCTTCCTGAGGGGCAGCCACCCTGAGGAGGTCATGTTGGGGAAGCTCAGCCAACGGGAGTGGTTGGCAGGAGCCAGAGAGATGGGGCTGTGCTGTTAGTGCCATGCCTCTGTCACTACCCAGGGACACAGCCCCACTCAGAGCTGGCTGTCAGAGAACTCCAAACAGCAGCCTTGAAGGGTCTAGATATGCTTTGTCTTTGTCCTCACTTACCACGCCTTTAAATGTCTCTCTCGCTGGGGGCAGGGTTATCTAGATTCTAAGACAGGGTGTTCTTATGGCTGCCCCTTCCCCCCAGCACCTTTTACTCCTTCCGATGGGTATCATGGCTGCAGCGATGCTTGATGCTTTGCGGTGGGAGCTCAATGTCCCCCAACTCCCTAGCCAGCTTGGAAAAGTGCCACTTCCTCCCTCGGGGGGCCACAGCTCAGGCCAGCTCTTCTCCCAGCATCCCCAGCCAGCACCAGGCCCTAGGGGCAGTGAACAGGCCTCCTGCGCCCTGCCGCACAGCCATCCTCCGCACGCCCGCTGCTTCTCTCAGGTGACTCCTGGGCCTGACTGTCCCACAGGCCAGACACCGGAAGCACAGGGAATTGGACGTATCTCAGGCTATCCCCGGCCTCAGCTTCTCCCTTCCCAGCACTCCCTCCCTGAGGGTCCTCCTCCACAGGCTGCTGGGAAATGAGTCCGAACCCCAGCACCCGTCTCTGGTAACAGGGCTAAGGTCTCTTAAGAGTAGGTGAAGGGACCTTAGCCCTGTTACCAGAGACGGGTGCTGGGGTTCGGATTCATTTCCCAGCAGCCTGTGGAGGAGGACCCTCAGGGAGGGAGTGCTGGGAAGGGAGAAGCTGAGGCCGGGGATAGCCTGAGATACTTCCAATTCCCTGTGCTTCCGGTGTCTGGCCTGTGGGACAGTCAGGCCCAGGAGTCACCTGAGAGAAGCAGCGGGCGTGCGGAGGATGGCTGTGCGGCAGAAGAGTAGGTGAAGACAGTTAGAATGGCAATCATTAAAAAGTCAGGAAACAACAGGCGCTGGAGAGGATGTGGAGAAATCGGAACACTTTTACACTGTTGGTGGGACTGTAAACTAGTTCAACCATTGTGGAAGTCAGTGTGGCGATTCCTCAGGGATCTAGAACTAGAAATACCATTTGACCCAGCCATCCCATTACTGGGTATATACCCAAAGGACTATAAATCATGCTGCTATAAAGACACATGCACACGTATGTTTATTGCGGCACTATTCACAATAGCAAAGACTTGGAACCAACCCAAATGTCCAACAATGATAGACTGGATTAAGAAAATGTGGCACATATACACCATGGAATACTATGCAGCCACACAACATGAAGAGTTCATGTCCTTTGTAGGGACATGGATGAAACTGGAAACCATCATTCTCAGCAAACTATCGCAAGGACAAAAAACCAAACACTGCATGTTCTCACTCATAGGTGGGAATTGAACAATGAGAACACATGAACACAGGAAGGGGAACATCACACTCTGGGGACTGTTGTGGGGTGGGGGGAGGGGGCAGGGATAGCATTGGGAGATATACCTAATGCTAGATGACGAGTTAGTGGGTGCAGCGCACCAGCATGGCACATGTATACGTATGTAACTAACCTTCACATTGTGCACATGTACCCTAAAACTTAAAGTATAATAATAAAAAAATAAAAAATAATAAAAAAAAGAGTAGGTGAAGGAAGCAGTTGGCCTTTCTGCTTCGTTTTCTAGTTTTCATCTCCTTTTTGAAAATACGTTAAGTATGAAGAGGCAGCTGTAATTATGGTTTTTCTTTCCTGCCAAAGAGCTGTACTTAGAAAGTTGGGGAGATTCCTAGACAATATATTTGGACTTTTTTTCCCCACTGTCCCTAAGATAGAAGTTTGTGTTCCCGCCCTTCCAGGGGCAGCTGCAGGTACCACAGTAAAGGGCTGGCTAGGAGCCAAAGCAAATCGAAGCACGTGTAAGCCATGCTGTCTCGTAGTAACAGCAATTGATCCCAGCCAATGCCCAAAATATACCAATAGAGACTTTCTTTCTCTCTCTCTGCAACTGGCTTTCTTTAGCAGACACCGCCAGTCGCCTACTCAATATCCAGTTTCTTTGTCTCCTTCATGTTGAAGCCCTTCACTTCCAAGCTCCTCACAGCAAAGCAGTTCTGACTGGCCACACTTGTTGCCCTGCCAGCTTCAGCTTCCCTTCTTTCTGCCTGTGAGGATTTGGGACAGGATAACTTGAGACGCGGGAGTCAAAGCTGACTTTCAAGATATGACGACCACCAGGTTAAACAGACCCTACAAGTCTCATTCCTTTCATCTATTTGGAATTTATTTTTATAAATGATACTAGACATGAATCATTTTTAATTTTCCTCCAGATGAATAGTCTGTTGCACTCACATGATTTATTAAATAAACCATTCTTCCTCTACTGAATTGAAACAGCACATTTTAATATAGAGAATTTTCATATAAGTTTGAGATCTGTAATAAAGTTATATTATAGATATTTTGGGGCTTAAAAAAATAAGGAAACCATTAATATCCCAGGTAAAATCAGGATTTTGGATATTCAGGTTCCCTTTATTCAAGCAGAAGGCTGAATATCTCAGAGAACTCTTGTCATGGGCAGTCTGGTGCTGTTTTATTACTATAATATAACAGTTTGGGATCTGTTTCTGAATTGTCCATCTGTGCTCTAATCTATAGAGCTATCCCTGTGCCTATATCATATCGATTTATTACGGTGGCTCTTAGTGTTTTAATACTTAGTAAAGCAGGTGCCTCTACATCATGCTTCCTTCTGCACTTTTACTGGCTGTTCACAGGCATTTTTCTTCCACGATGAAAAATTTCTTAATATGAAGTTTAAGATCATCATCATCAATTACCCACCCCCCATGGCATTTCTATATTAATATTGACATAATTGATTTTGTATAGTATTAACTCTTCCCGTCTAAGAACATAAGTTTCTCCATTTATTCAGATGTTAATTTATATTCTTCCATTTTGATATTATCATTTATGTCACATAGGTTTTGAACTTTCTTATCCGTATTTTAAAATGCCATCTTTGTTGCCATTGTAAGTGAAATGTTTTCCCCTTTCTATTTCTAGGTTCTTATTTCTAGAATAAAGAAAAGCTTGTATCCAACATTCTCAAATTCTCTTAATTGTTCTAGAAACATTTAGAACTAGAGTTTATTTTTCTAGGTGTAAAATCATATGATCAGTTTAGCTCTTTTTCTGCCATGCTTGTGTGTATTATTTCATTTTGCCTCAGTATATTCACCAGGACCTCCAAAACAATATTGAATAATAAAGATAATAGTTGGCACCACTGTCTCATTTCTGAATTTAATTGATTGGCTTTTAGCATTTCAGTACTTAGAATGGTATTTTCTATTTTGTTTTCAAAAAGTCTTTATCATATTTAAGTAGTTTTTCTTTACTGCCATTTAGAGTTTCTTGGTATAAATAACTGCTGTGGACTGTTCTTACTGTTGTTTTTGTTGATCAAATGCCTTTCAGCACTGATTGCTCTGGTCATATGGTTTTTCTCAATTTGTTGATATGATCAATTATTGATATCCAATCACTCTTGCCTTCCCTTCTTGGTTATAATGTACCATCCATTTGATACTTTGCTGTATTCTTTTTGCTAATATTTCATTTTTACTTTTTTCAGCTTTATCCATAAGCAACGTTGGTTTACATATTTTGTGTACTATTTTTGCAACAACTCGTTTTGATATAATGTTAATTCAAAGGCTTCGTTAAATAAGTTTGGGAGATTTTCATCTTTTTTCTATGATCTTTAATCGTTTTCTATGATCTGGATTAACACTGGCATTATTTTTTCTTTAAAGATTAGATATTACTCAGCTGTAAAATCATCCGATCCTGGTGTGTTTTTACTAGGCAATCTTTAAGTGCCTTTCTGATTTCTTCCACAGTAATTGTTCTATTCAAATTTTCTACCTCTTCTTGAGTTATTTTTGGAAGTGGTAATTATCTGGAAATCATTGTTTTTCTCTGGATCAAGTTAGCAAACAGTGGCCCATGGGCACAAGCCTAGGCCTACCACCTGTTTTTCTACAGCCGCTGAACTAAGAATGATTTATACACTGTTTAATGATTACATTTTAAATGGTTATTTAAATGCCCACGTAATGGCTTTGATTTTACCTCTTGGCTCACAGATGCTAATATATTTACTACCTGACCCACCAACAGAAAAAGTGTGCCAGTCCATGTTCTTGATTTTCAAATAGACTGCCAATGAGCTGCATGTCATATGCTCTTACAGTTTTAATATTTGCCTTATCTGTAGCTCTCTCTTCTTGCTCCTAGTCTTGTCTGTTTTTGCTCTCACGCTTTTTTCTTAAGTAGGCTCACGAAGAGCCTAACTTTTTCAAAAAACTAGTTTTCACATTTATTTATGCATGCAAATCTTTTAGTATTCTATTTCTTTAACTGTGGCTTTTGGCTATATTATCACATTTCATCATTATTTTGGATATCACTTAGAAAGACAAAGTGCTTTCACATAATCTAGAACATAAGGCCTTCTTATCATTTAAAATGTTTATTTGTGTTTATTAGAAGAGCTCTTTTAGATGTATTTAGGCATGAATTTTAATCATGTCTTTTGTGCCTCCATAAAAGGAAAAAATAATTTTGCTTAAGGTATTTCTAAAATGTCTTCTCCTTGAGAGTCCGGGTCTTTTAAATCATTGTGGATTCAATCTTCAGTGTTCATATTTTGCACATAATATTGTCCTCTGTGCTGGTGATGTAGTATTTCTTAAGAGTGTTCTGCTGTTGCATCCAAGATTTATTCTAAACTGTTGATATTTACTCTGTAAGTTTCAATGCTAGTTATCTTCTTCTGGAAGTGTCATTCAAAATATTGCAGACATCAACCAGTACTCATACTCCCTCCCCAAACAGTGCTTAAATGGTTTTTTGACTGACATGCCAAGGGATTTCAATCATGTCACCAGGAAAGACAGCCAGGTTCTTACAAGCATAGGCAATAACAACAAGGTTACACTGCTACGTGGTCAACAGAAATTGAGGACACATTCCGATTTCAGAGATGTCAGAATAAAAAATAAAGCAGGCCTTGAATTGATGAGATACGGTAATCCTCACTTCTTGGTTTACTTTATATTTTTGCTATCTTTAAGATAGGGAATATGTTTAGTTGTAGTCTTTCTTCTATAATAGTAAAGATATTTAAGGCTATAAATTTTTTATGAGACTAGCTTTTGCAGTGATCATTAAAGTTTTTGTATAAAGTATTATTTTTACTGCTTTTAAATAGATTGTAAATTCCATTTTTATTTCCAACTGGACCAAGTATTATCTATTTATTTTTATTCTCTAGGTAGTGCTATTTTGGTTACTCTCCAGTATTTGTTTGTTTATAATTGTATTGGATTATGACCATACAACTTGCCTCATAAAATCTCTAACTTTAAATGTAATAAGACGTCTTTTGTGGAAATATGTATAACTAATTTTATAAATTCTTATGGACACACAAAAATGTATAAGATTTATTCAAAGAAAATAAAATTAAACTAAAACAGAATTTACTAAGGATCAAAATCAGTGTGATCATTGTTTCATTTAATTCCTCGTTGTCTTTACTTGTTTCTCTACTAGTAATAAAAAAAACTAGAAAAATTAAGAAATTTCAAGAAACTTGGTTTCTGGGTAATACAGAAACTTTAGTGGAGCTGGAGAGTGATATTCTTTTTTAACCACATGGTCAAGCAAAAGGTCAACCTGCAGCCATAGCGGTTAGAGGTCAGGATGGTGAGTGTTCCTGAGGGGCTGTGACTGAAAGGGGCCATGAAGGGAGCTTCTGAGATCCTGGTAAGGCTACAGCTTTTTGACTCATGTGCTGGTTATATGACATGTTCAGCTTGTGAAAATTCTATGCATATATATATGCATATGTATGTTTTTCTTCCTTAAAAGATTTTTAATACAACCACAAAGTAGAGTTATTTAATGTCTTTTCTTCTCTCTTTCCCTATTTCCTTTTCTCTCCATCAACCATTGACCTAAAAGAAATATTGATTCTACCTTTAGACTTTTGTTTGTGAAAACTATTTCATGTTCCTTCTCCTTTTCTTCATTGTTCTTTTCCCATGAAATAGTCGGGATAGTTTAACCTGTGTTTAACCCAACATTTCTGTGGCTCAACGTGCTCTTGCAAAGCCCTATACAGATCAGAAGTTCCTCTGTCTTGCAGCTACTCCATCTAAAAGCATGACCTTTAAAGGTCTCAGTGGCAGATAAAGAGGAATCTGGAGGGTCCACCCAGCAGGCTTTTAAAAACCAAGGTCTGTGACTCACACCACTTCTGCCTGCATCTGATGGCCAGAACCCAGCCACATAGTCCCAAACTAACCGTAAGGGAGCTGGAAAAAAAGTAGTTGACATTTTGCTTCTGGTTGCCTGCCTTAATGGCCTAGAAGAACATCTTTCAGGGCTCAACCCTGCAATCTTCTCAGCTGTGCAAGATATCTCCTAATCCTGCTAATCAGCTCTTAAGCTCATGAAACTTGTACCTTAATCCCTTATCCTTCACCCTAAGACCAAATGATGTATATAAACATTTTGCCTTATTAAGAAAGCAAAAAGATTCCAATGCTTGTTTATAGTTAGGTTTGGGAGTAGGAAGGGGGAAGTTTTATGTATCTATTTACTTACTTGTTTTTAACATCTCTAATTTTGCTTGAACATTCCTTAACACTGCTCCAATTTTATTTTCAATATATCTTATAGACAATATATTAAAAGAATAAAACTCATGTGATATAATCAACAAATGACTTGATCATTTTCTCCTCCTACCCATTCAAACCCATTTTGTCAAGGTAATTTTTCCCCAGCCCTCTAGATGAAATTTAAGGCAAGTCTTGTGGTTTTATGGTCATTCATCATTAATTTTAAAAGTTTCCAACTACTTGTGATAATAAAATCAGTTCCAGTTTAGTTAAAAAAAAAAAAAGTTTTATTTCTCGCCCTATGCAATAGTCACAAGATTTAACTTCATTTAGAATTAAATCTTCCTGCCCCCCAAATCAGATATGCTTTGAGAAAAAAAAATAGATGTGGTCAACTCTTTTTCTCTTTCTCCATTTGGAGTTTCTATTCTCCTTCTTTGTTCTCTAGGCTACTTCCACCCCATTTTGGCTTAGAGAGCAGCAAGAAGTAAAGGACAGAAATGTTCTTACTAGACAGATACCGTCATGAGTTAGTATGTTATGAAGGTTAACCCCAGCAGGTGTGGAGTAAGCCTGAGCTGTTTTACTCAAAAGAATTTTACCAGCATGGCACAATTCCGGTCAACAACTGATTAATAATGTCACTTTATAACCACATGTCCAAGGAGCTTTTGGGTGCTTTTTATCAGCTTGTCAGCATTATTTATTGACAGCAGTAAGATTGATTATTTGGACCTAGTCTTAGTAAGACTGCCCTCCGCCCCCTGCCCCAAAGCCTCTGCCATTGCAACTGGTTGCATAGCAAAAATATACCTATATCATCAGCAGGGTATAAGAAACCCCAGCTGAAACTCCACTTTGGGCTCCCTGGTTACTAGGTATTCCGTGAACACATCAGTGGTTCCTGATCTGAGAGAGCAAGTGCAGCCTGCCATGGCCTGACAGAGGGAAGACGATTGGAGCTTGCCCTTGGTGTCTCCAGACCCCTTGCTGGGAGGTAGCCTTTGCCCAAGATGTACATCCTTGCTTTAATGATGATGCTATATTTTATCCTTTTCCTATAATAGAATATAGATCCATAGGTATTGTCATTTGGGGTCCTATGAGTCTCCTTTAGTAGTAAGCCCCAAAGGCCACATTAGTGTGATTGATGTCAGTGCTTTCTAGGATTAATAGCTACATACAACTGACTCTTTGTTTTGAGGGGCATTTTTTGGTTTCTTCAGAGACACACCGACCCCCACTGTACTGGGTTTCTCCCGTGCGACTGAGTCCAGCAGTACCCAACAGCACTCTCTGCTGGGTTCAACTTGCCCTTCCAGGCAGTGTTCTTGGTTGCTATTTAAGAGAACCCCTCATTGGTTTTCTCACACACCTGTGCAACATCTGGTCAAAAGGAAGCATATCAGTAGAACATTTTCTTTCATGAACAAAAAAAGGAAATGTATATTCTCTGCCCCAGTCAACTTGGGGAGTAAAGTCATCCCCTTTGCAGCAATATCTTTTCACTCCTCTCTCAGAGAAGCAAAGCAACAATAGTCTCTTGCCTTTCTGATGTCTCAAACATGACTCAGGTGCCTGTCCACTGGGCCACATGTCAAGCCCACTGGTTGCCCCATTGAAGACCTTCTCCCTAGGCTGGAGTTAAAAGAAAAATGCTTCAACTTTCCCAACAAAAATCTTCTTCTAATCTCTATTTAACCCTTTTATAACCTTGATGGCTGAAGAGGATAAGAAATCCAAAACTGGTTTTAAACACCTCCTTTTTCAAGCCCTGCATGGCAGTCTCATACCTCACTTTGTAGTGTAAGTTATTTCATGGTCTAGAGGGTCTAGCTGAAACTAATAGCAAAAAAAAAGTTTTATTTCTACATCCTATTACACTAATGTAACTTGGAAATTAACTATTTCGACCCAGATCTACCTGATCCTAAAATGCATATTCTTTTTATTATGGCAGACAACCTCTACCAATGTAAAATTAAGGATGCCAGTTCAAATTCATTTAATACTTTTTTGACAGCCTTCTGTTTGTCCTAAAAGAGATACCTCCAAATGTGTATGAGCCACACCCTTCATTCTTACTGTCTTTTTTTCTACTTTATGAAGAAAAGAGAAACCAAGGTGTTTTTTTTTTTCCTACTTTATGAAGGGACGAAATGCCAAAGGAAGCCATTGGTTTCCCTTTCCTTGATAAAGTGGGAGGGAAATTAATTAGCTCCTATGCTCCTATAATGCATTAACCATTGTCAAAATATAGTCCTTTAGAATCACTAGAAATTAAAACTATGCTTTTCTTAAAGACTCTCAGACTGACGCTAGACAACTTGAACTTCAGGAGAAATAACAGCAACTTATATATAAACAACTTTCTTGCCTAATAATATATGGACTTCTCAGAAAGTTCACTTGAATGCCTAATTCCAAACTACAATCCAAAAAGAATCTGTTAGATTGCCACTGTAATCTGAAGATGCTTCAGAGACTGTAGAAAAACTAGTCTGTAGATTTCTCCAGACATTAACATTTGTTTCTATAGAAATGTCTCTTATTAAAGATCTGTTTGCCAGCATCATGTATAGAGGCCTCACTCATCTGCAATGCCACCTCCTGGAATAGGACACAACTGTTTAACTGAAGTGATCTATTCTCAGGACTAAGAGACCAGCTAAAGAAGATATGGGATGATATATTAAAATTTGCTCTTTTGGCCAAGTGTAGTGGCTCACGCCTGTAGATCCCAGCACTTTGGGAGGCCAAGGCAGGTGGGTCACCTGAGGTCAGGAGTTTGAGACCAGCCTGGCCAACATGGTGAAACCCCGTCTCTACTAAAAATACAAAAATTAGCTGGGTGTGGTGACAGGTGCCTGTAATCCCAGCTACTTGGGAGGCTGAGGCAGGAGAATCGCTTGAACTGGGAGGTGGAGGTTGCAGTGAGCCAAGATCATGCCACTGCACTCCAGCCTGGGCAACAGAGCAAGACCCCATCTCAAAAAAACAAAAAAACAAACAAACAAAAAAACCTGCTCTTTTTTTGTTTATCTCAATCTGTGTTTCCATTCCTTTGTCTCTATCTAACAACCTCTAACCCAAATTTCTCCAAAGCTATCAGGTTGGCATTTAATACGTGAAACTTATTTTAAGTTCAAAGTGGGAACTGAAAGAAATCAAAATACTTTACCCCAAAACATATTTCTTTGACATATTTTGAAATGGCTGCCAGCAGACTGAAGTGGTCTTGCAAAACTGCCTTTTGTGGGGGAATTTGCATCTGTAGAGAATCTCCATTAATGCACCCAGGTGTTTCCTTTCTGGGCCTTTCTGGGATCTAGGAGAGATGAACTGAGTCTGACACTTTAAAAGTCTGATATATACTCTTCCTCTCTCTCTCTACACACACACACACACACACACACACACACACACAAACACACATACAATTCTAACAAAACTTGGAAAAGGCATTTGAAAGCTTTTATTGCTGCTTACTGACCTGGAAGATGCCTATGATTTCCAAATTTTCATTTCCAACTGAGGCCATATCAACAAATATGTAACTGTCTCTGCACCCTGTGGGTGATGTTGTTGTATTCATCATGGGCAGTAAATGCAGGGCTGTGTGACACACCCTGAGCTTCTCACCCTGAGCCTGGGCCATGTGGCCAGCTGGTTGGGAATCACTAGAAAGATGCCTTCCTGCAGCTTAATTATTCCCCTCACTC
The DNA here is from genome assembly GCF_000001405.40 of Homo sapiens. NCBI lineage: Eukaryota > Metazoa > Chordata > Mammalia > Primates > Hominidae > Homo > Homo sapiens. Next base: position 143,218,571 of record NC_000003.12, on the reverse strand, counting down.
ATTCTGTCCACCTCTTCCCGTAATCACTCCACAGTGGAAGCAAATCTAGAGACAATTTTGTGAAAAACACAATAGTTCTTCTTTTTAAATGCAAAATAATCAGTCTTCCCCCAATAGCACTTACCCAACCACATAAAAGAGCCAGCAAGACCTCTATCTAGAAGCAAGTTTGAGAGAACGACCCCACAGATAGGAAGCTCTAGGACAGATGCAGCTCCCTACCATAGCAGCACATGCTGGGCTTCTCTGCCTCAAAAGCCTTCAACTGCATGGTTTAAATAAGCAATTTCATGTTAGCTGCTCCTATTTCAAGAAGACTTGAAATAATGTTTTTCTGTAAATTAAAAAGAGATTTTATTATTATAACAAGTCAAACAACAAGAAGAAAAGATGTTAAAGAAAAACAGGAACACCCTCCTCCCTCCCCACCCCTAAGGGCATCCAAGTTAGAAACTTGGCCATATACTTTCCCACCATTTTCATGATCATTTCAATGTTTCTGGGCACATATGCATATGTACAAGGTGGATTGTTTGTTTCACAGATATTTTTAAAGATACTATACCACACACATTACTGCACAACTAAATTACTATTTCTACTTAGATAAGGTATTAATTAGACTCTGGCTTTGGTTCCAGGTAACAGAGATTCAAATGAACAACACAGAAATTTTTTCTAAAAATAAAATTAGAATTAAAATTAATTTTTTTTTTCTAAAAAAGGAGTCTATTTCTGCCTGACTTAACAGAAGTCCAGGGACTTTCTGGAACTCTGTGCCATATATTGAAGAATCCAAGCTCTTTCTGTTTTATTGTTCACCTTCTCCAAGCAGTACCCCTCATCCTCATGGCCTAAGTTAGTTTTCCATCACAGCCAGGTTCCAGGAAATAAGATGGAGGAGGAAAGGGGGAAGAAAGGGCATCCCACCCCACTCTCCACCTCCTTTTAAAAACACAGCAGAGAAGTTGCTCATCTCACTTTCCCTCATATCTCATTAACTGATCACATGGCTATACCTGGCTGCAAGGGAAACTGGGAAGTATAATCTTTTTTTCCTGGCAGCTATGTACCCAGTGAAAAATCATTGAAAGGGGTGGACTTATGAGGAGCTAGGAGGGGAGGTGTAACAAGCAGGCTTTGCCCCAGATAGAGCACCTCCTATAATACATGTTGCTGTAAATCATTCTTTTTAATAACTGCTCAGCTTTCTAAAGTGCAGCTGTATCATAGTTTGCCCAGCCATTCACCTATTTCCAAAAATCTGGGTTATTTCCAGGTTCTTTTTGTTTGTTTTCCCTTTGCCACAGCAAGCAAGAATATTGATATTGAGTGGGAATTTATCAAATACTTTTAAACAAACCTACTGCATTTTAACTCTTCTTCACTAACAGGTGGAGGGACTGTCAAATCTCTCTTCTTCTATATTAAAGACTCTTGAAGAAGGATGACGAAACACATGTAAAAGGCCACAATCCTGTCTTGTTTTCTCTTGTCTTCTAGGTGCTTGTTATTTCCTTCTCAGTGAAAGGAGCTGCAGACGCTCACGTAAATAGAACTAGACATACTTACTTAACTAAGAGGAGGCTGCCTTTAGGGAAGAACAATGACTTTGCTTATTTTCTTCAGACAACAGATTATAAGCTATATTCTGGGAGGTAAACTCTTCAGTTTCACTTTCCCTCTGAAGCTGAGAGTTTGTAGCTCTGGGATTCCTGGCAGGAAAATGGCTTTGGGTTAGAACAGGGATTCTCTGTAATCTGAATGCACAATTATAATGCAGTCTTGGGAGAAAAAAATAAAAAGAGGAAAGGGGGAGGAAAGAAGGGAGAAATGATGAAGGAAGGGAGGAGGGAGAGGGGGAGAAAAGGTTGTGCAGCAACACTTGAGCACCACAAACATGACCAGACAAGAGGACCTCTGTCTTGGTTAAGTCTCATTGGTTGTAAGTAACGAAAAGTAACTCAAATTGGCTTCAATATGGAAAAAAAAAAGAAATTTAGGAAGATATAGGAGTATCTCAGGAGCCAAAAGGAAGGTGGAATAAGGGAAGGATGGAAGCCAAAAAGAGGAGATCTATCTGGCAATCTGCTTCTTGTTTTCTTTCTGCAGGCCAGCCTAGAAGCGTCTCTATATACGTATGAGCAGAAGGTAACAATATCAACTCCCAAGACTCCATCCTATCTCTTCAAAAGACCAGCCCAGGCTGACTAGTCATATTCTTAATTCCGAGTTTTTGGAAGAAAAAAATCTAGTTGGTCCAGCTTGGGTCAGGTATCCACTCTTAGTTCAATCAACTCTGGCCAGAGAGGCAGGGTCTGGAAGTGGAAACCTGGCTTCTGGGACTTCAGCCCTGTGAATAAAAGTATAGTCCTACAAGAAAGTATGACTTGGAAAAGCTAGGATTCAGTTCTGCTCAGCCACTTGTTCCTCTGGCCTTAGACAAGTCACTTAAACTTATAGGCCTCGTCTTCCTCATCTGTAAATGAGATAACAATGCTTACCTCAGAGAATTATCATAAAAATTAAATAAGGCTGTAAATATGATACAAAGTCTTAGTGATCAATGGAACCATGAGTAAAGAAGGTAAAACAACATGAAGTGTCAAATTGGTAACATCAATTTGAGAACACAAATTTATCTTCTCCAATGTTGTCATTTCTGAAAGTGGTCCAATAGCAGCAACTGCATCCTGCCAATCAGCAACTCAAGATATTACTCCTAGCACTCAAATCTTGGTCTATAAGAAGAATCAGGATCCTTTGAGGGTAGAAGATTCCATATTTTGTGAAAAGGAAAATTCAGATGAGTCTGGAATAAGTAAGGAAGCTTTAAAGAGTGTTATGGTCAGTATTAAAAGTAAATGGAACCTGTGTGAAGAGACTCTGACTGGGGAACTTATGATAATTTGAGCACAGATTGATATCACACTTTATAGTTAAATAAGTTTTTGTGTGTACATGAAAGGCCATGAATTCTCAATAACACTCAAAACAAAAATGCTAATATAAATTATTCAAAATGGCAATTGTAATGGAAAAGAAATGTGAACATAATAAATTATGCTTAATCTGTATTGATTTATTACAAGTATAAAACCAAAGTATTGTTTTGAGTGTTTTTAATGTGTTCTGGAGATTATAAGGCAACTATATATGCATTTTTTCCTTAATGTGGGTTGGCAGGAAATAGTGAACATAAAAAAAGTTGTCGGTAAGCCAAAAAATTATGGAAAAATTAGTGGCCGTGTATCATAACCAGAGACACGGGGAGTCTCTGTTATATATCACATCTGTTAACTATGGTGGTTGCATACAGTGACCCATTGCAAAGGGTTCAGCCAGGTGCAACAAGATGATGAAATGGCATGTTGCAGACTAGCTTTCCCAGGAAACGAACTCTGAGATGGAGATGGCAGGCAGGGGGTTTACTGTGGAGTGTTCTTGGGAACAATTCCCATAAGAGAGTGAAAGAAACAGGACAGAGGAAGAAGTTGAAATGAAATACAATTGCAAGAAAGGCCATAGGCAATCCCGTGGGGAATCATAAAGTTGGGATGGCCCTCCAAGTGGCCCAAGGTGAAGCAATAGGCCAGGCTTTCCTACCCCTGCATTGACCAGTTACTAAATCAGGCTTTACCCTAGATCATGACCTTGGACAAGGTAGCTTCCCTTTGACTGAGGGAAATTCTTGAAGAGGGACTTATCTATGAGCCATAAGCAGGCAACATTTCTGGGGAATGAGTTCCTTGATAGGGAAGGAAGGATCTGGGTGCACTACAGCATTCCCTACACTCCACTCCTTGTACCATTCAAATCCACTCCCTTCATATTTGTAAGTCTATCCCATTTAGAAGCAACTCCTCCAGGATTCCAGTTGGTCTCTTTTCCTGGGAAAGCTTGCAAGGGAAAGGTTAGTGGGGCGAACTTAACAGATCCCACCACTGCAGCTGGTCTCCAGTCTGCAACTAGAACATAGAGGTTTCCTGGGATGCAAGATTTTCAGTCATAAAACCAGGACAGTCTGGGGCAAACTGGGGGGGCTGTTACCTTGGCAGAAACTGATACTCAGCCTTTCAACTGATACCTCAGCTTCCTATTCTAGATGTCCCACACCATGAGCTAGCAACGCTGCCAATCTTGAGTTCCCTGTTCCTGACAGATCTAAATTCCTGGTTACCATGCTCTTTTTAGGCCATCAAGCTGCACCTGACCACTTACCCTCAAAATTAGCCAGACAAGAGTCAACTCAATTTCTTGGGTGCCAAACATATTCTTTCCTGCCCCATTGTGAAACACTAGTCCTTCCTTCTGGGTATTATGGTAAATTAACTCTGCAAAAATGGTGACTCTTTTTCCTTACTTGCTGGTCTCCTGGTATAAGGATTCCAAAGCGACTAGGTGCCACTCATAGTTTAAAGTTTAATGAGACTTATACAGTGTTGCCTAGTGGATAAATTCAGGAACTGTAGACCTAGAGTAGAGATGGAAGCAAAAATTCCTCAAATGGGCCACGGAAAGTGACAGTAAACTGTACCACCACTATATGTACCCTTGACTTCTCAGACTCATGTACCCTACCTATTAGGGAAATAGCATCATATAATGAATGTTGATTTAGGGCATATACTCTATCCTTGAGGACGTCACCCTATCCTTTTAGGGTATCTGCTCTAAGCTAGCACCTCAGCAGTACCATCAAAAGGCTATTTTGTTGTTCTATCAGGCTAAAAGCTTCTGGAGGATGCAGTACATAGTGGGACTAGTAGGTCCTATGGTTATGTGCCCACTCTCGTACTTTCTTTGCTATAAAGCAAGCTCCTCAGTCCAGTGAATTGTTATGTCAGATCCCATGTCAGTGAACAAAACACTCAGTTTTGTTTGGATAGTGATGCTGGCTGAGTCCTGTGGGAAAGGCAAGCCTGTACCTGGAATATGCGTAGATTCTAGTTAAAATTAATTACTTCCACCTCCTCTACAGTGGAAGGAGCCCAATGTAGGCAACTTGCCATCAAGGGATGGGGCAATATTGGAACTTAGTGTTGGTCTCTGTTGCGGGAGGGTAGCACATTCAGTAGTGACAGTAGCTAGATCAGCCATGGTAAGTGGGAACACCTGTCATTGGGCCCATATGTAAGCCTCTATTTCAGTGACCACAGCTACTCCATCCTTGTGGATATACTCACTGTGACAGCATTGTGTCAGCCCTAAGGTAAATAGTAAAAAGGATGGCCAATGACAACTGAACACATCATTCCGTCTTCATGGTTGTTTAGTGCTTCTTCCATGGGATACCTTCTGGTTGGCATCAACTTGCATTACAGAGATTCTCACACTTTGTGACCATTCCCATAGGTCCATTTATGTGCCTCTTTCCTGGACCTCCTTATCCCCGTTCTTCCAGTATTTCTTCTTTCAGACCTCTGACTAAAAAGCCAAGCCATTTACCACTGCCTGTTAGTGCATTCATAGTCTCACCTTGAACCACTTCTCCTTTCGTAAAAGTTTACAATCATATGTACCACTCAATGTTCTGCCCTTTGAGATGATTGAGATCTTTATCAGTTATAATAATGTCTGCCGTTCTCCCCAGAATGCTATGTTGTTTTTTACTTATAATTGTTTAAGTTATCTGACACTGAATAACAAATCACTCCAAAATGTGGTGGCTTAAAACAGCAGCTATTTTGTTATTTGGCATAATTCTACAGTTTAATAGGGACTTAACTAAATCAGTCTTCTGTAGGTCTTGCTTGGAGTCTCCCATGCAGATGCAGTCAGTGGTCCAGCTTCAAAATCCTAGTTTGGATTTTGCTTCTTAAAATTATACCTGGCACCAACCTTCATAGGTGCATTCCCTCAAAGCAAACTCTTGAGATGGAGGTTTCCTTGTGTGTCCTCTTGGGAACGGCTCCTGTAAGCCAGTGATGGAGCAGAGAGGAACAGACCCCTGAGCTGATCCCATGGGGAGCTCTGAAATTGAAATGGCTCTTCAGAGATGTCCCATACTGAAGCCAGGGGATCGGCATTTGTACCCCCACTTCAACTTGTCACTGGAGTAAGGCAGCTCCCTTTATCCTAGGACAATTTCAGGAAAGGACTGTGCTATGAGCGGTTAGCAGGCAATGGGCCTGGCCACTGAGGGAATAAGTGCCTCAGTCCTGAGGAGCAGAGCTGAAAGGCACATGTAGCATCCACTGTATAGCCCAGATAATTTACTACACAAGCTTAATCCTCTAAGTGGACTTATTAATAATAATGAGATACTAGGAAGTATAACTGTGTTTCCAATAATACTTAAAGACCCAGCCGACATAACGACAATTCAGGACAGTGAGAAAGTCGAGTATCAAAAGCCTAAAAGCCTCAAAAACCTAAAATCTCATGACTACTAAAAGAAACAAATTTTTTAAAAAGTGGAACCAGCCAGGGCCACTAACCAGGGCTATAGTTTAAATCATTTTGAACTTAAAAACCAAAAGGTCCTCTGTCCAGACAAAGAATCAGCTGGTGCATCCCGAAATCTGCCGTCTAAGTTAGTCGGGTAAAATTACTGCTATTCTGAGAAGGTATGAGAATAAAAGTGAAAATAAGGACACAAGTAGGATAAAAATAATAAAACATTTAAGTCCATGGTGTAAGCGTAAGAATAAGATCTTCAATCACTGCGTGTTTTATCTCCTTCTTAAGGGTGTTTAGAGTGTTTGACAGAATGGGATACATCGGACTTGTGAAAATTAACTGTTGAAAGGGGTTTAATTAAATAAATTGCTAATCTACGTTTAAATGGGGAGAAACATCTCAAACTCCTAAGTTTTGGCAGATTAGTTGTTAAGTAGTGTGTTTATTTAGAGAAATATTAGTTATTTAATAATTAAAGAAATGTTTATTGTTTCATTAAATCCAAAAAGTTAATAAGTTGAGCATCAAAGGAAAGCTAATGATATAGTTTGGATGTTTGTCCTGTCCAAATTTCAATGTTGGAGGTGGTGCCTAGTGAGAGGCATTGGATCATGTGGCGGATCCCTCAGGAATAGGTTAGCACCGTCCCCAAGGTAACGAGTGAGTTCTTGCTCTGGGTTCAAGCAAGTTCTAGTTGATTAAAGAGTGTGGTGACCGGGTGCAGTGGCTCACGCCTGTAATCCCGGCACTTTGGGAGGCTGAGGCGGGTAGATCACGAGGTCAGAAGATCAAGACCATCCTGGCTAACATGGTGAAACCCCGTCTCTACTAAAAATACAAAAAATTAGCGGGGCGTGGTAGCGGGCGCCTGTAGTCCCAGCTACTCCGGAGGCTGAGGCAGGAGAATGGCATGAAGCCGGGAGGCAGAGCTTGCAGTGAGCCGAGATCGCACCACTGCACTCCAGCCTGGGCGACAGAGCGAGACTCCGTCTCAAAAAATAAAAATTAATTAATTAATTAAATTAAATAGAGTGTTGCACTCTCCCCCCAACCTCTTGCTCCTGGTCTTGCCAGGTGATGTGCCTGCTCCTTTCTCCTTCTGACATGAGTGGAAGCTTCCTGAGGTTCTCCCCAGAAGCAGACGGCAGCACCATGCTCCCTGTACAGCCTGCAGAACTATGAGCCAATTAAACCTCTTTTCTTCATAAATTACCCAGCCTCGGGTAATCCTTTACAGCAATGCTAAAACTGACACAGCTAGGTAGTAGTGAGTGCTCCCCTCCAAACACAACCCCCGCCCCCACCTCAGATAGTAAGTAAGAGAGTCAATAGAGATAATATCACCAATGTGAAACTCCCTTACACAGGCTTGGCATGGAATCTGTACTTGATATATGTTGGTATTATTTTAACCATAAAATCCCCCAGATTCAAACGACAGTACCAAATAAAAGACAGTTCAAAACTAAATCTATATAATTGGGTATTGTCCATGGCTTTTACTTTTCTAAGCCCGTTGTGTTCCATTCACCAGACAATTGTGAACCTACGTGCAGGTATTTATGAAATTCTCTCGGTTGGCCATGGTAAAGGAAGCTCTATCTGGTTCTCAGTCAACTCTTTCCATCCTTGTTCTTCCTGGAAGGCAGCAGAGAGAGTGTGTTCCAGTGTTCCAGCGACTGTCAGCTGGAACCAGCAATTAATTATTTGAGACTTTATCCAAAATCATTTTCACTGAGAAATCTGCTCTACTTCCAGGGTAGAAAAAAATCAGAAAAACAAAACAAATCCAGATTTATTTTTGTGTGGTACAATAAACAGAAAACGCTAACTACCAACACTTGAGAGAAGCCAAGAGCCAGGCAAAGATTCAGGTTTTAAAACCAATTCCTTCCCAAGTGTGTTTTTAAGCAGTCAGGGCTTCCAAAATGCACACTGTACTCTCAAAACAACTCTCCTGGAAGGATCAAAACAAATTCCAATGAGTTTATTTCCTTTTCTTTGTAAAGCATTTAAGCTCTGCTCCTGCAATGAGGGACCTCTGTCCCTGGACTAATAACCTCTCTTGGAAGTTTTTAATCCTGAAGCAAGATGTAGGTGTGTGAGCTTCCTGGCTCGAGTCAAAGCCACTTTAATGTCAAAAGAAGTGAGTGCACAATGCCCACTCTGTTCTCACAAGTTTGTTTTTGTTTTTGGATTGTGTTTTTTTCAGACTCTTAACTTCCTTTTCATTTTATGTTGAGTTAGTATTTAAGTTTCAAGTCACTTTCTCGAGCCACCTTGTCAGCAATATCAGCGAAGTTGACCCAAGACTGCCTAGCAAGAGAGAGACCCTGGTGGCTGCTCTATGCCTCACCATCATCCTTCAGCACTTTCTCCTTCTCAACAGATTCACAAAATACGGCAAGCAGCCCCTGGAGAAACAATCTTCTTGTCTTCCCAGTGGCTTTCCATGCGGTGCTATGGAAGAGAGGGTAAATCTCTGGTCTCCAGAGGCCTGGATTCCAGCACCAGCACTGCACTAGCTAGCTGTGTGACCTTGGGCAAGTCACATCCCCTCTCTGTTTCTGAGTCCTCATGGGTAAAATGAAGGCACAGGGTTAGATAATATATAAGACTTACTTATTATCAGCCCTCAAAACTGACAGCTTTTAAGCCTCCCCCTCCCTCTTCCCCTTCTGTCCCCCTTCTGAGAAATCTGATAAGAAAGCCCAGGTGCTCCCTTGGAGTTTCATGCAATGCAAGCACCTGCTAGATGTCAGAACTCTCACCCTGGCCCCATTCCCTAATCACCATAAAAACCCAAGCTAGTCTTCTTTCCCTGCTCTCAAGCCATTTGAGACCTGCTTGGGATCTATCCTGCTCTCTCCAGAAAGCCTCATTATATAAGAAACTAACCTTTTTTTACACTATTGATATGTGTGCAGCATATCAGCCTTGACATCTAAACCAAATTTGGGGTGGGAGTCCTTCCAGTTTCTACACAGTGACTGCAGATAATCTTTGGCATCTGTGTTCAAAGGCTGCACCATTCAAGAGAAACGTAATGTGAGCTGCACATGAAGCATTAATAGAAGCCACCCTAAAAAAGTAAAAATTTTTTAAAAGCCACGTAAAATAAATTCTAATAATATACTTTATTTAATCCAATATATCCAAAATATTATTATTTCAACATGTAATCAATGAAAGAAGTATTAATGAGATAGATTAACATTATTCTTCCCATACTAAAGTCTTCAGAAGCTGGTGAGCATATTGCACTGCAGCACATCACAATTTGAAGTAGCCACATTTCAAGTGCTCATAACACATGTGTGGCCAGCGGCTAGACAGTGCAGGTCTAAGGAATCCCAATGAAGGCCCCAGATTCCTGAAACTATTGTTGTTTATTAAAAGTATTACATATTTATGAAAACTAAGATGCTATCAGTTATAAGATGCATTATTTCACATACCATTTAAACATTTTAATTATGAATGCCATAAATTCAGAGATTTTAAACTGAAAAAAAGTATGTACCTTAGAACTCTTAAATATATATATTTCTTTAAATATATATAGTAGTTTCCTCTAAAGGGCCTGACCCCAGGGAAAGGTGTAAGATGAGAAAATCAGTGTTTTGGTACCATTACCAGTTTGGTATTATTACCCTGCAAGATCCTGTTTCTCTCCTTGGACCCTAATTCTACCTAATTAGGAATTCTACCCAATTCCTGTCAATCCTTGTTTTAATGGATTGACATCTATTATCTAATGATAATTAGATGACAAAAGAGCGTTACATGTCTCCCTAAAATGTACATGTTGAAATCCTAACCTCCAGGTTGATGGTATTAGGAGGTTGGGCCTTTAAAAGGTGATTAGGTCATGAAGATGGAGCTCTCATGAATGGGATTAGTGCCCTTATAGAAAAAAGGCCCCAAAGAGACCTCTTGCTCCTTCCACCATGTGAGGACACAGCAAGAAGTCAGCAGTCTGCAACCTGGAAAGGGACCCTCACCAGAACCTGACCATGCTGGTGCCCCAGTCTCAGATTTCTGGCCTCCAGAACTGTGTGATAAAAATTTCAGTTGTGTGTAAGTCACCCAGTCTATAGTACTTTGTTATAGCAACCCATACGGACTAAGACAGGGAGTACTCATTGTACTAGGGGAATCCTTAATGTGACACTTGCATTTTCAAAGAAGACAACTAAAATGAGGCATTTATTGAGCACTGTGCCATGCAGTGAGCTCATCTAATCCTCCAACAAACTCGTGAGTTAAGTATTATTTCATTTCCATTTTTCAAAAAAGAAGAAAAAAAGCAGACTCAGAGAGGTTAAGTAACTTGTCCAAGGTCAAACAGTATAAATGGCAAATTCAGGTTAAATCTCTCTGATTCATTAGCCCATTTATTTTCTTGATAACCTAAATAGGGAAGTGATAAAGATGGGTTGAAAGATAGAGTCCCAGAAGGCAACTACTTACCTACTCCTCTTTAGGAAGAACCCACTCACTCCTTCTCAAAGGCCTTAACAATTGACTTTCAGGTGGCCTCCTCCATCAAACCACCATCAAATGTCAGCTCTGACCACAGTATTTGGCCACCCCTGGTGACTCAGCAGGTTTTCTTTGCAAAGCTGCAAGCAGCCCTTGGAATAGGCAATCCCCTTTTTAAAAAATGCACATCTTGAGCTCCAAGGAAATGCCTCAGTGAGCAGAATCAAGAGCACACACCAAAAAAAATGGTTGTGTGTGCAGTTTTGGAGGTGAGACTTTGCACAGTTCAGTAGCCATGGCCTATCACTCATGGCAGGATGGCCACACAGCTGCAGTTCTCAAGAGCCCGGCAGCCAGGGCCAGGCAGACATTACTTGTTTTTTTGGGGGGGGATTTTTGTTGTTGGTGGTTTTTTTAGTCCATGGGCTTGAAGCAGCCTCAAGACCTCAGCCCAGTATAAAGGGCTGCCTAGCAAGCCAGCCAGACTGAATTCCAACCCAGTTCAGAGAATTGAAATGTGAGAAGGAGCTATTCTTCAGCATAACCAGCACCACGGCATAGGCAACGCTTCAAAACACACAGGCAAAGAAACCCCTCAATTAAGTCTCTCAGCTGGAAGTATGTGGGTATCAAAATTGTTCTTAAGCACTATTTATCACTCACAAGCTGAGAATATCAGGGGAAAAAAAGTAAACCTGAAAAGCGTCATTGGAGACATTACTAGAGAAATAAATAAGACAGTGCAAAAAAAAAAAAAAGAAAGGAAAAAAGGTGTTCCAGGCTCTGTCAATGATGAGGATTAGAAGTGGACCGTTTGACAAAAGAATTTTCTCTACCACTTTTAGCTGGGGGTCAAGGCATTTCAAACATTAACCTGTCCTGGACATCATTACAATTTAAAGATACTTTATAAATGCCTTGCTCATACCTTCCTACAAAAACTCACACTGAGTTATTTTTGTCATTATTTTCCAATTTCTAGGTATTTGGAATATTTAGAACTACTGCTGCTGCAAAGGCTAAAATAGTCTCATAACAAGCCAAGCCCTCACATGCTTAGAATCATGAATTAGCTCCTTCTTTGGCTTTGCCACACCCAATGACAGCCACACACCTCTCCCCAGCTTATTTGAGGTGGAACAGAACCAAAGAAAGAGCCAGTTCCATGATCCTAAGCAGTAAAATTTCAGACCAGTGCATTGCGGAGGACAGGCCTCAACTACTTAATCCTAATGGGTGGAAACAGGGGGAACATGCTTCATTTTTCTACAACCCTCAGGCCAAAGTCAAACTTCACTCATGCCTTCTTTGTCACTCGCTTTCCATAATGATGACTTGAATAGTATTAACTTTAACAATAAAAATAATAGACCCCTTTATATCTTGAGACCGAAGCCCTGGAGAGCCAGGGGCCTGTGATCGCCCTCCCGACCCCAACGAGGGATAGCCATGGAGGCAGGACCACCACCCTATGGGTCCAGAGGGTAGAACATGGGGCCAGAGAGGATTATTCTCAAACCCTAAGGTTTCATGTTGTTTTCCCTGTCAGGTTACATAGGACCTATGACCACTTTGTTCTGTCCTATTTCTCCCTTTCAGAATGGAATAGCCTACATTGGTCCTATCATTGTATTTGGGAAGCACATAATTGGTCTGGTTTCAAAGGTTTGAAGCTGGAGAGGAATTTTGCCTCAGGATGAATTGTACTTTGAGTTTCACCTATATCTGATTTAAACAATATTTAGATGAGACTTTGGACTTTAGACTTTAGTGTTGTCTTTGGAATGAGTTAAGATTTTTGGAGCTGTTGGGATGGAATGAATGTATTTTGCATGCAAGAAGAATATGAATTTGGGGAGCTAGGGGCAGAATGCTATGGGCTGAATATTTGTGTCCCCTCAAAGTTCATATGTTGAAATCCTAACCTCCTATGTGATAGTATTAGGAGATGGGACCTTTGTGAGGTGATTAGATCATGAGGGTAGAGACTTAATGGATGGGATTAGTGTCTCTGTAAGAGACCCCAGAGAGCTCTCTCACTGTCTTTCCTCTATGTGAGGGCACAACAAGAAAATAGCCATCATAAACCAGGAAGCAGGCCCTCAACAAACACCAAATCTGCCAGTGCCTTGATTTTGGACTTCCCAGCCTCCAGAACTGTGGGAAATAAATGCATTTTTTTGTTTAAGCTACTCAGTCTATGGCATTTTGTTATAGCAGCCCCAACTAAGTTACATTACTGCTTGCTTGCTGTGTGCCAGGCCCATGCTAAGCATTTTGCATACCTCACTTCACTTAATCTTTATAGCACTTGGCACTATCTAAGATTCTCTTGTTCACTTACTCATTTTTTATGTCTCCCTTACACAAATCTAGGCACCAGGAGGGTTGGAAGCTTGTCTCATTCAAAGCCATTTCCCCCAGTGCCAAGAATGATGCCTGGCACATAGCAGGCACTGATTAAGTACTTACTAAATAAGTTATTTTATCTTTATAAGAATTTCATAATGAAAACATTCTTATCCTAATTTTGTAGGTGAAGAAACAGAGACAGAACAACTCAAAATTTCATAGCTAATAAGTGGCAGAACCAAAATTTAAACCTAGATCTCTGGGACCAGAACATTTGCTCTGAAACATCTATGATCAGTTATGAAGCTTTGGCTGAATCTCTTTAAACCCTCCACAAAAAGGATTAAACAATGAGAATATTATATTATGTAGCAAGAAGTTCAAAGGTGGAGGTAGTTCCAAGATTGAGCATCCTTAGTGTTGAACATCATCAAGGACATAGCTTCTCCATTCTTCTCTTCAACCTGTCCCCTAGACTGGTGGCTCCCCTGACAGCCCTAAGATGGGTACCACAGGTATAAACACTATATGCAAACAATAACATTCAAAGGTAGCACTGAAATCTATCCCATCTTGCAAATCTTATTGAGACTAAGGGGAATTTTCCCAAAGCAGCCCCAGTCAACTTCTCCACTCGTCTTATTGGCCAGAATTGCATCACCTGTTGATACCCAATATAAACACATTACAAAAGAAATGAAATGACCATATTGCAAATAAAATGACCATATTGCCTTAGACAAATAAACTTTCGCCCTCAGGATTTGAGAAAGGGCCACAGCCCCTTATCCAGGACATAAGCATGCAGAGAAGAGTGAAAAATTGGGGTTCTGTTGGTGTCCCAGTTGTTATTGTTGCTTAAGAAAATTCCTTAAATTAAGTGGCATAAAACAACAACAATTTAATTATGCTAATAGATCATTTGGCAAGGCCATAGCAGGGTGGCTGGCATCTGTTTTATGACATCTGGGGCTTCAGATCAGAAGATTAAAATGGCTAGGGGGGTGCAGAATAATTGGAGGCTTTTTCATTCACATGTCTGGTACCTGAGTGGGAATTACTCAAAGGCTGAGCTCAGCTGGGATGGTTAACTGGAGCACCCACACACGCCCTCACTGTGTGGCTTGGACTTCCAAACAGCAAGGTAGCCTCATGATAATCAGACTTTTTATATGGCTTCCCTATGCTCCAAATATGAGTGTTCCATTGAACAAGAAAGAAGGTGGATCCTCTTTTATAATTCAGCCTAGGAAGCTATATAGCATCACTTCTGTTAGATGAGTCAGTCATAAGCTATTGGATGAATCAGTCCTAAGCCTACCCAGACTCCAGGAGAGAGTATAAAAACCCTATGCCTCCATGGAAAGAGTATCAAAAAATTTGTGATCATTTCTTAAAACCACCACTGTTATCAAAGGAGTAGACAAACAACAGTATCTACCTTTGGATCAGAAATTAGTTACATTTTCAGAAAACGATCACGGAATAATCACACACATAGAAAATTAGTAATGTCTTGCAGACTCCTATAGCTAATTCCCTGTTCAGTAGATAGGCTGTAGGATAGACCACCTACCCACTGAATTCATCTATAATTTAACAATCAGTAAGGTTAGTACTTTTCAAAATAGATGAAGAACACAATCTCTGCTTTAGAGTTGTAAAGTTTAATGAGAAAAAATGGGCTAGCTTACAGCTCTTTTCCTTTAGTTTTTTCTAGCAGTTAGAAGTTTTTTCTGTATACTTCCTCACTAATTCTGCTCATGTCGTATGGCCCTCTGTGCCCTGTTTGCTTCTGCTTACCTGTCTGTATAATGGAATCAGCCAGCCCTGGAGGAGCAGGTTCTTGTGATTTCTTTCCTCTATTCACAACTGACATTAAGGTCCTTGGAAACTGTGCTGTTTAAATGCAAAATGTTGTGACTATCATTTCATTATTTGAAAGCTGAACAGCACGAGGATAATTTTGTTGTCACGTTGCTAGGTTACTGACAGACCTCCCTGCCTGCACTGAGATGCTGAGACTTGCTGCAGCTTTGCACCAGGGCAGCCTTTCTCGGGCTGAGATATAGGTGGGGAGAGAGTTGACCTACAGCCAAACAGCTATGGACATCACTGGGAAGAGAGGATATTTAGTTTCCAGGTACTATGACTGTGTTTGCTTGCTCTGTGAATCCAGCAACTCAGCTTCTAATATCATGCTAGCCAACCGATGAGCTTAACCCTGACAATGATCAGATTGCTTATCTGGAAGGGCCAAATCCACATGCACTTCATTTTCCAGAGAATAAGGATGGAGAAAATCAAACACAGCAAACAGGCAATAATACCTGGAACGCCTTTCTTATGCTCAAGGCATGGCATTGCCCTTCTGACACATTTGCCCACATTTTTATAAAGGGAAGAGGGGAAAATCTCATGCTATTAACACTGCACTGTTAAAAAGTCTCTCCCAGGCCAAGCAATCTGTTGGCAGTCCCATAGTAGATGCTATTGTAAATGTCTAAAGAAAGATAAGCTCTCCGAGATATGACATTTAGATAAAGTGACAAATAATTATACACACACACAAAAGAAGGAGCTCTCACCCCACGTTCCTCCAGGTGAGGACTATTTATTGAATGTACTCTACTGCTAGAGAAAACTTTCCAGCAGTTTTAACCTGGTGAGCCTTTGTCTCTTTAATAATGATTTAAGCCAGGCAGCAGCATCCCGACTCTCAAAAACCCAGGCATATTTTCTCCCTGGCCATGTGACCGTGAAGAATAATTTTAGAAAATTCTGAAATGATCTCATCAATGGGGATGTGATATTCAGTATTCATCTGAAATCCTCTACCCATCTGTTTTCTTCTAGAGCAACATGGGAGAAAAAACAAGGAAACCAATAAAGTTGTTACAAATGAACATGGGAAAGAAAAGAAAGGCAGAGAAAGGAAAAGAGAAAGTCAAAAGGAGACAGATGGAAATCAAGCTGGTGGCGAATTCTGCCTGGACAAGGCAGGGGGATAGAGACCAGTCTTCCTTGGAAAACCACGAAGCTTACTCATTTGTCCCCAAGGATTTACTGGCACCTTCTCTGTGGCAGGCCAGTTTCAGGTGCTGGAAAGGCATCAGTGAACCCTGACTGGGATGTAGAGCCTGGCCAGAGAAGCCAATTAAGCACACAAATAAATGCGCGTTTACGGACAGTGGTGGGAGCTGAAAAGGAAACACCCACAAAATATCATGAGCGTATACAGCTGGTACATCTCATTTACATGACAAGGTCATGGAAGGCCTCCCTGAGGAGGTAACATTTGCTCTTGAGAAACACTAGGAACCCATGGAGGGTGGCTGGAAAAGTGACCAGCACAGCAGAGGCTGGTGGGCATGTGCAGCATTAGGGCATAGCCGCGAAAGCAGCTGGAAGACAAAGTGCACCTCGTCCACTGCCACCATTGCATTTGCAATGAAAAGTCCGAAATGAGCTGTAACCTGTGGAGCTCTCTCTACTCCTCCTCCCCTTTCCCAGGACCCCTAGAGAGAACAATTGTTCTGTTTACAGGAAGATTGGTTCACACTACATCTTTCTTAGGTAGGAATGAAGTCAAAGAAAATTATCTGTTTGGTTTTATAATTTGACAAATGAACCTCTTTCGATCCTTATCGCTTTTCATAGGATCTTCGTCACTCTTTGACCCACATAAACCCTCACCTCATCCCCTGGCATATAATTAAATGCTTTCCTAGAATCTAGCTGTAAATGAGGCTTCACAGTAAGCTATCTTTCACAATAAAATGGGAAAAGATCTCAGTGTATACAAACAGAGTGAATTTATGTTATACCATCTTTAAAAAAAAAAATCAAAGGTTTCTGGGGCTGGAAGAAAACCAAATATTTCTCTTGATTTTGAAAGAGTTCCTCAGGGGGCTCATCTCACAGAAACCTTCAGCATTGTTACATCAATTTGCTACAACTTAAATTAAAATTATATAAATTCTGTGAGGAAGACCTAATACTGTTTCTCAATCGCTTGAATCATTTTTCTTAATGCAGCATGGCCACATCCTCCAGATGCCGGTAGCCTGGACAGAGATGGGAGGCAAAATTCAGAACTGGCTCCACTTATTCAAAGTCACATCTGCCATCCTGCAATAAACATTCTATATGCAAATTGCCTCAAGAGACTCCAGAAATTGACTAGTTTCTTATGCTGTATCTTAACACCAAAAGAAATTGAAAACAGTTTTATGGCTTACGTCCATAATACATTCCATCAGTGTGTCCTGTGTTTCTATCTGTGTTTAATATATCAATATATTAAACCCTTCTTTGAGTATTTGCTTATGCATCACCAGTTCATTTTTTATAAGAGAAAAAAAGAGCTTCCAAAAATATTTATCCAAATGAGAGCTATTAATGGCCAAAACCAAGCTGAGTTCAAGCCTCTATTGTTCCTGAAATTGAATTGTTTCAAAAAAGCAGTAGGAAAAGTTTTGCAGGTTAAAACCATTTACGATGTAGAAATTAAACCCCATTTTTCCAGGAATTAAAAGTCCTGGGTGGACCTGAAGCTCTGCTTTGAGTTATTCTGTTCTGGCCATAACGTTTGGGCCACTTCACTGCAAAAGAATTTCCATCTCAGCTTTATAATCCAATTAAAGAGATCGAGCAAAGCCACTGTGCTTCGTGTTTTCTTTTTTAATCATGAGATGAAGATGATTATATTTTTGTTTTGTAGGCTCCAAGGGGGAGTATTAAATTCTTGGTTATGTTCTTAGAGGCTACATTTTCCTCCTAATTCTATTGCTCTTAAGAAGAGTTTGGCAGAGACCTTCAAAGCCGTTGTGTTTCTTTTATTTTGCTTCCCTGGAGCTTCGCAAAATGGTAACAGCTCATGCCTCCTACATGAGGCCCACCTCCTCCCCATTGAGAGCTCATATCTCACCCTAGCTTTGGAACTGCAACAATGGCATTGCGGAGTGGTTTTAAATTTGTTTTTATTACAGCACTGAAAGCTGAATATATGAGATGCAATTATGTCCATCGTATACACAGTTCTGTTTCTTGGTGAATTTCATCTAAGGAGTAAATATGTCCAATCAAGTTTCTGCGGATGCCTGTGACGTTGGTGCAGTGAACTATGGTAACATTACTCCTCCTTTGGGGGACACGTGCTATACAAATTTTGCATCATGATTCATAGAATCACAGACTGTTGTTGCTGGAAGAAATCTTAGAGAACTTAATCAAGCCTTCCTCATATTACAGGTGAAAACACAAAAGCCCAACGATACTTCCTGTCCAAGTTCACACAGCCAGTTGGTGGTAAAGTTGGGGCAAAAATTCAGGTTTTCTGATTTCTAGTCCAGGACTGCTTGGGCCAAACCACATTGCTGCATTATTCTATGGGTTTATTTAATATATTATATTGCAAATATTTTGCTAATTATATAAAAACAAGTTAACTATCTGAATAAATGAAAAGATAGACCATGTTGGACGGAGAAGCCTGAGCAGTATAAACATGTTAGTTTTCTTCAAATTAATTTACAGGCTTAATTCAGTAGGTTCCATAGATTAGGGATAGGAAAGTGTACAGTTAAATTATTCTGAAGTTTATGCAAAAGAATAAGCAGTCACTAATTGCTTTCAAATTTTTGGAAAAGGCAAATCTACCACATATAAGAATAAATTATAAAAATACATTATAAACTAATAATTTTTATAAATAAATTATAAAAATACATTAATTAAAGTACAGTACTGCTTTAGGAGGAAGCAGGTGCATAGGTTAGAAAATACTGATATCATTGAAGCAGATCTTAATGCTCAGTTATATTTCAAAAATAACATTTCAATTTGGTGGGTAATTAAAATATAATTCAGTGGATGATGTTGGTACAACTGGCCATTTGTTAAGATAATAAAGTTAAATCTCCGTACCACACTTGCACAAAGGTAAATTACAGATGTTTTAAAGATTTAACTGTCAAAAATGCCAAAGCAAATAAATCCATAATACAAAGTATTTAGGCAAAAAAAGTTAAACTGATCAATTTTCTAAAATTCTAAACAAAATCATAGACCTGAACATTGTTTATACTTATTAATACATGTATATCTATAGCTATTTGTATATATAAAACAGAAGAGTCAATATTATTCATCTCTAAAAGCCTTACAAATAAATTAGTAAAGGAGAAGCACGCTAACAGAAAAAATGGGCAAAAGATCTGAACAGGGAAAAATCACAAAAGAAGAAATGCAAATGAAATAGATAGATGTTTAATCTCACTAAGAATTAAAAAAAAATGCATGGGGAAACACTGAAAAATATTTCCTCCTATCATGCTAATGGAAAATCTTTTTCCCAGCCCTTTTCTTTTAAGATAATAAAGTTTAGATGCTAGTTCAGGCAAAGGGGGATTCTTACACACTAACAAAAAGGGTATCCAGTGATACACTCTCAACAGATGGGCAATTTGCCATTATGTATCAAAAGCTCCAAAATGTATTGAAACACTTTGGCCTATATCTGCCATTTTAAGAATTAATTCAATGAACTAATAAATGTACAAAAAAGCTTTATGAATAAGAAATTCCTCATAGTATTATTCATAATAGAAAAACTTCAGGAATATTTCAAACATCAAAAGCAGAGAACAGTTAAATAAACTATAAATAGCCATGTGATAAACATCATGTAACCATAAAGGATCATGTTTTTGAAGAATATTTAAAGACAAGAGCTATGAATTTTTTAGTCAAATAAAAAGTATATATTGCATGCTACCTATTTCTTCTCAAAAAATCAGAAAGACATGCACTGAAATATTAACCTTTTTCTGAGTGGAGAAATATTGAATGATATTTAATATTTCAGCTCTTCTGAATTTTTCAGATTTTCACAATAAACTAATATTTATGGGAGAAAAAGTATGCTATTGTAAAATAAACACAGAATACCAAGTTAGAAAGATGCCAGAGCTGGTCCCAGCATAGCATGCCCAGCCCCTTCTCTAGTCAATATAGATACAAACAATTGTTCTATGCTGTGAGTCCTGGAGGTCCACTGGACTGTTAAAGGTTATGGCTGGGGAATGACTCTGTGAGATACTCAGCAGCTGGAGGGGATAGTTCATGTTGCTGGTGTTTGTGGGGGAAAATAAAATAAAATTTATCACCATTAAAAAACCTCTAGGGCAGGGCTGTCCAATCTTTTGGCTTTCCTGGGCCACATTGTAAGAAGAACAATTGTCTGGGGCCACACATAAAATACAGTAATACTAATTATAGCTGATGAGCTAAAAAAAATTGCAAAAAAAAATCTCATAATGTTTTAAGAAAGTTTGTGAATTTGTGATGGGCTGCATTCAAAGCCCCCATGGGCTGCAGGTTAGACAAACTTGCTCTAGGGTATTTAATGTATGCAATCTTTACAATCAGCCTCATTAACCCATGGGAGAACTATCGTCTATAAAACAGACTCCCCTTCACATCTTCTCCTCAAGCCACATGTTGACTTTCCATGATGTCTTTTCCCTAAAGTCTTCCCATGATACTCACTTTATTCTAATTTCACTTAGATAAAATGTAAAACTGGCCCCCAAATACATATAACCCAGAGACTTTAGTGAAATCATATAAGCCAAAAGTAGATGTGACTCTATTAGGGAATAAGCTAATGGTGCATAGAAAACTGAATCTCAGAGTGCAAAGAAAATAAGGCTCAAGCAGAAGTTGGAACCATTTTTCCTGGAGGAGATGCAGAGAACCTCCAAGCTCAGAGTGAAAGGTTCAGGGAGCAAAAATGTATCTGGGGGCTGTAATCAGAGTGATTAATTAAAGGGCAGAATACAAAACAGCCAAACCAGAGTTCCTACATCTCTCACTTCCACGTTTATTAGTGAACATGTCAGCCACGTGATTGGCCTCCACATAAAGCCAGAGCTCTGTCCTATAAAAATGTTGAGTATTTCTCTTGTAAGTCTTAGTCTGCTTGTGCTGCTATAAAAACTGGGTAATTTATAAATTGAGACTCAGACTGAGGAATTTATAAAGAACAGATGTATTTCTCCCAGCTCTGGAGGATGGGAAGTCCAAGAGCAAAGAGGCAAATTTGATGTTTAACTGAGGATCCTGTCTCTGCCTCCAAAATGGTGTCTTGAATGCTGTGGTCTCCAGAGGGGAGGAATGCTGTGTCCTCACACGGCAGAAGGCAGAAGGGCAGAAAGGGACAAACTCCCTCCCTCAAGCCCTTTTATAAAGGCACCGACTCCCCTTCACCAGAGGGGAGCCCTCATGGCCTAATCACCTATTAAAGGCCACAACTCCTTGATATTGCTGCATTTAGGATTAAATTTCAGCATGAATTTTGGAGGGGACAAAAATACTGACATCACAGCATCTTGAGAATACTGACTTTTTCACATAAGTAGTGGTTCTGCACAGTAACGTCCATCCTATTTTGGCATTTTTTAAGAAGGGAAGTATGCTGAGATTTGCTGTGAAAATGGATCAACTCAGCTACAGAAGAAAACTTTAGAACTGCCTTAGTGGTCCATATTAATCAGTCTAATCCTTTTTTTACAAAAAGGAACAAGCCGCCAAGGTTTAACAAACATTTAAGGGAAATCAACAGCTTGTAAGTGAATCTCTAAGGCAAAAAGAATGACTGATTACCAAGGAGGCATGTACAGACTGAAAAGAGACTACAACCATCAAAACAGAACCAAACACTTCAACACAGGACAGAGAACAAATACAATGTTTTGCAAATTAAAAAATAACTGTCAAAATAAAAACCATAGGTACAAAAATATAATTAGAATGAATAAGATCTAGTATTTGATAGCACAACAGGGTGACTACAGTCAACAATAATTTATTATACATTTTAAAATAACTAAAAGAATATAATTGGATTGTTGTAACACAAAGAAGGGATAAATTATTGACATGATAGATACTCCATTTACCCTGATGTGATTATTACACATTGTATGTCTATGTCAAAATATCTCATGTACCGCATAAATATATCACCCATGTACCCACAAACATATATAAATATGTCACCATAAATATATCATCTATGTACCCACAAAAATTAAAAATAAAAAAACTATATAAGAGCTAGAAGACAAAGTCAAAGAAAGATTACAGATAAAAAATAGGAAGAAGAAGTTTTTTTAAAGGAAGAGAAAAACTTAAATGATATGATAGATTGTGTAAAGCCATTATTGCATTGCTATAAAGAAATACCTGAGACTGCATAATTTATAAAGAAAACAGATTTAATTGGCTCACAAATCTGCAGGCTGTAACAAATGGTTCCTGCCTTTGCTCAGCTTCTGGGGAAGCCTCAGGAGCTTTTACTCATGGCTGAAGGCAAAGTGGAAGCAGGCATGTCACGTGGTGAAAGCAGGAACAAGAGAAAGTGGGAGAGGTGCCACATACTTTAAACAACCAGATCTTGTGAGAATTTACTCACTACTGGGACAACAGCACCTAGCCACGAGGGATCCGCCTCCATGACCCAAACACCTCCCATCAGGCCCCACCTCCAACATTGGGGAATTACAATTCAACATGAGATTTGGGTGGGGACAAATATCCGAACTGTATCATAGCTCTAACTTCAATCCAGGAATTCTAATACCAACCCAACAGGAGTTCCAAAGATGAGGAAGAAAAGGAGTTGGAAGAAAGGAAATAAAACAACCATAGGAAAAAAAAACTCCTAGAGCAGTAGCAAGCCCATCTTGGATGCTGCAATTACTGAACACAAAGGCCTACACCTAAATATATTCTCATGAGATTTTGAAATATCAACAATAAACAGAAGAAGTAAAACTTCCAAAGGGGCATATATATATATATATGCCATATATATATATACTCAATAAATATTTATGGAGTACCTACTATGTGCCCAGCCTTGTCTAGGCTCTGGGAATTAACAAGATACATATCTCTTTTGCATATATATGTGTATGCATGTGTGCTTGTATGTGTATTAATATATATGTGTGCATATATATGCAAAAGAACTGGCATCAGACTTTTCACCAATCATACTGGATGTTAGAAGATGCAGCAATGCTGGTTAAGTTCTGATAGACGTTCATTTTCAACCTAAATTCTATAGCTAGTCATACTATCTATCAGGTGTGAGGATACAATGACTTTTTAAACATGCAAGCACTTGGAAATTTTACTTCCCAGTTACCCTTTCTGAAAAACTTATTTGTCATTTGATGTCAGTTAAAAGTTAAATAAAATGGAAGAAAGAGAAAGACATGGACCCAACCAGAAGTGCAATAAAATAAAATCTCACAATGACGGCCATGCATCAGTATCAAAACCAGAAGTACAAATCTAAACAGGAAGTCAGAAGCCTCCCTTAAAAAGGTCTTCAATAATAGTATACTTACTATACTATTATTGAAGTAATAATAGTATATTTACTTCAATAGTAGTATAACTAAGATGCTTGATAAGCTTACTAATCAAGTAAAGATATCCCAGTGTGGTGAAAACCTCAGCCTCCAGAATCATACTGCCCGACTCAAATCACAAACTACATATGTGACCTTAGGCAATGACTTCCATTTTCTGTGGCTCAGTTTCCTTATTTGAAAAATGTGTATAAAATAATTTATACTTTGGGGCCAGGCACCGTGGCTCACGCCTGCAATCCCCGTACTTTGGAAGGCCAAGGCAGGCGGATCAACTCGATCCGCCTTTGGAACTCGAGGGAGGAGTTCAAGACCAGCCTGGCCAACATGGTGAAACCCCGTCTCTACTAAAAATACAAAAAAAAAAAAAAAAAAATTAGCCGAGTATGGTGGCACATGCTTGTAGAACCAGCTACTTGGGAGGCTGAGGCAGGAGAATCGCTTGAACCCAGGAGGTTGCAATGAGCCAAGATCGTGCCACTCCATGCTAGCCTGCTCGA
Source organism: Homo sapiens (assembly GCF_000001405.40). NCBI lineage: Eukaryota > Metazoa > Chordata > Mammalia > Primates > Hominidae > Homo > Homo sapiens. The sequence continues at coordinate 143,194,387 of NC_000003.12, read as the reverse complement.
CAAAGTGAGACTTTGCCTCAAAAATAATAATAATAATTTATACTTCATAAAGTCATTGTGGCTATTAAATGAAATAATGCATGTAAAATATTTAGTGTCTGGTTCTCAGTAACTTCTCTATAAAGGTTGGTTTTTATTATTGTATTTTTTGTATCAACAAGAAAAGAGAGACAATTCAAGATTTTGAAAAACAAAACAAAGCTGTCAAGAAATGTTGTATGTCAAGCCAAAGCAAATTAAAATGCAGTATGATTTTGAGCAAATGAAGACGGAATATGAAGCTGAAAACAGAAAATCCATTTGACCTTGAAGACTGAAGTTTTTGCCTTTGAGTGCCACAGGTTTGGTGATTTAGGATTATTTTTCCTTCTCTACAAGTCTAATCAAACCACTTGGTTCTCCACTGAATAATATTTACATAATCATAATTTCCAATTGCTATTTAATGGTATTCAATTTTAAGAAACTAACCTATCGTCAAAGCACAGAAGACTTAATTATAGTTACAGATTGGAATATAAATGTAATAAACCTTGATCATGTAAAAGTAATGATCAAAGCTGAGGAGGAGGGGCCAGAGAAGAGTAGAAGGAAGTGTAGGAGGCATACATGTTCTCTTCTTACATAATAGGTATCCAAGAAATAGTGGTTTAAGCATGCTGTTTATGATTATGAAAGTAACCCAAAGAAGACATTTTAAATAATAACATAAGATTTTTAATGTCAGGAGAAGAGAGGGGTAATGTAAAGTGCTAAATTCTATAACTTCTAAAACCAACTTAGTTCTAGGGAGTAGGACCTGGTAAAGGAGGTCCTGAAAGCAGACAAAAGTATAATTTTACTTTTTATTTTATGCCTTGATGCTATTTGAGACTTTTCTCATGCTCTTGAATTGAAACTTACAGTATTCAAAAAATCAAAAGGCACTGGTTCAGTCACTCAATAAATATTTATGGAGTACCTACTATGTGCCCAGCCTTGTCGAGGTTCTGAGAATTAACAAAATTCAGTCATTAGTTTCAAAAAGGTAACATTCTGGTCAGTGAGACTAATAGTAAACATGGAAACGATTTGATGAATGTATTCGTCTATTTTCACGCTGCTGATAAAGACATACCCAAAACTGGGTAATTTATAAAGAAAAGGAGGTTTAATGGACTCACAGTTCCACATGGCTGGGGAGGCCTCACAATCATGGCAGAAGGTGAAAGGCACATCTTACATGGTGGCAGGCAAAGAGAGAAATGAGAGCCAAGCAAAAGGGGGTTCCCCTTATAAAACCATCAGATCTTGTGAGACTTATTCACTACCATGAGAAAAGTATGGAGGAAAACAGCCCCATGATTCAATTATCTCCCACCAGGTCCCTCCCACAACATGTGGGAATTATGGAAGCTACAATTCAAGATGAGATTTGGGTGGGGACACAGCCAAACTATATCATTGGGTAAACTAATTTCACATAGTAATTGCTATGAAGAATACTGGGTAATGTTATATAGAGTGGCTACAAAAGGGGATATGTGGAATTCAGTTTATCCAGAGTGACCAAAAGAGGACTCCGGGAGGAGGTGACATTTGAACTGAGATGTGAATGAAGAGAAAGTAGCCACTCGAAACTTTGCAAAAGTGTCACATTCAAAGTCCTGAGACCAGAAGGAACTTGAAGTGTTTACACTCCAACTCGCTCAAAAGGAAGCCAGTTGGCTGAAATGGAGTGGGTAAGGGGGAGGCAATAGTGGAATCCAGAAAGTTTGGTGGGGAGCCAGATGTTATTGGGTCTTTAAAGCCATGATTAAGAATTTTATTTTGTTCAATTGCAATGCAAAGTAATTAAAGGGTTTTAAGTAAGAGAGTGCTATGATGTGATATTCACTTCAATAAGTTGACTCTCACTTTAATAAGTTTGTCATTTGAATCAGGCAGTCTTATGCCACATGCTGTGATTTTAACCACTTTCTAATGTCTTTCCCAATTAGTATCAGCATAAGTTGTAACCAGTGAAAGTGAAAGTAGGGTAGACAGCCAGGTATTGTGGTGGTTTGGACTAGGGCAATAGCAGTGGAGATGGAAAAACAGTCAAATTTAGAATATATTTGGAAGTAGAAAAAAACGACTTGAGAATGGACAGATGCAGACTGTTGAGAACAGCAAGGAATCAACTGTGGCTGCTAGATTTTTGAGAGATACTACATGAATGGTGGGGCCCTCTGCTCAAACGAAAAGGTGAGAGGCAGCAATTGAGGGTACAAGTAGGAGCTAAAACCCATTGTTCTGTTTTAGCCATGTTGAATTTAAAATGCTTGTTAGACATTCAAAAGGAGACATGAAATAAGCAGCAGAATATGCAAGTCTGGGATTCAGGAGAAAAGCTCTAACTAGAGATATAATTTAGGAGTCATCAGAGGAGGGATTTCATTTAAGGCCATGGGATTAGATGTGATCACCAAGATGAGAGTGCACCAACAAGAAGACATGCCCAGAGAGAAACCAGGGAGACTCCAACATTCAGAGACCCAGAAGAGGATGGGAAATCAGCAAAGACTATGATGGAGTGGCTGATGAGGTAGGAAGTCAACCAGGCCAGTTGCTGTGCCACTGAAAACAAGAGAATATGCTTCAAGAAGGTCAGCTTTGTTGGATACTGCTGAAAGGTCAAGTAACATGAACACACAGAGCTGACCATAGGCTTCAGTAGGATAAGAGCAGTTTCCACAGTGGTGGGGACAGAAGCTCAATTGGAAAGCCTTGAAAAGGGAACAGGAGGTGAGGAATTAGAATCAGGAAGTATAGATAATTCTTTGGAGGAGTTGTATGAAGAGAAGCAGAGAAATGTCTTGGTGGCTGAGGGGGGACACGGAGTCAAAGAGGGGTTTTATTTTGACTCATTTGTTTCGTTTAAGGTGGTGATATTAAGCCTGTTAGTATGCCAATGAGAATGATCCATTACATAGAGACAAACTGATGATATTGGAGAGAAAAGAGATATTTGTAGGAATGAAATTTTTGATGAGATGAGAAAAGATGGAGGATACCATGTTCAAGTGGGAGGGTTTGCCTTGGATGGTATCAGAAATTATTTTTCCACTTCAGCAGAACAAGGCAAAGTTTGCAAATGCAGTCATGTAAATTGAGGGATATAATGGTACAAAAATGAGGTACTTCTAATCTGATTGTATCTATTTCTCTATAAATAGTGAGATAAAGTTAACCCCAGGGTAGGCTTAACTAGAGGAGTGGGTTAGTTACCTAGTTAACTACTGTAGGCTAGAGGAGTGGAGTGCTATTCGGGATTTAAGGAGGGAGACAAGACTTAAAATGGAAAGTGAACATCCAGGAAACTGATAAGATTGTCTAGCAGTCTTCAGAGACTATTTGGTAATAATGTAAAAGTCAGAATACTTAGGGAAGTTGTGTGATTTTTCTCCGGAAATATTCAGCTTCTCAATTGCAGGCATGGAGCCTACTGATAGTTGGGATTGACCAGGTCAGGAATATTGCCATATAAGTAGGAAAGGGGAGAGGATAAGGGAGATACAGTGCTTGCAAGGAGAAATCATAGTGCTGTGTCACTATTAAATTAGGTTTCCAAAGATGGCTGCACAACAATCCTCATCATTCCACATGCTCTTCTGCAGTACAGTCTTTGGGTGGAGTATATTTCACCTCTCTTCAGACCTGAGCTCACCATGTATCCTGTTTTGACAAATAGAATGCAGCAGAAGTGATGCTGGGTAACTTCTGGAGAAGGACCTTAAGCAGTCTGCAGCTTCTACCTTTGCTAATTAGAATACTCACTCTTGAGGTCCAGGTGCCATGTAAAGAAGCCCAGGCTAGGCACCTGGACGCAGCCCTGTAGGAAGAGAATGACAGAGAGAGACATATCCCAGCCATCACCACAAAGGTTCCAGACAAGTAAGTGAAACCATCTTGGATGCTTCAACCTCAGTCACCATCTGACTACAACCTCATAAAACACCACAGCTGATGCCATGTAGAGAAAAAAGAACCATCCAGCCAAGCCTTGCTCAAATTTTTGACCCATAGAGTTGTGAGCAAATAAAAACATTGTTGTTTTGAATCACCCTCAGGGTGATTTGCTACATAGCAATGTATAACTGGATCAGGAAATATTCCCACCGCTCGGATGCCGTCATCCACTAAAAGGAAATGAAGAGTTCCAGGGCTGCTGATATAAGTGAAATAGTGGCAGGGTCAATGGAATTGTTGGATTTGAGATTTTCAATAAGGCTGGGAAATTTCTGAAGTGGGAGGACTACAATTGAAGAGTTGTAAAGACAGGAGGTGACATCAAGGAGGAGAAAACATGAAATTGGTATTTTGAGATGGTGCTGTTGTAACTGATGAAAAGATCATGGGTATGACCACAGGGTTGGGTGGCTGTAATAGGGCAGAGAAACCAGGAGGTCAAGGGACAGAGAGGCCAGGGTGTCAACTGCATAGATGTTAATGTTGCCAGGAACACCGACAAGGAAGCAGCTTAATGTAGTGTTTCAGTATACATGCCGTGGGGTCAGACTGTTTCCAACCCTGACCCTTTCACTAATGGTGTGTGCTGTTAGGCAAATTATCCCCCTACACCTCAGTTTACACATCTATAAAATGAGGATGATAGCAACTATCTCATGGCATTGTAGGAATTAAATAAAATAATGCTTTCAGAGTGCTTAGAAGAGTTTCAGGAGAAGAGAAAGCACTTGGCTAATGCCAACTCTCATTATCATTGGCAGTAGAGATAAAGGCAGCAAGCAAGTGCCAGAGGCACCAAGGACTAAGGTCAGTGAATGACAGCCAGGTGGGGTAGCAGGTGGTAACATCTGATGATGTGCTTCAAAGGGGCTGAGGTCTTTGAAGTTGAAAGTAAGAGAAATGATTAATTAGAAGCAGCAAAGGACAGTAAGGAAGAGACTTACCCTTTTTCCAGGCTTTAAGGTCCATGAGGTATAAAATCAAAGGTGTCTACCTGAAAGGGTTGCAGGGAGGCAGTGTCCTTGGGGAGAGCAAGGTTGCAGTTGGAGTGAGAAGCTAAAGGGGACATTCAGGGAAAGAGATGAGATTTTGCATCTGCTGGTGACAGACCATGAGCTCCTAAGAACATAGTGGAGGGGTTTGGACAGATGAAAAGGAATGGAAGAAGGTCAAACTTTAGGATGTGCAGAGCAGTGTGAGGATAAGGGAACATGCAGTGTTGGGTTATCTAATGGGGATTAAGGATTAAGGAAAAAATCTTAATGACCCACATGGGGTTGATCTAGAAAGTCTCCCAAGGGAAAATGTGGGAGGATCTGGGATGAGTTGTGTCCGTTCTTGTGATGAAACATGGTATGTGGGTAGGGAGGATGGGCAGGAGCCACTTCAGGGCTATTCTGCTGGACAACTCACTTCCCTGGTTAAGCTTTAAAAGGTACCTGGGAGGTGGTGGTGGTAAAGGGGTATTTTTCCTATCTATCTCTAGCTGTAAAGGTGAAGAATTGGAGCATTCATCAGTGATCCATTTATGGAAGCCCAAAGGGTGAGTATTCTCTTCCAGGGGCATAGAAGCTGGGTCACCTGGCCCTGAGCAATTAAAGGGTACCAGGTGTTGACATCTTCCATAGTAAGAAAAAGGACCATTACTAGCCTTTACATTGCTTTAATGCAAATCAAGAAAAGACACTTATTTCTGGCTAATGCAGCCTCCCAGATACATGGCTTGACCAGCACACAGTGTTTTATAGGAATAAAAAGGCTTTACTTCCTCTTAGTACATACAGCCCATAGCAAAGACAACATAGCTGGCTATGGGCTCAACCAGGTGCCCATATCCCATGGGTGGGCCTGACTAACTGCCGGGCTTTTGTTTGGCTGAACATATGTGCAAGACTGGGCCAATGTAGAATTACTCAGGATAACAGAGGAAGGCTGAAAACACTGTCCTCATGTCCTCCATCTCCTCACTCAGATTTCTTCCAAATAAATCTGGTACAAGACCTTTTAATTTTTTCCTTTGGGGACCCACCCTCCTACACTCTCATTCTTATAAACTAATTCCAAGAATGAGGATCTACCTGGAAAATTGCAGCCCCACATCTTCTTGACCAGAGTGATTGAGTCAGCAATGGGTACATGAACCAAGCCATGCCAGAGAGAGGAGCTCAAGGTATCTTGCTGGAGACTCATTGGGAAAAGGTTTCTTTCTTAAGAGGCGGTTACATGAATGGATGTAAGGCTGGTACTGCTAGGTCCATCTTCATCATGGTATGGAGAGAATCTGCCTGAAAATGCAGACAACTTAGAAGAAAGCAGAGTCAACAAATGCAGAGAGACAGTGTCCAGATGAGATACATTTTTTTGAGGGGGGTGGTGGTTCTCTCACTGTGTCACCCAGGCCGGAGTGTAGTAGCACAACCACGGCTCACTGCAGCTTCCACCTCCCAGGCTCAAGCAGTCTTCCCACCTCAGCCTCCTGAGTAGCTGGGACTACAGGCATATACCCCCATTCTCAGCTAATTTTTTAAAATTTTTTCTTAGAGATGGGTCTCACTATGCTGCCCAGGCTTGTCTCAAACCCTTGGGCTCAAGCAATCCTCCCACCTTGGCCTCCCAAAGTGCCAGGATTACAGACATGAGCCAGTCTGCCTGGCCCAGATGGTATGATTTATCCTGTCCAGGTCACCCACATATGACAGTCTAGTCTCACCATGGAGTAAGGCAGGAGCCCACTGATCCAGCTTGTGTTCCTAGTGCAAAGCACAAACTCTGGCTCCTAGTTCTTCTCCTCCATTTGCAGGAATGAAAAAGGAAATCAACAGCTTCATATGTCCCCACCTTCACTAACAGGAAACAAGTGGGGGCCCCAGAGCTCTGAGTATTCCAGGAAAGATCCCACACACCTTTCCATCCCCTACCACCCCCAACACTGTCAGTCTTAACATTGTTAGCTGCCTTAGAGACCATCTGGATTAATCCCTCATACCTCTCATCCCTGTCTGTATCCATAAGACACATGACTCCAGGTCACTCCTTGCAACCCAGCTCGCTTTCCAGGCATCCCCTAATCTGATTCTCTCCCACTCCTCCCCAACTCCTGGAATTCTCCCACTGTGTCCTCTGTGACTCACTGCACATTAACAAAGTTCTGAATCTCAATATCTTTTCTGAGCCTTCCTGTCACCTCCCTACTCCAACCAGAACTGGCTCTCTTCTGAGGACACATTTTCCCTTCCAGCCCTCACAGCTGATGGCTTTTTTCTCTCACACAATTTTCATATAATGGGGCCTGGAGGTTGCTCTTCATTGCCATCTCCCTTCTTCCTAAAAACCCCCAGGTTTGAATGGCATGCCATCAGCCATACCATCCACTACTTGTCCTGGTAGTGGCTGGAGAAAAACACACAACCGTGCTGTAGGTCTCACTTTAAACTCAAGACCATTATGTACAGGCCTTGGGGCCAGGCCATCCCTGCTGCTTTTCCCGAGGCCACTCACTCTCCCACTCTCCTGTGTTTCTCCCCTCTTTTCTCTGTCCCAACGTCCAGCACCTCCTCCCCATCCTCCTTCTCTGTTGATGATGTGGCTTACAATTTCCTTAAGGAAGCAGAATCAATCGCAGAATTTCCACATACTCATAACTCCCAATCAATACCCACTCCAAATCCATATTTTCTGCCTTCCTTCTGCTGCAGTGGATGAGCCATCCAGATTTCCAAGACCAACTTCTCCTCTGGGACACACGATTGTCTCCTCCTTTCCTGCCTACTCAAGCATATTGATCCAACGCTTACCCCATATTTTCTGCATTGAGTGTATTTACTGGTTGTTCAATGAATAAATCCCATGGTCAGTTCCCAGTCCTCATCTGACTGGACCTATTAACAGCATTAAACACAGAAGATCCCACCCTCCTCCTCAATATACCTTTGCCCTTGGTTGCCAGGACACTACCCTTCCTTGGTTCTTCTCCCCCTGGCTCGTGTGTTCATGTCCCTCTCATGTCCCTAGCTTGGAGCTCTCACCTTGGACCTCTTCTCTTCTCTATTTCTACTCACTCCCTTGTGATCTCATCTGGCTCGTGGTTTAAAATACATTGCAGATCTTGAATTTGTTATCTCCAGCTCAGACCTCTTCCCTGAACTCCAGACTCATACATACACCTGCCTACTCAGTCTTGCCACTTGGGTGTCTAGCAGGCATCTCCAACTTAATTTGTCCAACCGAACCCTGTATCTGCCATTCCCAGGTTCTCTCCACCAAAACCTGTTCCTCTACAGTCTTTCCTACCTCACTCAATACATGACAGTGGCGTCCTCTGGTTTCCCAGGCCAAACACCTTGGCATCATTCTCAACTCCTCTCCTTTCCCATTCATCAGCAAATCCTGTAGCCTCTGCCTTCTTACACTTCTCCTCACATTGAATGCCACCACCCTGGTCTCATTCACCACTGCCTCTTGCTTGAACTGTTACACTAGCTTCATAGTAGGTCTCTTAGCTCCTGCCCTGCATCCTAACCATCTATACTCAACACATCAGCTTTTTACAATGTAAGGTAAATCAATACCAGGCCTCTGCTAGAACTTTCCTGAGGTTTCAATATCCCTCAGAGTAAGTACCAAAGTACTGACAACACACTATAAGTCCTTGCATGAGCTGGCCACCTATCTCCTCATCTCCTACCCCTTTTCTTTCATCCTCTCTGCTCCAGTTACACTCATCTCCTGATGTCCCTGACCATGACAAGCACCCTCCTACCACAGGGCTCTGGTACCTACTGTTTCCTTATCTCTGGAATATGTACACATCTTCCTATGTACTCCCTTTATCTCTATACTTAAATACCACCTGTTAGAGAGGATTTCCTTTGCCTGTTCCACATAAAATAGAAGTGTCATCCACACAGATGCTTTCTACCTCCTTACCTTGCTTTATTTTTCTCTATTACACTTCCCATCACCTGATACACTGCACTCCTTTTTTAAAGGGTTTGTTTTCTGATCTCCCCAGCATCTAGAACTATATCTAGAACATAAGTATTTGTTGAATAATGAATAAATTTGAATGCTCATTCCATCATGTCTGTCTCCATTCATTCAGACTGCTATAACACAATGCCTTATGCTGGGTATTTATTTCCCACAGTTCCAGAGACCAAAAGTCCAAGATCAAGGCCCAGTAGATCTGGCATCTGGTGAGGGCCCTCTTCCCTGTTTGAAGATGGCCATCTTCTTTTTGTGCCTTCACATGGTGGAGAGCAGGGAGAGAGCAAGCAAGCTCTACATCTCTTCTTGTGAAGACACCAATCCCAATCATCAAGGCCTTCATGACCTACTTATCTCCCAAAGGCTCTACCTCCTAATATCATCACTTTGGGGGTACACAAAGATTCAATCCATAGAAGTGGTCTGTGTGTATTACCTTAAACGTGGAACTTGAACTCTCTAAAGTCACATTTCTTCATTGATAAAATGGTGACATTAAAAAAAAAAATCTGTCTCATTCTGTTGTTGCTAAATTAAGTGACATGATATGTGTGAACTATCTTCCATTGTGCCAGAACACGATAGGAGCTAAATAAACAGTTGTTGTTGTTGTTAATTGACGTGAATGATAGCAATTGTAGCAAACTGTGGTCAGGAATTCAGTTTTAGAGTACCCACAGAACTCTCCTGATCCCTTTCTAGAACCTTCAGGGACAAAACACAACCCCATTACAAGCAGCATATCTCAGGCAGGCTTGCCCTGTCCCAGCAGACCCTCAGCCACAGCTCTCTCAGTCTACCCACCCACAGGACTTGGGCTCTGCCGACACGCCAGAGCCCTTTGTATAAGAACACTTTTTCTCAGGGAGAAAATAGCTCACCCGTGTGACACCAATTCCATCTTCCAGGACACCAGGGTAGTATTCTGTGCAATGAAAGTAATTTACTAAATGGTCCTCTGGTGTCGTGGAAGAGTGAATTCATTTTGCACAGGTCACAAGTTTACTTCCAGAGAGCAATTTCCTCCCCAACAGAGCAGGCCAAGTCTAATGGAAAAATTGAAGCACAGCACTGAGGGTCCATGCAACAGTGGTTTCTGTTAGACCTGGGCCTCAGGAGCCCAGCTGAGGGAGAGAGAAACATGAGCAATAACTGGCTGTGAGAAGCCAAAGTTGTTCTTTCTTGTTGCTCTTGGGACAGTTAACTTGTCCAGCAGGGACCAAAAGACTGGGAGTGAAGAGGCAGGAGGGCCAACTTGGAAGGGGTGGGAAGAGAGAACAGAGCCAGAGTCCCAATACCAAAGCCAGAACCAGTTGTCCAGAAATACAGTCAACCAAACCTGACTGGTACTGAGAGAGAGTGGTATGATGGGGAAGAAGAAATGCAATGTACTTAACCATATTCATAGAATGTGGTTGGGAACCCCAGGCCAGATATAGGTAAATTAGCACATGGAGTGATGACGATGACTACAAAGCCTTCAATAAATAATAAACCCCCACATCAACCTTGAACTCCTCTCTCTCTCTTCTCCCGTCTTTCTGTCTCTCTGTCTCTATCTCTCTCTCATTCTGTCTCTCCCTCTCTGTCTCTGTCTGTCTCCCTTTATCTGTTTCTCTCTCTCCCTCTCTCTCTCTCTCTTTCTCCCACTCCCTCACTCCTTCCCTCACGTATTTCTGTGTTTTTGAAAGATCTCCTTTTCACGTATGTGTGTACACCCCATGGCTGTTCTTCTCAGATAAGTAACAGCATTTCTTACCAGATCTGGATTTAGAATCTGCCCTTTTTGAGCATTCAGAAATCACTCTAAAATGTCAAACAGAGCAGAGCTATATGAGGAGACATCCACAGCACACACCGTGAGGGCAAGTAAGGCTCAACACTGTATTTCTAGACTCACTTTGCAAGTTCCCTAAGATCAGAAGGAAATCCAACAAGGCAACGGAATTCAATGGTGTGAAGTATGCATTGAGTAGATTACGGTACAGCTTAAAAGGTGAATTTAGACACCACAGACAGAAAGATGACAGTCTATAGCCTTGTTTGCCTTGTTAGTTGTTTTTTGTTTTTGTTTTTGTTTTCAGCACTTTCCACTCGCCTTCTAGAAATCTCAGAGCCTATGGTTTCACTTTAAAGAACCAGGTCAAAATTGTGCAACACTGGTCTACAGGATGTTAACAAGTTCTTTGTGAAAAATAATTATTTGGAATTATTTTTAGAGTTTATCAACTTAACTTCTAGGTTGAAAAAAAGCTAAACATGTGTCTTCACTTAAGTACTTTTCTGTACTTTTTTTTTTTTTTTTTTTTGAAACAAGATCTTACTCTGTCACCCAGGCTGGAGTGCAGTGGTGCAATCCAGTGATCATGGCTCACTGAAGCCTTGGGCTCCCCAGGCTCAAGTGATCCTGCCATCTTAGTCTTCTCAGTAACTAGGACTACAGGCACACACCAGCAGGCCTGGTTAATTTGTGTATGTGTGTGTGTGTACATTTTTTGTAGAGACGAGGTTTGGCCATGTTACCTAGACTGGTCTCGAACTCCTGGGCTCAAGCAATCCTCCCACCTCAACCTCCCAAACTGCTAGGATTACAGGTGTTAGCCACTGCACCTAGCCTTGGTGCTTTAAATATGTGTGTTATGACTCTCAAATATATGGACATAGCATGTGATATTCTCCAAAGTTATTTGATGATGGAAACATTTTTTTAGAGGGAATATCCTGCAGGGTCAGTTTTTCAGGGAACATATTTTGAGAAAGGCTAGATTAGATCTTTCCCTTTTATTGACCCAAAGAAAGAGTAATAGATTCTCTTATGATACTCTTCACAATATTGAACAATATTTTTAAACTGAAGACTTGTATCATGGGCACTTTTGAAAATGTTAGTTGGAGAACTAAAGAGAAAACCACATGATTATCTCAATAGATGCAGAAAAGGCCTGAGATAAAATCCGACATCCCTTCATAATAAAAACTCTCAATAAACTAGGTATTAAAGGAACATACCTCAAAATAATAAGAACTATGTATGACAAATCCACAGCCAATATCATACTGAATGGGCAAAAGCTGGAAGCATTCCCCTTGTAAACCAGCACAAGACAAGGATGCCCTCCCTCACCACTCCTATTCAGTATAGTATTGGAAGTTCTGGCCAGGGCAATCAGGCAAGAGAAATAAATAAAGTGTATTCAAATCGCAAAAGAGGAAGTCACATTATCTTTGTTTGCAGATGACATGATCCTATATCTAGAAAATCCCATCATCTCAGCCCAAAAGTTTCTCAAGCTGATAAGCAACTTCAGCAATGTCTCAGGATATAAAATCAATGTGCAAAAATTGCTAGCATTTTACACCAACAATAGGCAAACACAGAGCCAAATCATGAATAAACACATTCACAATTGCTACAAAAAGAATAAAATACCTAGGAATACAGCTAACAAGGGAAGTTAAGGACCTCTTTAAAGAGAATTACAAACCACTGCTCAAAGAAATCAGAGAGGACACAGATGGAAAAACATTCCATGCTCATGGATAAGTAGAATCAATATGTGAAAATGGCCATACTGCCCAAAGTAATTTACAGATTCAGTGCTATTCCCATTAAACTACCATTGACATTCTTCACAGAATTAGAAAAAAACTATTTTCAAATTCATATGGAATCAAAAAAGAGCCCAAATAGCCAAGAAAATCCTAAGCAAAAAGAAGAAACCTGGAGGCATCATGCTACCTGACTTCAAACTACACTACAAGGCTACAATAACAAGAACAGCATGACACTGGTACAAGAACAGACACAGACCAATGGAACAGAACAGAGAATCCAGAAATAAGACTGCACACCTACAACCATCTGATCTTCTACAAACTTAACAAAAACAAGCAATGGGGAAATACTCCCTATTTGAGAAATGGTGCTGGGAGTGTTGGCTAGTCATACGCAGAAAATTGAAACTGGACTACTTCCTTACACCATATATAAAAATTAACTCAAGATGGATTAAAGACTTAAATGTAAAACTCAAAACCATAAAAACTCTAGAAGAAAATCTAGGCAATACCATTCAGGACATAGAGAGAGGCAAAGATTTCATGACAAATGCATTGCCAAAAGCAGTTGCAACAAAAGCAGAAATTGACACATGGGATCTAATTAAACTAAAGAGCTTCTACACAGCAAAAGAAACTATCATCAGAGTGAACAGGCAACCTACAGAATGAGAGAAAATTTTGCAATATATCCATCTGACAAAGGTCTAATATCCAGAGTCCACATGGAACTTAAATAAATTTATAAGAAACAAACAACCCCATTAAAAAATGGGAAAAAGACATGAACAGACACTTCTCAAAAGAAGACATACGTTGGGCCTGGTGGCTCAAGCCTGTAATCCCAGGACTTTGGGAGGCCGAGGCAGGCAGATTACCTGAGGTAAGGAGTTCAAGACCAGCCTGGCCAAGATGGTGAAACCCTGTCTCTACTAAAAATACAAAAATCAGCCAGGCATGATGGTGGGTGCCTGTGATCCCAGCTACTTGGGAGGCTGAGGCAGAGAATTGCTTGAACCCAGGAGGCAGTGGTTGCAGTGAGCCGAGATCACGCCACTGCACTCCAGCCTGGGTGACAGAGCTAGACTTCGTCTCAAAAAAAAAAAAGACATACATGCAGCCAACAAATGTTAAAAAAAGCTCAGCATCACTGATCATTAGAGAAATGCAAATCAAAACCACAATGACATACCATCTCACACCAGTCAGAATGACTATTATTAAAAAGTCAAAAAAACAACAGATGCTGGCAAGGTTGCAGAGAAAAAGAAGTGTTTTCACACTGTTGGTAGAAATGTAAATTAGTTCCACCACTGTCAAAGGCAGTGTGACAATTCCTCAAAGACCTAGAGGCAGAAATACCATTTGACCCAGCAATCCCATTACTGGGCATATACCCAAAGGAATATAAATCATTCTTTTATAAAGATACATGCATGTGTATGTTCATTGCAGCACTATTCACAATAGCAAAGACATGGACTCAACCTAAATGCCCATCAATGATAGATTGGATAAAGAAAATGTGGTACATATACACCATGGAATACTATGCAGCCATAAAAAAGAAGGAGATCATGTCCTTTGCAGGGACATTGATGGAGTTGGAGGCCATTATCCTTAGCAAACTAACACAGGAACAGAAAGCCAAACCAAACACTGCATGTTCTCACTTATAAGTGGGAGCAGAATGATGAGAACACATGGACACATGGAGGGGGAACAACACACACCGGGGCCTGTCAGGGGAGGGGGTGGGGGAGAGAGAGCATCAGGAAAGATAGCTAATGGATTCTAGGCTTAATACCTAGGTGATGGGATGATCTGCGCAGCAAACCACGATGGCACACATTTACCTATGTAACAACCTGTATATCCTACACATGTACCCCTGAGTTTAAAATAAAAGTTGAAGAAGAAAAAAATAAAAAAGAAAACGTTGGTTGGAACGTTTATAAACATTTCATTTCATAATATGCAAATCTGAACCCTACAGCAGCGAGATTATCATAAACTCAAGTCTCCATTGAACACTAGGCATAGTGGTTTAGCCCACAGACTCTGGAGCCAGACTTCCTGGATTTGAACCCTGGCTTCCTCGCTTGTCAACTGTACGGCTTTGTGCTGGTTATTTCACCTCCCTGTGCCACAGCTCTCAGCTTTCCATGCCTATAATGACAATAATAACATTAGTACCTGCTTCACATTGTCTCTGTGAGACTTAATGAGTTAAAAATGTATAAAGTTCTTAAAATGGTAAATACTAACGAGGCTTTTGAGAAGAATAATATGCCACATAATAAGTCATTTCAAGTTTTCAGTAATAAAATAGTGCTTATATCCTTTGAACCACAGATTTATCCTGTTGCCTTTCCCCATCTAAGAACTGTCCTATTTTTCATGTGAAAAAGAAACAATGGAAATTTAGAAAGTAACAAAAAAAATATTCACTGGCAAGTTACACAATATTCAAATGTAGAAATGAGAGATTGTTCAGTTTGGAATATTTTATGGGAAAATATTAGATAGGAACTAAATATAACTTAGCCTAATCACACATGGTCTCCAGGCCTAGGGACACATTGACATTTTTTTTTTTTAAAGAAATTTCTTTATTTAAAACTGCATTTTTTTTTTCTGTGAAACTACACAAGTTTACAAGTGAGGAGAGAACTGCCCCCGGCCCATGCCTCCCACCCCCCAACCCATCACATTTCCAACCTGTCCCCAGTCCTGCCCGGATCTTTAATGGGAGGGGTTCCCCACTCTGACAGTCTTGTAAAATCCTGAGAATGTCTGAGGGGATCAGATGGTAGGGTTCAGGGCTGAGGATGGGACAGTGTTGATGTTACTTTTCCCCCACATCTGGCTTTTTGCAACCTCCTCCCTCTCCCTACCCCTTGATTTTGGTGTGACAAAAAGATACCTCATTTATGCGGAAATTGAGGAAGATACATATACAAGCACCCCAACCCATAATTAACATATTTGGCAATAACTCCCTTCCCATTCTTCCCCCTCCAATTTTCAAATAGAGTTTTTTAAAAAATTAAAGACATGTCACTCACAGGGGAAGATGGCATCTTCAATTTCCTCAAAATTACTGAGTCCAGCCCTGCCCAAGGGTTGTGGGAAGAAGGGGGATGAGAGGCCAGCAGGGCAAGCCCTTCACTGCCTCCACATCAAATGCGGCAGAAACCTGCCTGCATGAACAAAGAACACCTAATGGATTTTAGGGGGCAAAGCTTGGTGCCCTGTAAAATTTACTTCCTGATGGACAGGCCTGGAGCCAGGGGGGCCTCTTTACCAGTTCTGTTTGTCCCCCTTTCTCTTACCAGAACCCCTTTGGCTATCACCCCTAATATGGGAAAGTAAGAAATAAAAAAAAGACAAGAAATCAACATATTTATTTAAAAAAAAAAAACAAGCTACTTCCCCAAACTAAATTAAAAATTAAGAACCACCACCACCAACAACAACAACAACAAAAACAACAACAACAACAAAAACAGATGGATCCCAGGGTTTCTTTTTCTTTCTTTAAAAAAAAAAAAAAAAAAAAGTTCAACCCCAAAGCCCAGTCAATAATTCCCTAAAGTAGCAGAAACTCCCTCCGAGGTAGATATCTGAGTCAGACACTCTCGTCCACCAAGCGATTCTATTGGTTTAAGATGAGCTGCGTATGAGGTAAGTAAGCTGTCTGGAGGGGCAGGGGTGGGGATGCATGGGGGCGTGTCCCATGTCCTCTGTCCAGAAGTCATGTCCCCATTTTTGGCATCTCTGATTGGGCAGGGCTGGCGTCTCCAGATTCCAGAGCCTACAAGTGGGGTGGGGAAGGGAAAGTGGGGGAGCCCAGGAGAGAAACAGAATAGTTGCAAGTGGGAGTATGTGTGTGTGAGGTGTGGGAGAGGGAGAGAGAAAGACAGAGGAGAAAAAGGGGTCTGAGAAAATAGGTTTCTGGGTATGTGCATGTTTCTGTGTAAGAAAGAAAG
This sequence comes from Homo sapiens, assembly GCF_000001405.40. Taxonomy (NCBI): domain Eukaryota; kingdom Metazoa; phylum Chordata; class Mammalia; order Primates; family Hominidae; genus Homo; species Homo sapiens. The sequence continues at coordinate 143,177,861 of NC_000003.12, read as the reverse complement.
CGAGAGAGGAAAAAGTTGGAAAAAAGGGAGAGACAGACCCCACACTCCCCTTAGGGGCCCCATTCTTCCTGCCATGTAATTAGCACCCCCAGCACAGACAGTCTCATTAGGGAGCGGATGACCCCATTGGCCCTTCTCTGTCTTGTGCTTCTCCTGTATTGGGGTTTGTCCTCTGGAAGCCTGCGTCCTCTTCAAGAGTCGCCTTGTGAGAGCCCCCACCCCTGTGACCCTGAGGGGCAAGATCAGTTGGAGGTATCAGAGTGAACACTCCCTGGTCCCTCCGTTGGGGATGTCACTGAAGAGGGGGTCACAGCCTCTTGCCAGCTGCCATTTGCCCTCATTTCCCGTGGGCTGTACATCTGGCCTCCCCCGAGGTTATCCCCATAGCCCCCTGGCCCCATCGAGCGTCGGAGTGATGCCACCTGGGAAGCAGAATAGGAATCTCCGTTGAGCCCAGGCATCCCCAGAAACATGTCTCCAGATCCTGAGATATTGAAAGAGCCGCCAGAGCCTGCAGAGGAAGGGGGTGTCGGGGAGCTGGTGCTGCTGTGGCCCCCCTGGGTGACTGACACGGCTGTCTTGACAGCATAGATGTTTGCCTCCTCTTGGAACTTTCCGATGTTTTTCTTATAGCGAATCTTCTTGTTGCCAAACCGGTTGGAGACCTGAGACACGGTGATGCCACACTTCTTGGCAAGCTCCTCCTTGGCCTCCTCACTAGGATATGGGTTACTCAGGTGGGAGTAGAAATACTCATTTAGGACCTCAGTGGCCTGTCTGCTGAAGTTACGGCGCTTTCGTCTGGCATCCAGGAAACGGGAGCGCAGCATCATCATAGCCTCGCAGGTGCTCTGCTTCAGCTGCATCTGGATGGCGCTGAACTTTCGATGGATGATGCTCACCATGCGTTCCATCTCTTTGGGGGCCACGGGCCTGGTGCGGCTCTGCTCCCTCAGCAGGTTCATGACATGGGTCGTGAACTCATTACATGCCTGCTCATACTTCTCCAGTTCCGAGTGGTATATGTGACGGATCTGGGCAAGTTTGCTGCGATAGTCCGAGTGTTCGATGGAGTTGTCAGGGGACACGCCACCACCAGAGGCTGCAGCGGCTGCAGCTGCTGCTGCTGAGCCGCCCCCTTTCTCGGGCCCAGCCACACCCTCTGCCAGAAGCATGTTGTCCAAGCGCATCAGCTGTGGGTCCACCGGCTCCTCCTCCTGGGAGCTCCGAATGCTGAGGCCGGTTTTCTCCTTGATTTCACACAGGACGCTAAAGAGAGCAGGCTTCATTCGGTGGCAGTTTAGGGCGTGTTTCTTGGCCTGGGCCTCGTCCAGGCTCTGGTCGGTGATGGTCATTATCTGCTGCAGAATGTCCCCGATGTCTTGCTTCCCTCGGCCTCCCGGGAACCCCCCGCTACCCCCACCGGGGTCTCCGCCACCAGGAGGCTCGCCAGGGCCCCCAGGCTCCCCACTCACCAATCCCAGGCCCCCCCCGGGCCCCGCCTGGAGGAGGCGGCCCCAGTAGCCGTTAGTCCATAGCTGGGGGGGGGCCCTGAGGCCCCCTCCCTGCTCAGCCCCTCCCCCCGCTTGGTTACTTCTCCCCACAAACTCGCTGGGGCCGCTGCTCCCTCCGCCCCAACCCCCGCCCGTCTGCCCCCGGCTCTCGGCTCCCCCGGGGGTTCACCCCGGCACTGAAGGGAGACCTGGGATACCGGCTGGGCCCCCCACAGGAGACCCCGGCCCCCGGCGGCGGAGAAAATGGAGCCGGAGAGAGAGAGGAGGCCCAAGCGGGAGTGTGTGTCCACATTGACATTTTGTGTTGGTGGGTATGCAGACAAGTGTGTATGAGTACTTTTGTATATCCTGGGCAATAAAATTTCAAGATTTTGCTATTTTAAATTGCTGAATTGAAAAAATAGCTATTTCTGGGTCATATACCATATTTGCTTGGATATCATGAACCCTTTGTTAGCAGACAGATTTTCAGTGTATGGCCAGATTTAAAGGACTCTTTTTGGGTATTGGTGAATTTACACTGAGGATTTCATGTTCCACTGCAGGCACCTTCTTCTCTGACCTCTCTCTGACTTAAAGCTTTGTCCCCAGTCTCTCGCTGGGTCTCTTCCTCTTACTAGCACAAATGCCAGACTCTGCCCTAAAACTTTCCTTCAAAACTCCACATATTCTTATGTCCTCATAGTCTCCCAAGCTAATTGCAAGTTTCCTCAAAAAAAATTTCTGTCCTTAAAGACATAATGTATGACTGAAAACCCTTCAGACCCCCTATTCTCGACGTAGGAAAGGCACTTTATATCATGTAAGTCCTAGTAAGGCTGAAGCTACAAAAGAAGCCTATAAACTTTCCAAATTCATTCTTGCTTGTCATCTCAAAAATGCACCTGAGGGTGTGGTTGGTTTGTGCCTCTCCCCAGGCCCATTCTTGCCCCTCTCTGTGCAGCCTTGGAGACTGCCTCCACTGGACCACATCAACCTGGCTCCACTGCCAGCTGGCTCTTGGTTGGGTTTGGCCAAGACCGACCCCTCAAGGTGAGGCAGGAGGAAAAAGAAGAGAAGATGTTGCCTTCCTGCTCCCACCCTGCCCTGCAGCATGTTTTCTGGTAGCGACTACATCTCTCCCTGACTTCAGCTCCCACCAGACTGGAGTAAAGCACTTTGCAATGTTCTTCATCCCTTCAGGCCTGGGGTGGTAATGACTGCCACTGTTGCTAGTCTCTGGGTGCCTCAGCAACCCTGCTCGTTCTCTTAATCCTGTCCACACCCCTTAAGGAGCCTCTTCTTTGCAGTCTCTTGAACTATGTGAATTGGATTGGTTTTTGCTAAGACCTTAACTGATAACAGAGCTCTGATAAAAATACAACAATTTTATGTAAATCCTAATTCTTCTCATTTTTAAACAAAAATAGGATATTTGCCTATACATATATAGTCTCAGAGGTTAAAAAAAGAAGCTTATGTTAAAATTTTTAATTTAGAATCCCACAAATTTAATCCACTTTAGCAAACTCCCTGGTCCCTCACCTTTGCTCCTCTCTCTGCCTGGAAATTCCCTAGATCTCCTCATGGCTGACTTTTTCTTGTCATTCAGACCTCAAAGTAATGGTTACCCATTTAGAGAAGGCTTTAAGTAGCCACCCACCTTCTCCCTCAGCATTTGAATTTAATCCTGTACACAACACCTTTTACTATTTGATATTCTTGCTATTTGTTTGTTTGTGTGCCCTGTCCCATGCTGGGACATGCGCCCTATGACAGCTGAGACTTTGTCCATCTTCTTCACTGCTCTGTCCTCAGCACTTGGCAACTACTTGGCAACATAGTAGGTGCTCAAAACCTATGTTGAGTGAATTAATGAATGAGTTGGCATTTTACAAGAGATAAATGAAATAAATTACTGTCCTTGTTCTCACAGAACTCACAAATGAAAGAAATTTATAGTAGAAGAAAGCATCATAATAGAAGAACACACAGACTCCCACATCTAGCCATGGCAAACTACTTTATGGCAGTGCAAACATCCCAGTGAACAAACCACAAAGGTGTGATAAAATGGAAAACAAACAAACAAAAACAAAAACAACCTGTTTTGAAGACATTGGAAACTCAAGGAAGCCAGGATTTTCAGGGCCAGGAGTCCAGAGTGAAGAGAAACTCACTGAGGTGAGCCCAAATCACTACTTTTCTCTTCAGAGCATTTTCTGATTCATATGCAGCATGTGTGGAAGGACTGAGAAGCCAAGTAGAAAGCAGCTGCTAAGAAGCAAAAAAAAAAAAAAAAAAAAAAGCAGAACAGAACTTTCACCACCTAACAGGGCTAGGAGTCCAGGGCCAGCAAGACAATCAGAACTTAAAGGGTCAAGATCCAGGAGAGAAAGGAAGCAGAAAGAAATGAGCCCAACCATGTGGGCAAACATTTTTCCCCTTGAGGCATTTACTGATTGATAAGAAGCACCTATAGAGAGGCATATAGTGGCTTCTGAGACTATAAGAAACTGGGCAGGACTATCAGCAGTGTTACAGTGCTGGAATAGTTTTTAAGTTTTCCCTGGAAAAAGAAAGTATCATTCATAATCTCTGCTATTTTATATATATATTTGGCATTCGATAAAATGTTAACAAACATATCAAGAGATATGACCAAGAAATTTTTTAAAAGATTATAGAAATAGACTCTCTAGAAATCCAAGGAGTTATATAAATACCTTAAAATCCTATGATTGATAAGCTGATAAAAATAGATAAGATTGAAAAAAAGTAACCAGAAAATTAGAATCTACAAAAAAGAAATCAAATGAAAAATCTAAACTGATATTACAAACTAAGAACTCAATAAATAGACTTAACAGAAGATTAGACACAGCTGGAAAAGGGACTAGCAATTTGGAAGATAAAACAATGGAAATTACTCAGAATGAAGCACAGAGAAAAAAGATAGAAAAAAATATAGGAGACCTATGGCACCTAGTAGAAAAATTTAACATATATGGAATTAGAGTCCAAAAGAGGAGGGAAAGACAGGAGGCAAAGCAATATGTGATAATGACCAAGAATTTTTCAAAGCTGACAAAAAAACGTCAAGCCACAGATTCAAGAAGCCCTTCAATCCCCATGAAGATAAACAGAAAGAAAAACGTGCCAACACACATCATGGAAATCTGCTGGAAACCAAATACAAAGAGAAAAAACTTAAAGATAAATACAAAATAATGTTTGCTTCAGAGAACTGGATAAAGATTCACAAAGAAGGCAACAATTCATTTATTCAACAAGAATTCACTGGGCACTTAATAAGCATCTATCACCAACTTGAGTCTTTAAAGAAACAAAGATATAAATTGCATTATCTCTGTTGTCTAGCAGTTCAAGTTTCATGTGTAAGAGAGATAGAAATGTAAACAAATTCTGCATAAAGCCTGCCAAAACGGATTTTTTTTTAACTGCAAAGGAAGAATGACGCTTGGAGCAGGCAGGTGTGAGGGGGCACAGAGAAGCTGCAGAATATTTGCATGTTGTCTTGCTAAAGTTTCTAGGCATTAAACAACCCAAGCAACAGCACAAAGGAATGAAATTGGACATCTCATCGAGCAATCGTGAGTTGTCTCTTGGGGTTCAGCATGGGGAGATGACAGGGAGTTGCAGAAAATGAGGCTGAAGAGTAAAGTTGGAAACAGATTCAGTAGGCAGTTGGGACTTACCACAAGTTTTTTCAGTAGGAAAGGGACATCACCAAGTCATTCTTTAGGAAGAGCACTCTGGGGCAACTTCAAGGGTACTCTTGAGAGGAAATCGATAGCAGCCCATGAGACCAACTAGACAGCTACTTGTCATGGTCCAGGCAAGCAAGAGAGAGTACGGCCTGAACTAGGGCAACAAAAATAGAAGTGACTACATGAGAGGGTATTCTCTAGACATTTCAAAGCCAGAATCAACAGGACTTAGCAGCCATTGCTTGTAGGAGACAGAAAAATAAGTCCAAGTTGACTTGGGTGTGTGGAGGATGTCACAATGATGTTAACACAAGGATAATATCATGAGGCTTGTTGCGTTAGAAACATCAATAGAACATTTCTGAAATGTCCATCAGGGAGCTGGAAAGTCCAGTTTAGAGCCCAGATGCAAAATTAGGAGCTGATACCAAGCTGTGAGGGCAAAGGAGAGAATGAGGCAGCCTGTGGCCTGGCAGAGCAAGAACTGAATAAAGACCAGTGACCCTGAAGTTAACACATCTCAGGAAATACAGATTATCCCAACAAAATAGTCTTAGGTTACTCATTCTGAGACTTGTGAAAATATTTTAATTAAAAAGAAATCATTAGGATGCGCATTACACAGGAAAACTGTTTGAGAAACAGATCTATTACCCTTTGTATTTTATGTTGTCCTGAAGCCTTTTGCTAAGCTGCATCCCAATTTTTTCTGCTTATACAGCAGAAACACTAATGATATGAGCTGTAGTTAAAAAGCACTTTCCAAGTCTGCTACTTGAAAACTTCAGTATGAATAATGTCAGAGGCATGGGGGAGGTGGTTAAAGGCTATGTCTCTGCTGTGTTTTTAAAATAATGCACATCAAATAAAGAAGAAACACCACTTAAAACTGAGATTAAATTTCCATTACATTAACCAATTACTTTGATTTAAGTATCTATGTATATATACACATATACATACACTGTCTGTATGTGCCAAGTGGGAAATTTTTTCTCTGTTATCAGTCAATTCCTCTCATTTCACTTATGATATATGGATAAGAACCTAACTTTGTCAGAGATTAGGAGCATTTTTGCAGCCCCACATTACTGCAGAATACTAAAGTTCAGGTCAAGAATAACAGACTTCCTTCTGCTGCAGAAATTTTCTCACAGAGCTACACCGGATGCAATTTGAACTTTTGTGTTTCTTAACTACTTGTGGTTTATTTCTTTAAGTCAGTTGATCTTGCTTCAAGTCCCTGAGGCCACTAGAGAGAGGCAGCTTGTTAAGATTTGTGCATCTGATCTTTGAAGATGACTCCCCAGATTCCTTTCCTACACCCCTAAAAACCAGCACCCAATAGTATCTACTCTATCGTGGGCCTAATTAGAGAGCAAAACAATTAACAGTTACTGAGTTCCTCCTCTGTGTTCAGCACTGCTTCATGTAACAAGAAGCAAAGAAGCCGTGGAAGAGATTTAAGTAAATGGAAGACAGAAGTTATATTTTTAAAGAAACTAACCAAAAATAGCAAGACACTATCATTGAGGGCTAAACTGAGCAGCATCCAGTATTAAATGCTGTAGGATCTTCTACAAAGGAGAGACTTGAGTGGACTGTGTGAATCTGGAAGGCTCTGTGAAGGAGGGAGAATTTAACCCTGGAAACACTAGTGGGTCTCTTTTACCCCTTTGCTCTGGGTGTAGCATTTATGTTACATTTTGGCACCCAGCCAAGGAAGAACGTTATACCACAGACCTGGTATTAGACACAGTTGAATTCTTTGAAAATTCAAGCCTTCTTCATCACACTTTGTAGTAAGAGGTCAAAGCTACAGTTTCTCTCACTGCCAAGCCCTCATCTGTGCTGCCTGTTCCAATATTACACACACACACACATACACACACACATACACAGCTGCCTGAACTTGTATAGAGGTAAAGCAGGGAGAAGGATTCTCTTTCCCCAAAGTCTGTAGCCTTATGTGAAGAGGGATAGTGCAGCTGATTCCAGGCCAATCTCAGGCCACATGGCGGCATCATGGAAGCTGGTCTGCAGAGCCCCTAGTTCCTCACCTCTGCCAACAGCCTCCTTTCATCCTCATTTACCTCCCTCTGGAATGTTTTCTCAGTAAGTTCAGATATCATGGGTTGTCACTCACCACGTTTATTAAGCACCTACAAAGCACAAAGTACTCTGCATGGAGTAGAATCTGTGAACCCAATGAACAAGGGAAGGAACTGCCAAGAAGTATACAATCTATAGGGGGACCTGACCGAAAATTCTAAGGCTGGCAGTATGCTAGAATTGTACACAGACAAAGCTATAGGATGGTGTAAAGCTTAAACCTACAGGCATCAGAATTTTTTTAAAAAGCCTTGTGGTTTATGAAGGTCTGCGGGGCAGGAAGAAGGAGGCAAGCGTTCATCAGCCAGTTCCTGAACACACGAGACTTGTGAGGGAGGACCTCGTGGGTCAGCAGCAGGGAGGCCCTCACAACTCTCAGGGAAGATCTCATGAGATTCAATATGAGAGGGAAAGGTGAACGTTAGACCTAAAAATAAAAAATAGGTGAAGGGGTTGTTGATAACATATATTTGAAAGAAGTCCCAGAGTTTGTCCAGTAAAACCTTCCTGAGCTGTCGTATTGCTAAATTCCACCTCTCTTTTTCCAACTCCTGATATGTAATGTCATCTTATCAAGACAGGGGCTGGTTTCTGCATTAAGGATATTAAGGGAGGAAAAAAATCAGTTGGGAGGCTCAAGGAAGATAGCCTCAGAAGATGGTAGGAGATGGCCTCAGAACCCAGCCCAGTGAGTAGACTCTTCTAAGGTGGCACTGGGGAGAAAGGCATGATGGTAATAGATGGGGAGAGTGAGCTGCATGTTCCAGAGAGCACATGGACTCCAGAAGAGCTGGATACATTGACGTCTGGGGCAGCATGGAGAAATTAGGAGGAGACCAGTGAGAAGACAGTGGGGCCAGTTCCCAGAAGGCCCTGCCTGCCAGGCTACATGGTGCAGAGTGGATTACATAGATACCGGGGAGCCAGCAATGTTTCTGAGCAGGGGTAGAGACTAGATCCCATCAAACAACCCCACAAAGTCACTGACTGATACAGCCTCTGTGACTATTTCAATACACATGGAAATATTTATATTTCAAATGAAAACTTCCTAAAAGCAAAACGTCTCTGCTAATGCAGTGAGAGAGGTGTCAAATGAGAGAATAAGGGACATTTCTAGGGACAGGGGCTTCCATCCACTCCTCAGACCACTCCTTGAACACCAAGATGGCATTTCTTGAGGCTCATTGAGGGGATGTGAAGAAGGTATAGCCCAAAGGTTCTCAGCCCATTTTCCTCTAAGACACCCAGCACAGATGAGGGACCCCGACAGAATGTACTCCACGGTGCACCCAGGGTCATGAGGACAACCAGCTTATTGGGTGGTCTGAGTCAGTCAGGGTTCATTATTTTCTCCCAGCCACTGCCTTCAGACCTGCTCTGTCACATTTCCCTTCTCTGCCCATGGACACAACTTCACAAATCCCAAAACATTCCAGTCACCGTCAGTTCAACAAACAAGCTCATTCTGATCATCAAGACTCACTTTCAGGCCCAGTCCAGTCTGAATCAAAATATCCATCCCATGGATCCATCCCATGGGATTCAATACTCAGCCTTCTCACCCTCAACACCCAACCCATCCCACCCAGCCTTGCCCTGACCCACATGGAGATGGAGAGTGGTCTGCACTTCCACTGCCCCTTTACAGCATCTCCACCTTCAGCCGTCCCTCCTCCAGGTTAGAGCAGGGAAAAGGATAATGGTGCAAAGTGGGCACACAAGCTTCCTGACTGGTGCTCTTACAACCCAGTTTGGTGGCCTCGGGAAGCTCCCACACTAGGCTCAGGAGGAAGAACCAAACCCTTCTCCCCCAGAGTGTATGATTCATTTCCTTGATCATGCCCCTTGAATCTTTATCTTCTCTTTGCACAAGTTGGAGGTATTTGTTGAGCTAAAGATCACAGTGCTGGTTTGGTCACCTCTTAGATGTTACAGGGACCTATCAAGCAGCAATTCCCTAGGAGCTTCTTATCCAATCATTATTGGCTTTGGGGCTTTAACTGAATATTTCAAGATAGCAAAAGTGTCATTCAACATCTGTTATGTACACAGATTACCACCCACTACTTATAATAAACCATTTCTCTCCCTTTCATTCATAAAATCATGTCAAATGCAAGTCAAAGAGAATGAAATTATTATACAGAAATCTGAATCTGCTCTAATTTATGTTTTAAAATATATTATTCACAAACTTGGATGCTTGAAGCATGACTAATAACAAGTTTCTTTTGACACACCTCAAAAGCGATGCTTTGCTACATATATGGAGCCCTTCCTTTGCTCAGGGAATTATAATCATATGCCAGTGTGACTAACTGGAATAATGGAAGAGAGGTCCATTTATAGGTATATATAAGTTCTAGGATGTCAGTATTAAGCAACAGTGTGTATTACTAAATCTCATATCATGTGGGCAGGGAAGAAATCTGGCTCATTGCACCTGACATCCCTGATTCACTTCTCTGACTGAGGCAGGAAGGAAAACAATGGAGAAAAAGACAGTGGGAAAAGGCAACAGCAAAGAGCATGTGGCATGGGAGTGGCACCAGTGGCTTCACACGTGCAACCCCACAGCACACTTTGTAGCATTTTCCAGCCACGGTCCTCGGGTTGTGAATACCTTTGGTCTCCATGGCCCCCTGTGTGGTGACCAGCATTATGGGCATTGTCTGAAAGTCGGCCTCAAATTCACTAGCGCTTGAACACAAATACCCATCTTCACCCCTTGGTCTCTTGAAGATTAGGGTCTTAATCTTCACAGTAAATTATTAGAAGATTGGGGCAGCTGCAATATACATTAACCTGTGCTTCTGCAAGCCAGGGAGGTTGACGGAGGGTCACCAATTTTTGTCAATTTCCTGGACTCCTCTCGATTACAGTCATGTGTTGCTTAATGATGGGGATATATTCTGAGAAATGCAGCATTAAGCTATTTCATCACTGGGCAAACATCATAGAGTGTACTTATACAAGCCTAGATGGTAGAGCCTACTGCACACCTAGGCTATACCATATAGCCTATTGCTCCTGAGCTACAAATCTGCACAGCATGTTACTGTGCCGAATACTGTAGGCAACTGTAACACAATGGTGTTTGTGTATCTAACCATATCTAAACATAGAAAAGACACAGTAGAAATACAGTGTAAAAGATTAAAAATGGTGCACACCTGTGTAGGGCAGAGTGGAGCTTACAGGACTGAAAGTTGCTCTGAGTGGATCAGTGAAGGAGTGGTGAGTGAATGTGAAGACCTAGGACACGGCTGTACACTACTGTAGACTTTAGAAACACTGTACACTTGGGCTACATGAAATTTATAAAAAACACTTTTCCTTCTTCAATAACAAGTTAACCTTAGCTTACTGTAAATTTTTTGTTTTATAAACTTTTCCATTTTTTTAACTTTTTTACTCTTTTGTAATAACACTTAGCTTAAAACACAAACACATTGTACAGCTGTACAAAGATGTTTTCTTTCTTTATATCCTGATTCTATAGGTTTTTTCTACTTCAAATTTATTTATTTTTTTTACTTTTTAAACTTTTTTGTTAAAAACTAAGACAAACATACCCATGATCCTAGGCCTACAGAGGGTCAGGATCTTCCATATCACTGCCTTCCACCTCCACATCTTGTCCCACTGGAAGGTCTTCACGGGCAATAACACACATGGAGCTGTCATCTCCTGCGATAATAATGCCTTCTGGAATTCCTCATGAAGGACCAGCCTGAGGCTGTTTTACAGTTAACTTTTCTTTTATAAGTAAAACTACACTCTAAAACAATGATTACAAGTATAGAATAGTAAATACAGAAACCAGTAATATAGTTGTTGATTATCATTGTCAGGCATTATGTACTGGACATAATTGTATAGACTATACTTTTATAGGACTAGTAGTGCAGTAGGTTTGTTTACACCAGCATCACCGCAAACATGTGAGTAATGCATTGCACTGTGGCCCTAGGATGGCCACAACATCACTAGGCAATAGAATTTTTCAGCTCCATTATAATCTTATGAGAACCGTTACATATATGGTCCATCGTTGACAGAAATATTGTTTTGCAGTACATGACTGTATCTAAAACATTTAGAATCACAGGTCTATCAATCAGTCAATAAACATCTAGGAAGCACCCAATAGGTGCAAAGCCTTGTGAGACCCCCCCAGGTCTATGAGAAAGTACAAGCCAGTCGATCTCTAAGACTACGGAGATTGGACTCCTATCTAATGATACTACAGCTCACAGCATATCCTCTTTGGGAATGGATTTCAGAATATGGTGTGGATCCGGAGAAAAAGAAAGAAAGGAGGAAGCTCATTGCGAGGTAGAAGAGATAATAAATTTTTAGCAGAAAATGCTTGGAAGATAGTTAGAAATTAGGAACTATGAAGAATTCAGATTTTTTTTTCTTTTATTACTATACTTTAAGTTTTAGGGTACATGTGCACATTGTGCAGGTTAGTTACATATGTATACATGTGCCACGCTGGTGCGCTGCACCCACTAACTTGTCATCTAGCATTAGGTATATCTCCCAATGCTATCCCTCCCCCCTCCCCCCACCCCACAACAGTCCCCAGAGTGTGATGTTCCCCTTCCTGTGTCCATGTGATCTCAGATTTTTAAGAGAAGGCAGATCCACTGATATGACGACTTCTGAAACTGGGAAGTATGACTCATGAACAAGTCAGATTCTTCCATTCAACAGATTGAGCTGAGTGACTTCTAGGTCCTTGCTACTCAAAGCATGGGTCACAGACCAGCAGCAACAGCATTACCTGGGAACTTGTTAGAAATGCAGATTCTCAAGCCCCAGAAATAATGAATTAGAATCTGCATTTTAACAAGATCCCCAGGTGATTTACATGCATTATGAAGTTTTAGAAGTACTTGTCTCAGTGCCAAGCATTTACTATACACATGTTTACAAAAGGAGACAAGGAAATCTGCTTGAGGAGACCATTCTGAGCTGCTAGTAAGGAACTGGCCCAAATTTGTCCTTCTCTACAAATCTAGAGAATTTTCAAGTGCCTGCTGCCTCCCACCTGGCACCCAGTTCCTTCAGTGGGAGCCATTGATTGGTACAGCTGCCTTAGAATTCAAGAGAGCTCTTTTCTCAGCCACTGAAACAAGAAGAGCGATGTTGAATCAGAACTCATTTTGCCCACAGGACAGTGTTTATAATGTGCTGTTATGTGTTGACATTATTTACACTTCCAACTTAATTTATATAAAGTATTTATATTTCCAAAAAAGATCTGCAACAACTTATAACAAGAGATATATTCAATAAGGCCATTCAAATGCAAAACCAACAACAAAAAAATCAGAAGGACAGGAAAAAGAAGATGCAAAAAGGAAATGTTTCAAGCATCTTGGGTATTATGGTTATTTAGAGTTAGCAATAGACATAGCTCTGAGTTTGCTGGTAGCCAACGCAAAGCGAAAACAGGAGGAGTTATGAAACTCTCATTATGTGAAACATATTACTCAACGGAGGCAAGAAAAGAGATATTTTTGAAATGCCCTGATATCAGTGTCAACAGGAAGAAGTTCAGTATTTGGAGAAAGAAAGATTAAAGGAAAAATTCTGGCCCCAAAAATCTTCACACACACACACACACACACACACACACACACACGCGCGCACACACACGCGCGCACACACACACACACACACACTTACTTCGCATAGGTCTCCAGTAAATGTTTTGCATTTTTACTATAAATTCAACGCTGGTGCTCAAATTTAGAAAATATTTCTCTCTTGTCTTCTCCCTTACATACTTACAATTTAAAACCCTGGGATTTTCAAAGCACCGTCAAGTTTTACATCTTGTTTGGCCTTCACATCAGTCTTCTGAAATTACTTCCTCCATTGCACTATAAGGAAAGCAGGCCCAGAAAGGTTCTCTTACTGCCTAACATCCAGAAGTTAGTCTGGAATCCATTTCCCCCAAAACCCAGGCTTGATCCTCAGTGTCCTTAATACTACAAGCTGCCCTTTCTTGGAGGTCAAGATTTAATTCCATTGAACTCTCTGAAAATCTCATTTCCAGCTACCAAATGGCAGACTCTTAAGGGAAGTGACTCTTTAAGGCAAGCAGAAGATGGATCTATAATATATTGCAAGACCAGCAAGTGCCTACACTTAGGAAGCTCACTCTTAAAAGGGTCACTAGGAAAGGACTCTCTATCTAAAATGTGCCTCCATCTATGTGCTTGATAGTGCCAGTTAAAACCCTAAGAGGAGGTTTCAAAGTCTAAAATAACTCTGAGAAGGGGAAGGGAATAAGTATGTCTACCATAATCAAAGAAAAACAGCCAAGAAGAATGAAAAAGACCTCTGCTGGGATCGGCCATTCAGTGACAAGCTTGTCTCGCCAGAATATAACTCAAGGAAAGGTGTCAACATCAAAACTGAGATCTCAGAAAAACAGCATGAGGATGAACTGTGCAGTGAGGTAGCTAATCCACACAGCGGATGACAACAGAGGCTCAGAATACAAATAATGCTGTCTCTGCTGGAGGGAGAACCCCAGCACCATTCACTTCCAGAAGGAAACTCTTAGTGTGTCCCTGCCAGGAAAACTGAGCCAAACACAAAAAAACCTCCAGTTTCTTCTCTCCTTACACTAATCCACCACTCAGGCAAACAAACTGGAAACCTGGAGCTCTGAATAACAGATACCAGTTCAAGATGCTACTTTGGGATAAAGCGAATCTGCTCTGTGGTCTGTTTAGCAACTAATCACATTTCCTTTTTTTGTTGCTATGGCAAGGAAGCTCAGAGCCAAATCCGTTGCCTGCCTATAGCAAGGGTTCAGGACCAACTGATGTCTCTTTCTTTGTAGTTTTGGTTTTATATTTGTTTCCTATACTAATTTGTCTAAAGGCTGGCATATTTTTATAAGCCACATTAAACTGGCTTTGGAATGAGATAGGATAAAGATGATAGATAAACAGGAAGAAGGGAGGGAGAGAAGGAAGGAAGGAAGGAACATCCATATTATGTGCATGTATATCTAGATGAGAGAGAAAGATTTGATTCCTGAACAATTATCCAGAAAGACTGTCTGGGCAAAGTGCATCATTGGGGGTAAGAGAATGAGAACATCACAGCATCTGGCCAGAGTCCTGTGTGAGTCCCATAGGACCCTGACAGGCAAAAGAGATGGTTGACAGAGCCACTGGCTTAATGGGGTAGGAGGTCAAAACTAAAATGCCTAGTGTTGTTGTTCATGCCTGTATTACCCACAGCCACTATTAATGAGGAGGTACCATGTACTGTGTACTTTCCCACGCTGTCTTTTTTTATTTAGGAATAATTTACACACAATAAAATACACAGCACCATTTGTTGAAAAGACCATATTTTCTCCCATTGAACTAACTTGGCACCTCCATCAATCCATGCTTTCCTACTTAATCTTTACAGCAACCCTGTAGTGTCTTTCCCCTCTTTTAGATACTGAGAAACTGAAGCTCAGAAAGATGAAGTGACTTACAAATGTCACACAACTTCTAAAATGAGGCGTGTGATTCATACTCAAGTCTTACTGTATATCAAGGCCATCCTTTCAGACATTATACTCTATAGCCTTCAGCCTTCAAAGACCCAGGAGGACTTCCCTAACATATCTCATCTTCCTCTGTCTCATTTTTCTAAATTCCAGTTCCACTCGGACTTTGCATTTAGCTACGGTGATGGTGGTCATTATAGCGACTTGCATCATTTTCTAATTGATTCCTATGTCAACTCCCAAAACTTTTTCTCCCCTTTTCAACAATATTGTTTTGAAGTTAGCCAAGCCAGGTTTTAAATTTCTGTCTTCCCTATCACCAAGCACAGTGCTGGGTACACAGTAGGTGCTCAATAAATTCTTTTTCTGAATGGGAAAGTGAATGTTCATTTGAACAGTGAGTCTTGTGCCCCTCCTACCCTGTTCAAGGTACTTTAACTTTTAGGTTAAGTCTCACCAGATCCAGACTCAGTTCACCCAGAAATGAAGACAGTTGCTGCTCTCTCAGGCACAGATGCAGAAAAGGATTTCCAAAGACAAGAGGACAGTCCCTTCATTGCCCCAGTCCCCAAGTGTTCAGATGGGTTTATGCCCCCAGCTATTTGGATAGCCAGGTGATACTACAGATTAGCAGAAGAATGGTGGATTTTTGAAACCCAAGGGAATGAATTTCAAGAAGCTTTCAAACTGCCAAATAGTTCATAAGCAAAACTAAAGTTATATTTTGACAAATACAATGACTTTTCCCCCACAACACATTTCCTTTTCTTTCTTTTTTTTTCTTTTTCTTTTTTTTTTTTTTTTTTTTTTTTTTTTGAGATGGAGTTTCGCTCTGTCTTCCAGGCTGGAATGCAGTGGCGCGATCTCTACTCACTGCAACCTCCACCTCCCAGGTTCAAGCGATTCTCTGGCTTCAACCTCCCGAGTAGCTGGGACTACAGGCACATGCCACCACGCCCGACTAATATTTTGTATTTTTAGTAGAGATGGGTTTTCACCAACACAACATTTCCTAAAGCTCATAGACAGTTTACTATTTAGAGGCATTCAGGACAGAAGTCTAACACTGGACTTATTTTGAAAAATTGGCAGCATTTTAGTGGGAAAATTTCCCTATATAAAACTTGGAAAGTAAGGAAATGGACAATGAATGGTTAAGTAAAAGGAATGTTTGAAAATAATAGTTAAATCCCCTTCAGCCACAGTAAGGCAGCAAGAGAAGAAAAAAAAAGAATACCAGGATCAGAGTCAGAAGGCATGAGTTCAAGGCTCCACTCCACATTGCAGAGCTGTGCACTGGTCCCTTAAGCCATCCACACTCCAGGTTCCTCCTTCAAAAAGGGGTTGTTACCTAGAAGATGCACATCATGCCCTTCTTAGACAATTCCAACTACATGGGTTAAGCAATAAGAATAATAATTTTAACAATTAAAATGGTATAATCAAAGTACATAAGTACTTTGAGTCTCTGCTATATTTAACAATATATGGCTGGGTGCAGTGGCTCACGCCTGTAATCCCAACACTTTGGGAGGCCAAGGCAGGTGGATCACTCAAGGTCAGGAGATCAAGATCAGCCTGATCAATATGATGAAACCCCATCTCTACTAAAAATACAAAAATTAGCTGGGGGTGGTGGTGGGCACCTGTAATCCCAGCTACTTGAGAAGCTGAGGCAGGAGAATCATTTGAATCCAAGAGGTAGAGGTTGCAGTGAGCCAATATCACGCCACTGCACTCCAGCCTGGGTGACAAGAGCGAAACTCTGTCTCCAAAAAAAAAAATATATATATATATATATACATATACAATTATATATACATATGACCACACAGAGTTGTATACCCTAACCAAGGATGCTACATTTTAGAGATGATTTCAGTATTTTCCAAGGTAATTCTGGACATGTGCCATTTTCACCTTATATACTATATTTAGAATCTGGACCCTCACCTAAGCCACAGCTCTGCTCAGCCTGCTTCACACCTGTCTTATGAGGGTCAGTGGAGACAGTGTGTGTGAGCTGCTTTGTAAACTAAATTTGCCAGAAAACCATAGCTTTGTCATAAATATGAAATGTGTATGAACTACTGGACACACAGGAATTACAAAAGAAACTGAGGAGTGAATCATGAAGCACTGTCAGACAAGGCAGCTTCTAAGGAGTCCTGAAGATGTCGTTCTGAATAATTAAAAAGCAAATCTTCCCAGAAGATGTAAGGTTATAGAGCTGAGCTGTGGGCGGGGAGGTCCACACTGGAAGCTCAAAGAACCCCAGGAAATGCAGCTGAGAAGCAGAGCCCTTGGAGGACAGGAATGTCTGGGAGCCCGGAAAGCCACAGGCCTGGGGCCCACCGAGAGGGTAACACAGTGACTGAGAGGTTAAAGTAATTCTGCAAAACAGCTTGTCCCTTAGAGCAGTTTCCCTCCCAAGGACACCATCAGCAGGAAATCATGGGGCGGTCGTGAGAGACCGAAGTCCCCCGGGGAGAGGTTAGGTATCCTATAGAGAAACACAGGGGTGAGGACGGACAGCAGCATCCGGCGACTCAGAAGGAATTAAAAAGCCAAATGGCAGAGTGTGTGACATAGATATGAAATCCAGGTTCTATGAAGAGAAACCCTCCTGATTCCACAGCCAATGAGAAGGTGAGCTTCCAAATCCTGTTCGTGGGATCCGTGGGTGACCCCTAGTACCAGGACACAGTCAAGAATTTCTGTTTCCACAAGCAAAGTTAAGTGGAGAATTCAGCAAATCTGTTGGGAAACCAGGGACAAAGAACTCGGACTTTTTCAAAAAAGGGCTGTCTGTTGTTTCCTTCAGCTAAATTATGAGAATACATTCTCAGCTCTACCTTGTAAAAATGAAAAGAGTCTTGCAGGGAAGGACAAGTCTCACCATTTCAGAAACTCAAGAAGCAGTTTGATTGTCAAATCAAATCAGTCTATAAACATTTTTCTAAAAGTCTCCTCAGGTCTTTGCAATCTTTTAGAATTATCTGAAGAAAACAACAGCAATGGGGAATCTCCTACCAGATATGAAGAAATTTGCTTAAAATATATATGTACATGCACAGCAACTCAATTACCCACACCAATGTAATTTTGTTTTTCCTTACCAATGTAAGGAAAAACAGGAAATTCACAAACAGCTATGAAGCCACACAATATCAGTGGCCACCATTTACTAAGGTCTTGCCCTAGCAAGGAAGGACTTACGACAAGCACCTCACATACAGGAGCTCATGTAATCCTCCAGAAAACTCAGTGTTAATAACAACACTGGCAACTTATGCACATTATTTCATTTAGTTCTCAGATCAAATCTTGGAAGAAGGTACTACCATTATCCCATTTTACTGATAAGGAAAAGATGAAAAGACACTAAGTAACTTGCCCACGATCATATAGCTAATGAGTGTGCACCAGAGAATCAACCCAAGTATCTAAACCCATTGCTCCTACCTCTGACTCTGCTAGACCCTCTCCATATTTTACAGATTAGGCAACTGAGCCTTAAAGAAGTTAAATAACATCAAAGAATATATAGCCAGTGTGTGGTCACATCAGGATTTGAACTCCAGTCATTCTACTTACAAAGCTTATGCTCTTAAGCTTGGTATTAGATTAAACTGACTCTCATACCCAACCTAATTTCTAGTTGGATGTTATTTGAGGTTTTCATAAAATGTGAAATTGGGAAAATCCTAGTGCTTCAAACCAACACCCAAGCCCTATAGCAGAGGGCTGGTTGAAAAGAGCTGGGATAAATGTCTGAGGGACCTGTCCTGACCATAGGTTTTGTACTGCCCTGAAGGATGGCCCAGAACACCACTCAGACAACAGCAAAGCCAACCCCACCTGCTCATAACAGCCCTGGCAGTGAGGATTGGAATACTTGTAGGAAACATGGAAAAGGGGAGTCTATTGTTTTGTTGTTTTATTGATAAATTAACTTATTTCTCACATTAAATGGGAGGAAGATGAGTACCTCATAGAATGTAGTGAACATCTGCTGTTTGGGGTTTACCACCTGCTCCCACTGGGGACTCTCTATTCAAGGTGTTCTGCCTTCCCACCAAAGATGAGCATGTGACCCAGGCTATGGCCAAGGGAAACCCTCAAGAATTGAATCTTGAGGGGAGAGACACATAAAGAAGTTTCTGGACTTGACTCATCCTAGCAGCCATGCCCTGGACACAGTGATGGCTGGTTCCTGTTACTGTGCTTCCTGGGGTTTCCCCAGTCACTGTTGTCCCGAAACAAGATCCAACAGCTGCTCCTTTAATTCTGTGAGCTGCCTCATAGCCTCCAGCACATTTCTTTTTCTCTTACGTTAGCTAGGATTGGTTCCTGTTGCCTGCAACCAAAAAAAATCCTAACTGAATTTCAAGTGACCAGGGAGATGCATCATTTGGCACTGGTGAACTGCATCAGAATCCACTACAGAAATCAAGAGGTGACTAATGTGGAAGAGCTAATGTGTGGAGAACTGTGGGCTATTTCAGGAGACAAGGACATGAGGGAATCAGCTCTGATTGCATTGGGTTTCTGCACAGTTCTACACCCCTGAAATCTTCTGTCCCTTGCATGATTCACATCTTTCACTGTTATTCACCATTTAAACCCCCAGATTTGTTGTCCTATGATAAGTGGCTCAGCTGTCTAGAACATGATGCTAATGAGGGCAGCACTTCTGACTTGATTCTTGTGGGCCAGTTACCTTAGTTCTGAGTCACAGACACTTGAAACCTGGTCAAAGCTCTTTTGACATTTCATGGAGCCAAAGTAATGAGGTTGATGGACAGCACTAATCAGTGCCACAAATTCAGGTTCAGCTCATATTTCTTAAGGCCCTTCTCCATGCCAGGTAGTGCATTAGGCACTCCAAATGCATGACCTCATTGGCTGTCCAGTAAGCACTGTGACAAATGAACTTAACTGAATTACAAATGAATGACATAACTACATTGAAGAAGGTGAGGAAGAAAGGATCTGAACTAAGTCACTTTGGAAAACAGTATCTTGACTGGACACTATAAGGCTAAAGACAAAAAGAATGTACATAAATACTGTACTCTAGTTGGTAAATTTGTTTCTCACAAGCGTGCTAAGTTAGCAATTCTGAAACTACTTTGTGTGCTAGTGTTGAACATTATAAGTAAACATATTATAGATAATGAAAACCAAGTTTCTTTCTGTTAGAGAAAGAAGTTATCAATAAAGAAAGGGAGATGGCTAGAATAAACCCTGTGGGGCTGGATTGGAGCCAGAGATAGCAGTGTGAACTTATGGCTATTTTATTTTATTCTGGCAAAATATACATAACATAAAACTTACCATCTTAATCCTTTTTAGGTGTACAATGCAATGATATTAAGTACATTCACATCGTTATGCAACCATCACCATCTACCTCCAGAATTTTTCTATCCTTCTGAACTGAAATGTTCATGCCCTTTGAACAATAACTCCCCATTGTCCCCTCCATCCAGCTCCTAGTAACCACCAGTCTACTTTCATTCCTCTATGAACTTGACTATTCTAGATACTTCATATAAGTGGGATCACGTAACATTTATCCTTTTGTGTCTGGCTTATTTCACTTTGCATAATGTTTTCAAGGTTCATCCATGTTGCAGCATGCATAAAAACTTCATTCCTTAAGGTTGTATAATATTCCATTGTATGCATATGCCACATTTTGTTTATCCATTCATCCATTAATAGGCATTTGAGCTTCTTCCACCACCTTTTGGCTATTGTGAATAATGTTGCTATGGACTTTACAGTACAAATGTCTGACCAAGTCTCTGCTTTTGATTCTTTGGGGTATATACATAAAAGTGGAATTGCTGGATCATCTGGTAGTTTTACATTTCACTTTTTTTAGGGACTGCCATATTGTCTTCCACAGTGACTGCACCATTTTATACTCCCTAAGGCAATACGCAAGGGTTCTAATTTCTCCATATTCTCACCAACACTTGTTTTCTGTTTTGAGGATAATAGCCATCCTAAGAGGCGTGATGTGGTACCTCATTGAGGTTTCAATTTGCATTTCCCTAATGATTTCTGATGTTGAGTGTTTTTTCATGTACTTCTTGGCCATTTGTATATCTCCCTTGAAGAAATATCAGTATCAAGTCATTTGCTCATGTTTAATTGAACTGCTTTGTTGTGGTGGTTTTTACTAAGTTTTTGGAGTTCTTTAAATATCCTGGATATTAATCTCTTACCAGTATATGATTTACAAAAGTTTTCTCCCATTTTGTAGGTTGCCTTTATCTTCTAGATAGTATCCTTTGATGCACAAAAAATTAATTTTGATGAAATCCAATTTATCTATTTTTTGGCATAATATCCAAGAAATCATTGCTAAATCCAGTCACTAAGCTTTTCTCGTGTGTTTTCTTCTAAGAGTTTTATAGTTTTAGCTCTTATGTTTAAGTCTTCAATCCATTTTGAGTTAACTTTTGTGCAGGGTGTAAGAAGTATTTCATGATTTCAAAATTTTGTGCGTGGCATAAGGAGTATTTCCTGATTTTAAAGTATCAGGAAATATTTCCAAAAGCTGATACCTCCAGCTTTATTGTTCTTTTTCAAGATTGACTTCGCTACTCATGGTCTTTTGTGGTTCTATATAAATTTTGGAATTTTTTTTATTTCTGTAAAGAAAGTGCCATTGAGATTTTGATAGGGATTGTTTTGAATGCATAGATCACTTTGGGTAGTATGGGCATCTTAACAATATTAAGTCTTCCAATTAATTAACATGGGATATCTTTCCATTTATTTACATCTTCTTTGATTTCTTTCAGCAATGTTTTGTAGTTTTTAGTGTTCAAATCTTTTACCCTCTTGGTTAAGTGTATTCCTACTATTTTATTCTCTTTGATGTTAATGTAAACGGTCCTTTCAGATCGTTCATTGCTAGTCTATAAAAATGCAGCTGTTTTCTTGGTGTGGTGATTTTGTAACCTGCAAGTTTGCACGATTCATTTATTACTTAACAGTTTACTTGTGCAATCTTTAGAATTTTCTACCTGTAAGTTTACGTCATCTGTGAACAGAGATAATTTTACTTCTTCCTTTCCAATTTGAATGCCTTTCATTTCTTTTTCTTGCCTAGTTGTTCTAGCTTGCCTAATTGCTGTAGGACTTCCAGTCCTGTGTTAAATAGAAGTGGTGAGAGTGACTGAGTATGATGCATTGGATTTTGAAATAGAAATAGACACTTAGTAAAAAAAACAAAAACTGGGAAAATTCTAATAAAGCCTATAGTTTAGTTAATAGTATTATACCAGTGTTCATCTCTTAGTTTTCATAATTATACTGTAGTTATTTAAGATTTTAATGCTAGAGGAAGCTTGGTAAAGAGTATATGGGAACCCCGCACTATTTTTGTAACTCCTCTGTAAATCATAAATGATCTCAAAATAAGTTTTTTAATATCTGAAGGAAAATAAAAGCATACAGAGTAAATACATTGGGAGTCCTGAAATATCTTTCTAGGCAAATAAGGCATACTTTCACTTTTCATTAGTTAATTACCCATAGTAAGTGTCCACCACCTCTGCCACTCTGGTATATAAAGTCCTAGAGGGCAACTGGCCAGACATCACATTAAAGAAGCACTATGGCACTGGACTGAGTCAATTCTGAATTTCAGCTTTGGGGATTTCTCAGGGCAAAGTTGTTTAATATCTCTGAAATATGAAAATATCTTTCCAGGATTGTTGTGAATATTAAATAAGGTCATGGTTAAAAAAGCACTTAATCCATGGCAGGTATTTAATAAATATCCTTTCTTTTCTCTTGTTTTAAACATTTAAGACTACAAAGGGAAAACGAGATATGGTACCTTTCACATAAGGGCCTTACATTCTAAATTGGGACAAAATGTACACATATGTTAAATAATTATCAAATAATAGCTTTACATTCTATTACAAGCAAGTGCTAAGATCCAGTAGCGAGTGGGACAGTGTGCAGCAGAGCACAGCACACACAAAAGTAGAGAAATGTGAGCTGGCATCCCCGGGGCAGCCTTCAAAGGAGTGGGGCTGTACTGAGCTTGGTGTGCACAGATAAGAAAATGTTGGGGGTGGTCGGGTGCGGTGGCTCACACCTGTAATCCCAACACTTTGGGAGGCCAAGGTGAGTGGATCACCTGAGGTCAGGCATTCGAGACCAGCCTAGCCAACATGGTGAAACCCCGTCTCTACTAAAAAATACAAAAAATTAGCCAGGCCTGGTGGTGGACACCTGTAATCCCAGCTACTCAGGAGGCTGAGGCAGGAGAATCACTTGAACCCAGAAGGCAGAGGCTACAGTGATCCACTGTACTCCAGCCTGGGCAACAGAGCGAGACCCCATCTCAAAAAAAAAAAAAAAAAAGAGGAAAAAAGAAAAAAAGGAAAAGTTTGGGGCTGAGAGAGGCAATTGAGCCTAGGACAGGAAGAGGCAGAGACCTGAAGATACAAGTATATCTGGGTGGGTACCAGATAGTTCCACATTGCAGATACAGCAGATCAGTGGGAGACACATTCATTTGGAGCATGGAATAGATGTGAGGAACCAGGGGAACCATACTGACTAACGGGGAATGGAGCCAAATTCTGGAAAACCTGAAAGGCAGGCTGAGGGATTCTTTTCTCTTTTTTTTTAAACCGGGTCTCACTCCATCACCCAGGCTGGAGAGCTGCAGCACCGTCATAGCTCACTGCAACCTCGACCTCCCAGGCTCAAGCAATCCTCCTACCTCGGCCTCCTAACTAGCTGGGACTATAAGCATGTGCCACCATGCCTGGCTAATTTTTGTATTTTTGTAGAGACAGGGTTTCACCATGTTGCCCAGGCTGGTCTTGAACTCCTGGGCTCAAGTGATTCGCCTGCCTCAACCTCCCAAAGTGCTGGGATTACAGGCGTGAGCCCTCATACCCAGCAGGCGGCTGAGTCATTCTTGATGGCAGAGGCAAGAGCAGCTGTGGTGGATCCTTAAGTAAAGATGGAGCTCAAGGTAAGCATATAATGCTTTAGTTTGATCTGTGTTTGGTAGTCACAGAAGTGTTTTAAGCAAAGGAATCATAAGATCATAGCACGGTATCTTGAGCAGAGTTCTGTTGCAGGAAATCAAAACCACTTTGCCAATTTTAAGCAGAAATGTTAAATGCCTATAAAGTCATTGAAAGGGCTGCAGGACTGAACTCTAGGCCATTCTGTTAGAGGGATTGTAAATTGGTGAAGACTTTTTGGAAAGCTGTTGGATGACATCTATCAAAACTATAAACATGTATTATATTTGATTCAGTAATCGCATTCTAGAAAAAACTCAATTTTTAGAAAAATGTATTCTAGAAAAAAATTGACATATGAACATAAATATACAAGGTGTTCATGGGAATATTTTTTCTACTAATGAAAAATTAGGAACTCTCAAATGGAAGAGATTAAATAAAATATAGTATAAAAATATTATGCAGTCATTAGAAGAATATATTGAACCTTTATGGAAAGTTATCCCAAATTGTTCATTGAAAAAACAAGTCACAAAGCAAAATTCATAGTATTCCCATTTATGTGTTTTAAATGTGTACAGACTATACAAATGCAAAGCAGTGTTCATAGTGCTTGCCCCTTGGAGTAAAGCAAGAGTGATGGGGGCCTGCAGTGGACGAGTCTATCATGTTTTCCCCTGAATATTCCTGCCTTGTTGGAGTCTTTCATGAGAAGCATGCATTCATGTATTACTTGTGTGGTAAAAACATCAGTAACTGGTCACCTCCTTCAAACTCCTCCCTCAAACGCATTAAAGAAAACAAACCTGCACTTAATTCAGATCATGATGGGGCTGAAGGAGTACTGACATTCCTATCACATGAGAAATGAACCAGTGTCCATCTCAGGTAAGATGATGGCTGAAATGGAACAGCAGGCCAGTTTCTCATGATTTTGCTCTAGAGGACTGGGGCAGGAGGGAGGAGGGAATTTAATTTTTCTTTGGTGTGCCAGAAAAGGTAGTAGTCTGTACCAAAGGGGGTATATTGAAAGGATATGCACACTTTTGGAATTGTTTGCAAGACTAAAGATCTAGGCTTTGAAAACAGGCAGAGAATGGGAAGCTGGGCTGCCATGAGCACAGCCAAGTTCCCACGCAGGGTGTTATGAGGTCATCACCAGCAGAGCCAATGCCACACGGCTCTGCCTTCTGCAACTAACCTCCAGCAGACCCTGCATCCTTGCATGACTCCCTGAAAATGCCAAATCTTAATGCAAGCATCTTATTTTCCAAGCAAATAAAGAGTAAAGAATAAGATGTATCTGCCCCTCTCTTTGGTTTTATCAAGGGTCTCTGGGACCTACCTCTCTCTAAAACTCTCCCAACAATGTAACATTTCCATTAAATAAGAAGAGTGCTCAGTGACAAACGGCAACCACACTTGGATAGTTCAACTCCATATTTTGCCTGATTCGTAAACAAGAGCCCCAACCTGCCTTTCCATTTGCTTGGGTTTAGCAAATGGATTTGCTTCTGATTTTTGAGTGCTTCGAGTTAGCTTAGCACTTTGCAAAGTGTGTAAGGGAGGGATGCTCCCCAGAGAAGAGGCCGCCTGACTTCTGAAGAGGGAGTGAGCAGCAGCATTCACGAGCTGAGAAGCAGAGGAGACAACAAATGCCCTCTTCTACTCGCCTCAGCTGAAGCAGGGTGCCCAATTTCAGGTGCCCCCTCGTGTCAGGAAATGAAGTAAATCAATGACTGAGAGGGCTCTAGGCTGGCTGGCTGGAGGACTGGAGTTTCATATGCACTGCCTTCAGCTGGCTGATGGGTTCTATTCCAGAAAGGAGTTATTCAGCCTAGACTGGGGAGACAAAAAAGCAAATTCAATGGAGGTTCATAAAACTTATGAAGCATATGCAGAAAAGTACCTCAGCAACTCACTCCTGGGCCTTGTCCCATAAATAACACAAGGACAAAGCGGTGAGGAAAATGAAACTGGAGACTGGGGGGGAAAGATCTCTTTTTCACAAAAAGGAGTTTAGGTGATGATCTCTCCTGCAGCAGGCAGTGGTTGCCAGAGCACATGGGACGGTGGCAGGGCTTCAGAGAGGTCCATTTCATTTTAACATTTTTACCACTTTTGGTATTTGTAGGTATGCAGTACTGGCACTTCTTGATTTAGGATGTAGTTGTATGTTTATTAGAAGAGGAAGAACTCAGAGGGAGATTATTTCCCAGGTGCAGGAGCAGTTCATGACTACCATATTCACTTCTCCATTTCACCCATGCTCTCTCCATAAGACCATCACCACTTTGGGTGAAGAAATATCCAAATTTCTTTTCTCTGGGAAATCTCTAGCAGATGTGGACACAGCAAAGAGGAGCCTGAATGCTCCGTCACATCTTGGCAGACATAGAGTTCTTGTTTGCTGATGGCTAAAGGATGTGCGTGTGCTGTTTCCATTGCTCTTGCCAAGCTACACCGAGGGATGCGCAGGGGAGCGTCAAACTCCAGGCTGCAACTGCCTAAAACCCTGCCCCTTTTCTTCCTCCCGTAAACTGAGGACTGAAGCCAGAAGGGTTCGGGTGAGAAACAACAATTACCTTGGGATGCATTGATCAAGAACTTTTTTCTGAAGGGCCAGGAACAAGCAAATAGTACTGCAGATGGTCTCTCTCTGGTCATTTTCACAGCTTTAGATCAAATCACTTTTGGCCAAAATGATGGAGCAAGAACTGCTCTGAAATCACAGTTACAGAGAGAGTAGTATTTGATTTGTATGACAAATAGAGCCAGGAAGAAACTGGAGGGTGTGACCAAGAAAAAAAAAAAAGCCAGGACAAGAAATCAGGCCAAGTAAGAGCAGAACTAAGCCCAGCCAGATCTAGAGACACAAGTGGCCCATCTGCTTCCTCACAATAGATTGCTTCAGTTTAAATTTTTTAAGAAACAAAAGATATAGGAGACTAGATGCCATAATTTAAGACAAAGCTGTAGCTAGAAAGGCCAATTCTACAGAGAACTAGACTGTATATTGTTTTCATTATCTGCTCATACATCCTCTGTTTTCACATAAAATCTAGTGCCCATTTCAAAAAGGAGAAATGTATATGCATTCACTAGCCCATTGTTACGGAAGCTATTTGTATCAGTTAGAAATGTATTCTGCTACAAATAACAGAAAACCTGACTTCTAGGGCCTTAAATAGACAAGAATGTATACGTATTGGTCTTATGCAAGCAGCAGTCTGGGGTTCAGCAGTCTTAGCAACAGCTCAGAGACTTAACTGACAGCAGGGCTCCAGCTCTGCTCTTCTTTCTGCACCACAAGCCTTGTATTTTAGGCCTCCATCCTCGTGCTTACTGCTTCATGTTTCCAAAATAGCTGCTGCACCTTCAGTCATCACATGTACATCCAGGCAAGAAGAAAAGAAAGAAATTGAAAGGCGTAACATTTGTATTCAGAATGCAAATAATTTTCCAAAAATCCCTTAGAAGCATTCTACTTACAACTCAGTGATCAGAATGTTGTCGCATGGCTACTCTTAGCTATGAAAGAGTCTGAGAGGTGTACCCTTTTAGCTGGACATACTGCCAACCCTTAACAAAATCACCATTCTATTACTAAAGTGAAAATATATATTGGAGAGACAACTGGCAAGTCCACCACAACAGCTGAGCTGACCATACCACACACAACTACAAGCAGCAGCCAAAACAACGAGCCTGCCATTCAGTGCAAGTGTTGTCATCTACAGGACAGCTGTGTGAAGAACACGGGCACTTTATGTTAATGTATTATACAAATGTATAATGCTCATATGTTTGTATGTGGGTTAGATTTGTCAGTAGTTCAGTTTTTCAAACCTATAAAATGGATCTAAGCAGAGTTGGAATTATTTGGTGCAGAGAACAGGCAAATAACGCTCCTTAAAATGTGGGATGTGCAGCTAATTTAAGTTTTCTCCTCAGCTGCCCATAGCCTACCACTTGTGATTATTTGATCCCATAATTACCCAATTTCCAGTTCCATTCAAAGGAATGGTTATGGAACAACATAATAGCTCTTGGAGTTCCTGGCCACAGGACTGTATCACAGGTCTGAAATGCTATCAAAGTTAGTCTTTCTCTACCTCCAACTGTTGATACAGGCTCTAAGATCACCCAGCATTTATCATACATCAAGTTAAATGTCACTTTCTCAGAAGGCCATCCCTGGCCACCTTCCCTAACACATTCGATGCTTCCTTGTCCTCATTTATTTTCCTTCATGGTGCTTCTATACATGTATTTCTTACGTGTCTAAAAGCTCGATGACAGCAGGTGCTCTGCCAGTACTCTCCTGTGCCCAGAGCAGTGCCTGGCATACAGAAGATGCTAAATGTATGTCAGTTCAATGATTTTTTAAGCAAACATTTGTTGAGTTATTATTAGGCATGATTCAAAATGCTTTGACCATTTTAATTCATTTAAACCTTACAGCAATCATATAAGTCAAATGCTGTCATCCTGTTTTTCAGATGAAAACATTGAGGCTTAAAGAGGTTAAGATTGTACAGTAAATCACAGAGCTGGGGTTCAAATTCAGACAGTGGCTCCAGCGCTGTGATGTTAGCCACTGTGTTATTCTGCATCCATATTGTGGAAGTTTCCACAACACAATGGGTTGGATTGCAGCCGTCTACTCTTCCTGACACATTAACATAGGAACTTATTATAGTTCTCCAGTTCTGCAGTTATGTTTACCTATTAATCTTTTTCTCCTTTCTCTGACCTCACTCTCCTACCACTTGTCCTGACCTCAGATCTCCTTCAAAGCTTCATTAATTGGGCACAAAACAGGCACTGATAAAGATTTTTAAATGCATTAAAGTCCTTAATTTCTTGCAAAAGTTATAGTTTGTTGGAAATAACATACATTTTAAAGCCAACTATGAAAAATGGTTACCTTTTTTGCTCAAGGAATTTCAATAACAACAGATGTAATTTTGCCAGTCCCATTAGTTACCGTTTATTGGGTACCTACTTCATGCCAGCAGTGTGCTGAATGCTTTCCATGCATTATTTTTAATCCTTTACCCTGTAAGGAAGGTAACATTTTTCCCATTTTTGAAAGAGAAAAAAGCATCAAGAATTTCAGTGAACTGTCTAAGGTTGTACCACAAGGAGTAAGTGGGAGTCAGTGTTCCCATTCACCAAGTTTCACCATATCGTAGATAGATTAAGTACCTATCCAGTACTCAGGTCCTCATAAAGAAAAGAAAACTTAAGAGGCAATAAACATTCAACCATGGACTTAAAGAAAATAAAGATCCTCAGCCTCCTGAGTAGCTGGGATTACAGGCGCCCGCCACCACACCTGGCTAATTTTTGTATTTTCAGTAGAGACAGGGTTTTGCCATGTTGGCCAGGCTGGTCTCGAATTCCTGACCTCAAAGTGATCCACCTACCTCAGCCTCCCAAAGTGCTGGGATTACAGGCATGAGTCACTGTGCCTGGCCTTGTGTGTTTGTTTGGAGACAGGGTCCCATTGTGTCACCCAGGCTGGAGTGCAGTGGTGCAAACATGGCTCACTGCAGTCCCAACCTCTCAGGGTCAAACAATCCTCCCACCTCAGCCTCTCAAGTAGCTGGAACTACAGGCACACACCACCATGCCTTGTTAACTTTTTTATTTTTTTGTAGAGATTAGGTCTCGCTATGTTACCCAGGCTGCTCTCAAACGCCTGGCCTCAAGCAATCCTCCCACCTCGGCCTCCCAAAGTACTGGGATTACAGAGTCACTTCGCAAATCTCAAGAGGAAAGGAAGATCGTGACTCAGTAGTCACATCTTATCAGCCCAACTTCTCGCAGACAGACCTCTCACCTCATCCAACAGCTCTTTTCTGCAAAGGGTTTTTAGCTCTCTTCCAAAACATCAAACCCAGCCTCAAAGGTTTAAGATTGGGCCATCATTGGAGACGATGACAAGAGTATAATTATCTCCAATTTAGAGGAAGTGACGACTCAGAGTTTAAGTAAATTGCCTGAGGTCATTTATTTAGTCATCTGTGGAACCCATGTTTGAGCCATCATCTTTTGACACCAAGTCTGTGCTCTTTTCTCCATTTCTAAGAGAAGCTCCATGGTCCAGCACAGGACATGAAGCAATAAGAGAAAACACATGGTGGGCATTGGCAGCACCATTGGAATAAGCCCATCAGCTCAGGTGTGACTTTGGGGGATGCCACAGCAACATGTGTTTTAAAAAAAAAAAAAAAAAAAAAAAAAAAAAAAAAAAAAAAACAGCTGATTTACTTCATAGTCACAACTCATGAGATTTCATTATGTGATACCTTGGTGGTTCTTATCCCCAGGGAGAAAACATCAGACTCTCTTTGTAGAATTTATTCCCCTGGACATAAGGGGCTTAGAGATTTCTAGAATTTCTGCTCATTTCCTCAATCGAACAGATGGTGGGATAAAAGGACATTCTGGGTCCCTTAGATGACAGGCTGCCTGTCACAATGGCAGAACCTGCCGTGGGCTCTGGGTTAGACATACCTGGAACCAACTCCCACCTCTGCCACCTACCAGGTGAATACCTTCAGTTCCCCTAACAATAAAATGGGGGTAACTGGTCATGCCTCAGGGGTGGGCATCAGGGCATGAGGAGCTGATGGAAACAAAACCTTGAGCACAGTGGTGACATTGAGCAAGCTCAGCCATTATTTCTGTCCCTTCCAGCTGGAGGGTCCCAGAGGAGCAACTTCCACCCAGCTGTGGGGAGTTAACAGGGCAGAGAAGCCAAAAATTGCTCCTTCTTCAAAGGTCAGCAAGACATTGCCTAAAGGGACTCTGACTTCAGATCTAACGAACCACACTGGCTCCCTAAATGAATCATGCGGAGAGCGAGAGCTGGGACGCATCCTTGCACCCTGCCACAGCAGCCGTGGGCAGTATTTGCTGAGGAACACCATCACTCACACGGAGGAAGGCCAGGCCAAGGAAAATACCCAGGAGCAGCTTGTTTGCAAAGCAGCCATCCAGAATCTAAGTACAGTTTTTTAATAAAAATGCATGAAAATACTGTTTTTCTTTGTTTATGCCATTTCTAGCATCAAAACGTTGTCTAAGAGACACATTACCATAACTGTGGTCACCCTCTGTGCACATAACCTGCTTCTTTCACAAAATATAATTATTCCCGCTCTCCAGGCTTTTAGTCAAAGATTAACTTGTAGCAATTTAAAAGGTCAAAGCTGAGATCAAACTGCGTGTGTTTTAATCTCCAAAAAATGTAAATTGGCCCAAAATTTCAAACATAACAAGCCTTGTGGGTAGACTCTATGTTCATGAAAAGTTTCCCGTGACATATGAACGAGTCTTTGGATAACCAGCCTTGCATCCAGGCAGCAGATGTAACCTCTGATGAGGTACTTGCCACGGTACAGTAAATGCTGATGCTTTATTGAAAAGGAACAAGCAAATAGAATACAAATATCACAGGCTCCAAAATGTTCCATGGTTGAAATGAAGGTGGTTGAAATCTCCGGCATGGTGGCCATGATGATTTATTCAGCCAAATGTCTAAAATAAATGCCTTGGTATGTTTGTATTGATTATACTTATTTTTGCTGTCAGAAATTGTATCTGCTAACTCCATCTCTGGGTAAAGGGGTTGAGTTGGGGACTATAAATTCTGCCAATGGGCACTATAAACCGTCCTGAAAAACGAGCCCCACTTGCATGGAAACAAAATGCATTCCTTTCCACATGGTTGTTCTTCAACAAGAAATAATGAAGGAAAACAGTACTGTGCAATTCTTAATGGCATTTTAATAGTTTAAATTAGGAGCAAAAGGCCTCTTGACATGTGGTTTTGCATAAACATGGCCCTTTCATGATATTAATTAGGGTGGGGAGAGAGAGATGTCAGACGGCAGGCCTCAGTCCAGCTTGCATGATGAGGCAGCCGAGTAGCACAGACTCCCCTTGTCCCCTCAGAAGCAGCAGCCAGCCCTGGAATTTCATAGTAAGGCAAACCCTATCTGCACTCCTGCATTATGGAATTACTTACAACAGGCAAATGACTCTTCACTTGCCACCAAAATCCGTCTTTTCTAACCTCTAGAGAAGGTGATCGTGTTAATGAGATTCCAGAAGACAAACAGCTATAGGAATGAGCAGATTTACAATTTGGAGACATATATGAAACCGCAGCATGCCAACAAAGAAGCACCTAGGGATTTTTTTGTTGTTTGTTTTTTGAGACAGGGTCTCACTGTGTAACCCAGTCTGGAGTGAAGTGGTACCATCATGGCTCACTGCAGCTGCCATCTCCTAGGCTTAAGCAATCCTCTCACCTCAGCCTCCAGGGTAACTGGGACTACAGGCACACACCTCCAGGCACATGCCACCATGCCTGGCTAATTTTTTTTTTTTTTTTTTGCGGGGGGCGGGGGTGGTATGGGGGTCTCACTATGTTGCCCAGGTTGGTCTCAAACTCCTGGCCTCAAGCAATTCTCCCCTTTTGGACTCTCCAAGTGCTGGGATTATAGACATGAGCCACCTCAACCAGCCTAGACTTGTTTCTTCTAGGTAAAGTTGATATTAATTGACACAGGCATTGCAGACTTGTTCTAAGACAGATTTGTTATTCCTATACTGACCCTGGGAATGCTAGTGACCAAAACGGGCAAGGTCCCTGCTCTAAAGGGGCTCCCATTCTAGCCACATGTGTCAAGTAAACAAATGAGCCAACAAAATATCAGATAATGGTAAGTACAGTGAAGAAAATAAAACTGGGGTTGGAAAAGACAGTACCCATGTAGTCAGAGAAGGCTCTCAGAGGAGAGGATCTTTAAGCTGAGACATGTGTGGCAAAAGGGAAGCAGCCATGCAGCAATCTCAGTAAAAAGCATTCTAGGCAGAGGGCACTGCAAGTGCAAAGGCCCTGAGGTGAGCCTGTGCCATGTTCCTTTCCTTCACCACTAAAGTAGGTCCATGGCACAACAGATCTTCTCATGGCAGCATTTCCCCAACAGATGGTCTAGTACTTCAGGGCAGAACATGGGCACGTTTCTCCTACAGAAAATGGCCACTTTACTGAAGAAATGGACGTCCTGCTAGGGGATCATATGGACACAGAATCCCAAGACAGGAGGGAAATATAAGTGCTAGTTTCTAGGTGCAAGAACTGATCTACAGAACCCCCTTTTGAATTCTCCAGGACAATTACAAGCAGCAACCACACATAGAATCAAAGTAGAAGCATATGTGTGGGGGGGGGCAGTAAGGAGTTCTGAGAAGGTGTCTGGCAAACATCAGCTCATTTGTTTTTAAGAAATACTGAGGAATCATACACCCTATTGGCAAGTAGGCTGATCTGGGTCAGTCACAAGTTTTCCCCTGCCCCATACCTCTTATGCTGGCAACAGTACCTTAATCTACAAAGGGAAATTGGAGCTGAGGACTACCAGTTTGGGCAGCAGGAGCCAATAAGAAGATGAGTCTCCATGGGCTGGGATGAGGGAAGTTGACTTCTACATCAGGGGCTTGGGTGAAGACATGATGCTCCCAACTGGCTTCCAAATGGTATCATGTTATGTCTTGAGAGGCTAGAGAGGAAGACTTGAATGGGTCTTATTTTTTTCGATTATAAGGACAGAACTACATAAGAAGCATGGTTCTGTTGAAAGAGTCATTCAAAATGCACAAGAAGTAACAGAGCTATCTGTGTGTCTTTTCCAAGCCTGCTGTAGATGTCCTTCCCTTTGGAAGGACAGTGCCATTGTAAAGTCTGGTATACATCCAATTCAGATGTATCTCTTGAACAGTAACTACTTTTATTATAACAACCCAAGTTTGATCATTTCACAAACTGCTCACCTTTGAGGAACTAGCTGGAGGCAACAGCAACACCAAAGAAAGTGCATTGTTATGATAATATATAGAATTCCTCCTAACATCTCTCTTGAAATCTTGCATTTTGCCTTCTTTATATTTGCACCAACTACATCAAACACAATGTAGAAAAGTCTTTGACATTCTAGATAAGAAGAATTAGGTGTTTTGATTTATATGATTACTCTAACTGCATTAGCCCTGGGGAAGTTGTTGACTAAATCAACATGATTGAATCATGTTCCAAGGGTTTCTCACCGTACTTCTGTTTGATGTATAGAGTGATTTTGATGAGGAATCCATAGAAAATGAAATAGAGACATCCTTCACCAAAATGGAACAGATTAGCTTTTGCACTGGAAGATTTGGCCTTAGAGTTCATAAATTACCTGTTGACTATGCATATAACTCCATGATATCCCTCAGGGAAATGGATGTTTCAGCGTATCAGCTCTGCTGAGATTTGATATGATTCAACCATCTTGGCAGATGTATTACCAACTGGGAAACTGAATTTTTAACTAAAGTTGTATGTACACAACAGCACAACGGTTCAAAAAATGAAAAAGTGTAGTTAATTAAGATCTAACAATGCCAAACAGCTAGCCAAGCTGGTTTTTGCTCCACTAAACTGACCAGTGGCTTAAGAAAATGGACTCAGCTAACCAGTTGATAAGGAACTGAATAGATACATTCACACCAAAACATACAAGTATATAATCAGAGTTATATTATCCATAATCTGTTCTCTTTTCAGCTGTGGCAGCAATAAATGTCGGTACTCACAAGTAAATAGATGAATTGTTAGAACAGTAAATATTCAATAAATGTTTGCTAAAACACAGTAAGTAAAAATATATATATATACTGAAATTTCTATTAGAATAGTAGTTTATGTCTTGATACTTTACAGGCCATAAAAATAAGTTGATACTAAAGAGATAACTGAGAAGAAAGAATGAAAAATGTAAAACAGCGACACCTAACAAAACCCTCTTGTATTGAGATAATTGTTCTGGTTGAATGACCAGATACAGCATCCAGATGTTAATCTCTAAATACCATTCTCCAATAAAAAGGAATTTGGCTCCTTGGAATAATGGCTGATTCCAAGACAAAGAAAGGAAAGTAAAAGATAACCTTGGACCATATTATGCTTCTAAAAATAAATGCTCGAAAAATGATGAGGCATGTCAAAATGCACAGGAACCAACTGGCCAAATCTGGGACGGTTATAGGTGGGTCTTTTTTCTTAGAGCTCCCAAGATGGGGCGGGCAGCTCCCAAGATGGCAGCAAGTCTTTTGTTCTCTGACCTGGGGTTCTTGGCCTCACAGATTCCAAGAAATGGAACCTTGGGCCATGCAGTGAGTGTTATAGTTCTATTAGAAGCCGTGGGTCACCGAAGAGAACAATGGAACCCAGCAACCAGTGTTCAGCTCGATTAGGACGAACCCGGGCACTTAGCCGTGCAGGAACAATGGCGAGCCTCTAGCCTGATCAGGAGCCACAGTGGGCGCCTCACTGGATCAGGAGCACAGCAGGCACCTTGCCGGATCCGGAGGGGTGGAAGTCAGCGGCAGGTCTGCAACTGCGGCGTTCAGCAGTGGTGGATGGCGAGCAAAAGCTCAGCTTGAGCCGGAACAAACCCGGACCAGGAGAGTGTGCAGTTGCAAGATTTAATTGAGTGAAAACAGAGCTCCCATACAACGGGAGGGGACCCAAAGGGGGTTGCCACTGCCAGCTTGAATGCCTTGGGTTTATATCCCGATCACTGTCCCTCCCCCTATGCTCTCAGGTGATAGATAATTTGACTATTTCTTTACCTCCTGCTTTTAGCCTAATTGGTATTTTAGTGAGCCCTCTTTACTACCTAATTGGTCAGGTGTGAGCTGAGTTACAAGCCCCGTGTTTAAAGGTGGGTGCGGTCACCTTCTGCAGCTAGGCTTAGGAATTCTTAGTGGGCCTAGGAAATCCAGCTAGTCCTGTCTCTCAGGACAATTTCAACAATAAAAGAAATAATCATAGCAATTGGTGATTATATTAGATAGGATAGAATAAAATAAAATACATTAATCCATATTTATATAAATAATTGAATAAACAAATAAATGAGAGAGAAAGGAAAACTATTCCTTGCAGTAGAATTTTAATTAATAAGTATAGAAGAAATGATGGAAATAGAAAATTATCATTTGACAAATACCACAGTAATAATTGTTCCAGGCAAGAATTATCAGCGGATGCTAAAACTAATGGGTACAAGTATGAAAAACAAGATATTTACATGGTCTCAAAGTATCTCCCCATAAAATACTTCTTTAATTACAAAGGGGAAAATAGTAACTTTCCAGTAGAGAACCTTGTGAGACACCACCTTAACCGAGTTATCAGAGTTAATATTGCCAGTTGTAGAATAAATCAATCTCATGTGCCTCCTCATATGTTGCACAAAGAAGGACACAACATCACTTCTGTGATGTTCTTGTCAAAATGCATAACCTGAATTTAATAATTATGAAGCATTAGACAAACTCTAATTAAGGGATATTCCACAAAATAACTGGCCAGTACTCTCAGAAGTGTCAAGGTCATGAAAGGCAAAGACTGAGGAGCAGGTTGTCACATATTAAAAGAAAATAAGAGACATAACAAATAAATGTGACATGTTATCCTGAATTGAAACCTGGACCAGAAAAAAGATATTAGAGGGACAATTGGAGAAATGTGAATAAGATCTCCAGATTATACAATAGTATTACATCAATTTTTTTAATAGTTTTACTGTGGTTTTATGAAATGTTAACATTTGGAGGATCTTGGTTGAAAGGTATACGAGAATTCTTTTTACTATTCTTACAACTTTTTGTAAGTCTGAAATTATTTTAAAATCAAGCATTAAAAAATAAAGAAAATGTTTTTAGTGGTTCTGGCTGAGGTTATGCCTGGAGTTGGCAGTTAGGGGCAGGTTGTTATAAGAACCAGCTGTGTAGAGATCAGACTGTATGGTCCATCATAGAGCTAAGAAGTCAGCCACAAATAGAGGACAGCGGTGACTTGAGAGTTCGAGGGTTCAGATAAAACCTAGTCCCTGCACTAACCTGACAACCTTACTCCATACCTTTGATCACTAGTCAGTTTTCACAGTGCTATAAAGACTACCACCTGAGACTGGATAATTGATAAACAAAAGAGGTTTAATTGACTCACAGTTCCGCATGGCTAGGGACGCCTCGGCAAACTTACAATCATGGCTGAAGGCAAAGGTGAAGCAAGGTATGTCTTACATGGTGACAGGGAAGAGAGAGAGTAGGGAACACTGCCGTTTTTAAAGCCATCAGATCTCGTGAGAACTGACTCACTTATCGTGAGAACAGCATGGAGGAAACCAACCCCATGATCCAATCACCTCCCTCCAGGTCCCTCCTCCATACCTGGGGATTACAATTGGAGGTGAGCTTTGGGTGGGGATACAGAGCCAAACTATATCACCCACAGATGCTTCAACTCCACCCTATTTGCAACTGCTCTCAAAATAGAGAACAGCCTTGGGGCTTTGGACAAGTTACTTAACCTCTTCATTCTTCATTTATAAACCAGAGCAAATAATAGCAGTTAAGTCATAAGGCTATTGCGTGGATTACCTGAAATCATGTGTAAGGTACTTTTCTGGCACAGAGAAAACTCTTGATAAACGTTGGCTACTCTAATCGTCATCTTCTTCATCATCACCATTTTTTTTTTGCTTAGAGAGCCTCACCAGAGGCACTCTGTCCAGCGCGGTCACCACTGTAACCCCAGCCCCTCACACGATGCCTTCACAGAGTGGGCACTCAACAAGCACACTATTCAAATGGAAGGAAAAAGTATCTGGCCCCAGCTGACCTCGTGAATTATTTAGGACACAGATCTAGCTGTTACAACAGAGATCCAAATTACCAGTAACTTAAATAAGGCAGAAGTTTATTTTTCTCTCACAGAACCATCTGAACATGAGTAGTCCATGACTGTAAGATGCCTTCAGTATCAGGACCCAGCTCCTGTCTTGGGGTGGGGCCATTCCCGGAGGCTCCTGACCTCATCCACATTCCGGTCAGCAGGAAGCGGAAAAGACAAGGAGGAAGGACACACCCTTTAAGGACACAGCCCTGAGAATATACGCATAACGCTGTTTTCTTCTCACTAGCCAGAACTTGGACGTGGACCACATCCAGTTTCAAGGGAGGGTGGGAAATGTAGTCTTTATTCTGGGCAGTTGCATGCCTCTCTAAAACTTGCTGGTCCTGTGACTATAGATGAAGGGGAGAATGCGATT
The DNA here is from genome assembly GCF_000001405.40 of Homo sapiens. Taxonomy (NCBI): domain Eukaryota; kingdom Metazoa; phylum Chordata; class Mammalia; order Primates; family Hominidae; genus Homo; species Homo sapiens. Next base: position 143,139,785 of record NC_000003.12, on the reverse strand, counting down.
CAGAAGGCACCAGGAATCCTGCCAATCTCTCCAGCTTGATCACTCACATTCTATATGCCAGCCCTACTGGACTTCTCCCAGGACTTTGCACTCACTGCTCCTTCTGTCTAGTACCCTACCTGGGCCCTAACCCCACCACTTAAGAGAATTCTGGTTTCACCTTCAGGCCCCAGAAGAGATGTTACTTTCTCTGTGAAGCCTCCTTGAGTATCCCTCCCCAACCACCCAGTAGGGATTAGCTCCTCCTCCCTCCTTGAACTTGTCTTACAGTGGCATTTGTCACACTGTCCCTGAACTGTTTGTTAGTCTATCTCTCCTACTGCAACATACATTCCAAAAGGGCAGAGACTATATGTCTGTGTCCCTTGCAGATTACAGCTCTTTAAATTTCTGCTGAATTATCAAGTACATACTTTTGAGAATCTATATTTGAATTTCCAAGCTACTGAAGCTTGGCCCAATGGAAGAATATTCTCAGCATAAACATGACCACTCTACGCCAGACCCAGGCAGGTAATAGAGAAGGTAACTGTGAAATCAGACCCACTGCTTATGAGAGAAAGGACCTCAGATGTGGTGGGCCTGGGAAAGCTTTTCCTGCTCTTGACTTATGTTTCTGCCTGGCTGAGCTGCAGGACAACAGAGACCCATCACTGACACCTCCCGCAAGGAAATCAGCCAGACCAGGAGCTGTCTCTGGACTCAGGACAGCACCTATGCACTTCCTGAGCAAAGAGAGTTGGTGTGGCAGCATCAGGACTCTGCCGGCTGAAGTCACAGCACAGATGGTTAAAAGCCTTTGATTTTTTTTTCCAGATTAATTTATACTTTGGTGCCCCGTGAGCCTTAGGCAAAACTGTGTGAGCCAAGGAGAAAGAGCATTTCAACCAAAACAGTTTTTTTGTTTTTTTTTGTTTTTTTTTTTTTTGCTTAATACCATTTCCTTTAGTTCCAAATCAAAGTCTTAAATTTATGTTTGTGGATTTGAGGTTTGTTTTTGTTTATTTGAGTAAGGAGAGTGAAGGATATGGTTTTAGGTTGTTTTCCTTACCCAAAGTTCCACAAAGGGGCAGAGAGAGAAAAATATCAAGCCCATGTGGAAGAATAAAGAGAAGTAATCATGTGCTAAGTTGCTCTATTAAAGGCAATCTAATCCGAAATCTAATCCTAGCTCTATTACTGGGCTTAGAATTTCTGTTTTACCCTCGTTTCTTTGCTTAATGCTATTTTCTTCACTTCCAAAACAGAATTTTAAACAAAAGTTTGGGGATTGAGGGTTTGCTCTTGTTTGTGAGGGGAAGGTAGAGTTCTTTCAATATTAGAACACCAGGCATTCTAGGTGTTGGGCAATATCAGGAGTTTCCTCTCATTTAATTTTCTTGCCAACTACATAAAGGTTATAAAACAGGGTTCAGAGTGACTAGCTGGTACATAACAGTGTCTTCTCATCAGAGAGCACCATCTGGAAGAGAGGCCATTGAACTGGGCACAGTGGCTCACGCCTGTAATCCCAACACTTTGGGAGGCCGAGGTGGGCGATCACCTGAGGTCAGGAGTTCAAAACCAGCCTGACCAACATGGAGAAACCCTGTCTCTACTAAAAACACAAAATTAGCTGGGCATGCATGCCTGTAATCCCAGCTACACGGGAGCCTGAGGCAGGAGAATTGCTTGAACCAGGGAGGCGGAGGTTGCAGTGAGCTGAGATCATGCCACCGCACTCCAGCCTAGCAACAGAGTCAGACTCTGTCTCAAAAAAAAAAAAAGAAAAGAAAAGAAAAAGATACAATGTTTTCTCTGAATATTTAGGAAAAGTTAAGGGGCACCCAAGAACTCTTTCATAAGGACATTAAAAAGCCCACAGATCATTCTTGTTCCTTGGCCCATGCTAGACTACGATGTCACCAGCTGGTAACACCTCTATCCATCAACACCTCCCTCACTTCTTGTCTCTTACTGGCTGTTCAACAGGCCAGTGAGACTCAGTGTACTTTCTGGGAGATGCACAACCTCTGTGCTCTGTGGCTGTCTCCTTTGACAGTGAGCACAGAGTTATCACATGAAATAGTAATAGTTGTCACACAAACACACAAGCAAAGTCTTTATTTTTAAGTACATAATACTGTGGAAGATGACAGGTTTGGAGTTTTTTGAGGGGATTTTCCCCAACCTACTGTGAACATCACAGGATGTCTTCATAATGCCTTGAGGACCTGATCCCTAAAAAATGATATCCGTGTTTGACTAAGTGTTAAGTGTGCATCTTTATTAACAATGGGGTCACTGAGGTCCCATGGCTGTAATTCTGATTAAGAAAATAAGCACATAGTCTTCCTAATCATTCCATGTCAGCTAATTCTAAATTGCACCAAAATGGAAATAGTTGCTTTCCCCATGCCCCTAGATAGGACATTTCTATTAACATTGCTCACTGGTTTCAGAATATAGATGATACATGATAATTATTCAAATAAAAAATTATATCCTAATTGGGTATTTGGGTTAGATAACTTGAAGTATCCTTGAAAAAAACTAAAAAAAAAGAAAAACAAAGATTCTTCAGTAATTATCCACATGTGAGAAGGAGTTTTCTGATGTTTTCTTCTTGGCAAATAACCAGACCTATTCTAGGTTTTTAACTTGACAGCAGGCAATGTAGCCATGTCAATCTAAAATAAGAACACCTGTAAATTCTTTTTCTTTTTTCTTTTTAGAGTCAGGGTCTCACTCTGCCACCCAGGCTGGAGTGCAGTAGTGATGTAATCATAGCTCACTGCAGCATCAAACTCCTAGGCCTAAGTGATCCTGCCACCTCGGCCTCCTTTTTTATTTTATTTTATTTTATTTTATTTTATTTTATTTTTATTTTTATTTATTTTTTTTTTTGGTAGAGATGAGGGCTCACTATGTTGGCCAGGCTGGTCTTAAACTCCTGACCTCCAGTGATCCTCCCACCTTGGCCTCCCAAAGTGCTGGGATTACAGGTATAAACCACTGTGCCTGGCCTAACCTCTTTAATGGAGAAATTAAAGGTGAACAGTAAGAGCATGGGCTCTGGGATGAAATGGACTGGCTATACCAATTACTAGCTGTGTGACCTTAAGCAGTTTACTCCTCCTCTCTGTGCATCATCTGTAGACAAGGATATGAGTAGTGGCTATGTTAGAGGGTCACTGTGAGGACTAAATATATGCACAGAACTGTGGCTAGAGCAGGGCACTACATCAAGATTGCAAACAATCATCCTCTGGATGTCAAAGGAAGGAAATATTTTCTACTCATTCATTGCCAATGTAAAGTTGCTTTTTAAAAGTGAACAAACCACTGGACGCAGTGGCTCATGCCTGTAATCCCAGCACTTTGGGAGGCCGAGGCAGACGGTTCACTTGAGGTTGGGAGTTCGAGACCAGCCTGGCCAACATGGTGAAACCCCGTCTCTACTAAAAATACAAAATTAGCCAGGCCTGGTGGCAGGCACCTGTAATCTCAGCTACTCAGGAGGCTGAGGCAGGAGAATCGCTTGAACCTAGGAGGCGGAGGATGCAGTGAGCCAAGATTGCTTCATTGCAGTTCAGCGTGGGTGACAAGAGCGAGACTCCATCTCAAAAAAAAAAAAAAGTGAACAAACCATCATCTTAGCTAATCTAAAAGGGCTGGTACTTCTCCCTGAGCAAAATGCATTCACCTGCATCAGCTGGCCATTAAGTGCACTCGACCCCTGTTTAGCCTCACCTTGCACAGCTCTGATATGTTAAAATGCTATTTGTCTATGAGACAGCCTCCTTACAAATACACATACACATGCATGTTTGTGCACACATGACTGTGTGTGTATCTAGAGAGCTAGATATAATGGATAGCTAACCATCTATTGCCATGGTCTGTGGATTTTTCCCCACACTCAGTGGTGAGAGCCAGGGTGGCCAACTGTGGAAATTACTCTTGCCCAATGCGTGCTCCTCCAGGATACCCCAAGTCTAGTGTGTTTCACAATGTGTTCTGTTTAGTATGTAGTAGCTCTGTTCTCTGCCATTTACTGGAGTTATAGACCATGCTGGCTGTCAAAAATTATATAAATGAAAGTACTTAACCTGCCACAAAGAAACAAAGAAAAAGTAAGATGTTGGATATTAAAATGCAAGTTACCACAACCAGAATATTTTCATCAGAGTGGTGAGGTAACCATCTATAAGCAATTAAGACCTCCTGGAAGTCCTCTGATATTTTGGGGGGAGAATGGGAATCATAACATTACTGTAAGTTAGAGAACTGACCCACAGTCTGTAGAATGGGGACTGGAAGAAGTAATGACCAGAAGACAGAAGTTATTGCAGATGGTTTGAAAAGCCCGGAAGGGCAACTGCCAATGGCAATGCCAGGACCACATCCCCATAGAGACAATGTTATTAGTCATCACTCCCACTTCCAGGAGAGCAAACCGCAGCTACAAGGAATATGAATGTGTTCCTCTCCTGCCCCCAGCTTGAAGCTTCCTAATATGCATTTTTAAGCAAATTCTTAAGTTACAGAAAAGAAGTGACTCATTCTTTCTGTCTCACATTATTAAAAGTTGTGCAAATCATTTATGTTAATATGCATATGTATGGTAACATGCATGTATGTTCCTTAGATGAGACTCTGTTTTTCTAAATTCACTCAAAATGAATGTGTTATAGCTGGGTGTAAAACTCTTAGGGTAAGAAATATATTCTTACTAAAGGGGATAAGTGGAAATCAGAAAAGAAATGAATAGATTTACATTGTCATTTATACATAATGTAATTTGTAGGGTGTCTGACAAACCAAACTTTCTCATCACCCAAAAACAAGCTCAGAAATGGAAATCTTAGTCTTTTTATGTGATTTATACAACGCTTGTTTGCCTTCATCCCTCCTAATATCATATGCTTGAAAAGACTCTAAGAATCGAATCCTGGACCCAGCCACATGGCTAAAATGCTGCAGGATGGAAGCCCAGAATTCATTTTAACATGTATTATTCCCTAGACTGTGACAGAATTCAGGTTTCACTTAGCCTTCTCCAGGCTCCCAAAACCAAGAATCTAGTGGGTTGTTAACATATTCATAGGTAAACAAATGCTCAGTCCTTTGGCAGGCTGCCAGGACATGGTGCCAGGAAGGGATCCAGGCAACCATGGTGAAGCTGTGGGGGTCTTTCACCTCCCTCACTCTGTGGGACTGGACTACTGCAGATGCCACACCTGGCTTTCTGAGCATCTTATCTGTAAATTTATGGAATCCTGTGGACAAGATACCTACTGGTAGAGTCTTGAAATGCAGCCAGAATTACTGAACTGAGGTGGTACTCTTTAGGCCAGCACAACCACTCCAGGCCAGATGTTTGCAAAATGCAATTGACTATAAGTCTGTAGAGCAATCCTTCCCAAAAGCACAGGAATCACCTGAGGATCTTATTAAAATGTAGATGGGAGGATCGCTTGAGCCCAAGGGTTCGAGGCTACAGTGAGCTATGATCGTGCCACTGAACTCCAGCCTAGGTGACAGAGACCCCATCTCTAAAAATAAATAAATAAATAAATGCAGATTATGATCTGGCAGTCTAGAGAGGGGCTGATACTGCTGGTCCAAGGACCCGACTTTGAAGAGCAATGCTGTAAAGTGAGACCATTCCATACACAGTAAAATAAACATGGTTTGGAGGCATCCCGCGTGCCAGACACTGTGCCTTCTGCTGGAAGCACACAGATAAGACAAGAGCCCTGCCTTACAGGAGCTTGTCCTGTAATAGGAGAAACAGCTTATAACACACTGGGTAAATTCTGCACTTGTTGAGATTCTTTGCACTATAAGGAAGAAAACATCCAATCTACAGTGGCTCAAACAAAAAGGAAATGTAACTGGCTCCTCTAATTGCAAACCAAGGGTAAGGCTGACTTCAGACCCATTTTAGCAGGGCTAAAATGACTTCACCAGAACCTAGCTTCCCTTTGTCCACCAGTCTGTGGTTTCTCTCTCCGTATCTTTTGGCTCTGCTCTCCACAATTTGACTGTCTTCTAGAGGCACCATGGATACCAGTCCTTATGTCTTCTCCTCTTTAAATAAGAATGCCTGCCTAACCCCGAAATCTGAGCAAAAATATCAAGATATCTCATTGGCTCTAATTGGGTCATGTGCTCAGTCCTTAGCCGATCATTTTGGTCTTGGGAAAGTCAGCATGGCAAATGCTAGAGTTGTGTGTGAAGTTAGATCCAACACAACCACATGCACCAAAGAAGCAGGAGACAGATTTCCAAAAGAAAATCAGGGCTTGGATGCTGGGCAGCCACTGTCCCACAGTCAGTGCTAAGAGGTGTTTTAGAAGCATGAGCAGGGGGCAATGAGGGCATGGAGAAAGACACCGGTACCTGATAAACACTATCAATGTGTGTGTGTGTGTGTGTGTGTGTGTGTGTGTGTCCCCAGATACAGGGCAAAATGGCAAAGTGCACACAGTGCCAGTCTGGAAAGGACTGCTGATTGGTTTCTTGGGGGCTTTTAAGTCAACCCTCCTCCACCCCTACCTCTACCATGGTGCAAATCAGTCACTTCAGAAATAGTTCATTCACTACTTCCTGTGCAGGAGATAAGAAATGAAAAGTGTGGTTTAATTGCTCCCAAGGTGATTAAATTGCCATATTGACCAGACTGACACACATCTAATAATTTGAGGCCAATATAAAAGACTGTGCAGCTGAGTGCTAATTTGTGCAAAGAGAAAGGAGACATTGGTGTGGGCTAGAATAGAAGCTTCCACAGGCATTGAACAAACAGATGGAATAATGAGCTGGTTTATGCATTGGAACAAGACAAGACCAAATGAGTTGTAGGAGAGGACAGTGCCATCTTCAAAAGCAAGCACAACTGCAAGAGTTGAGTGCCCAGATCAATGACTTCCTCTCCGCCATGACCCTTTCTACCATTACTCATGATTTCAATATCCATTTTAGGAACCCATTTGACATCCTGGCCTTTCAGCTTCTTATCATCTTCGTGCTCTGATTCAACATAGCTACTCTTGTTGTTGATCAGTGACAACCTCACCACCCCAGAAATGTAGGTTTCAAGAATTCTTACCCACTACATTTCTGCATTCTATCATACCATAACCATATATATATTTCAAATATCTGATCTCATAGAGTTCCAGTCCAATATTTCTCCTACTTTTTCCCCATCCATTACCCATCATCCAACTATCCATCTTCTCCACACCTGAATAAAAGCAGCAGAATGTAGCTAGAAAAAAAATCATGCAACCTTTAAATTCATTATAGCCACAAATGTCCAAAATAGCAATGATGATTCTGATGACAACCTTGGTGATATCATTTATTAACATTTATTGAGTATCATTATGAGACAGCCTTATTCTCAGTTCTGAGTCAGTGTGTAATTTTCTTTGGCTTAATTTAGCTCGGTATTTCTCAAGGGGACCACTATTAACATTTGGAGCAGGACAATTCATTATGTGGGACTGTCCTCAGCAAGGCAGAACATTCAGCATTATTGCTTCCAGCCCACTAAATGCCAGTCCCATTCCCTAGTCATGGAAAAAAAAAAATTCCAAAGGCTGTCTCCCAATCTTTCCCCCAACCAGATTGCAGGGACCGTCCCACACCCAGCTGAGAACCACTGGCTGAGTAGAAAGAGCACTAAATTGGGCATCAAATCTGATACATACCATATTCTGTGACCTTGAGCAAGTCACTTAGCTTCTGAGTTTCAGCTTCTTCTATAAGAGAAAGATCATAATCCTATTTCTGCCCAGTAATCATAAGTTTCAAATGATCTAATAAAATATTAATGAGAATATTTGCTGTATCCATTAGGACTGTACTTGGCTGTGAGTAACAAAGTCGGCAGCAACAGCTTAAACAAGTAAGTGTTTATTGTTCCCACATCATAGGTATTCTGGAGACCAGTGGTCCACGCTGATGAAGTGGCTTCATGATGTCATCAATATCCCTGGCTCCTCTTTCTGCAAGCAGCTTTTACTCCCTGGCTCCCTCTCAGTCACAAGGTAGAGGCCCCACTTCCATACTCAATCTGCAGACCAGCCAGAAAAAAAAAAAGGAAAGAAAAAGGACAAAACAGGCAAGAAAAAGTTCTGCCTATATCAGATATATAAAACTTACCCAGATATCCCCAGCAGAATTCCATTTACATCTCATTGGCTGTCACATGATCATTCCTACCTACAAGGGAAACTGGGAAATATTTTTAGCTGAGCATATTGCCTCCCTGAACAAAATCAAGGTTCTACGAATAAGAAAGAAGGGGAGAATGGGCAGTGGGTGGGAAATCAGCAATATCTGCTGTACTTGTTAAACTTACGAAGCATTATAAAAGTATAAGGCGGCATGATCATTAAACCCTGAAAGAAGGCATATCATAAAATACAGTATCTGCATGAATTTCACTACATGAATTCCATCTGGTGTCCCATTTATCTGCATTACTTAAGGCTAAGTAAGTGAATGGTCTTATTTATATCCAACAAGCATGGTGGCCCAATTAACTACTGAGGCACATCTCTGCCCACATTTTAACATAGCAATGCAGAGTGAAAAACCTTGTATGTAGTGGACTCTAAAGAAAATAACCCCCAATTAGTCAACGTAGCAGGAGAATAATAGTAAAGTATATTAATGAATACAGAAGACATTTATTGGTTAAGACCACCTGGCATGCACTTCCCCTACTTTTGATCATTGCAGCCTGATTTTCTTGTGAAAAATCACTTGCCCACATTGTGTGCAGATTGGTGAGACTATCAGTCAAGGTAGCTTGCTCAGGTGCCAAGGCACAAACACCTGACCCAGCCTCAGCTGATCCAACTCTCTCTTCCAGGACTTTGAATTCTAAATGTGTGAAATACAACAAAGAAAGAGAGGGAAGGAGGAAGGGGAAAGAAACACGGAAGGAAGAGGGAGGGCAGGGATGGAGGGATTGGGGAGGGAGGGAGGAAACCAGAATATCCCACCTGGTTCTTCAACTGTTCTTCCAATTGTGTGGGCTTTCCCATCTTTTCCAGCTAATTTCCTGATTTTCTCAATCTAGTTGAGTCCGTTTTGCACCAAAAAACCTGAACTAACACTCTCAGACCACCCTATTCAGCTGTCTGCTTTAGTTTCAACCTCATCTCCTACTAAAGTTTGAGGAGAATCCCAAAGGGCACTTCTTCTTTGATCCCCAGACATTCTGTAAAGACATTGATAAATACTGGAATGACCAAAAGACTGGTAGGAACCAAGGAAATAAAAAGTCTCAGGGTGAGAGCATGTCAGAGAGCTCTGGACTGGGAATCAGAGGCTGTAATTTCTAGTTTGTGCTCTTTCTCTAACTAGGAATGGGACACTGAGTACATCATTCAGCCTTTCTGCACCTCAGCTTCCACACTTGTAAATGACTGAGCTGACACTATCACACAGCTTTTATGGCATGCCAACATTTCCTAACTTTGCTACATCTCCACCTGCTCACTGAGTCCTGCCTGTGCAGCCTTTAGAGTTGCAAGCCATGTATTAGCCTCCTGGACACGCCCTGCTCCTTAAGCTTTGATGAGGCCACCTTGTCCTGTAAAATTTAAACAAGATTGCCTAGAATCATCATCTCACAGTTGGGGAGAAACTTTTCTCCCTCCCAGACACCTCTTGGGGTAAACCAACACTTCCATGGACCAACTCTACCTCCAGATTTCCTTTCCGTGAATTTGCATTCGCCTACCTTTCACCTCCTTGTAGGAACTGGCATGTTTTTGCCCCACGTCATCCCATTTGTCACTACCTTGATCCCTTCAACTTTCAAAGCACCACTCACTAAAGGCTAGGCATGTGGAAACCTTTACTTGAGGTTTGGGGAAACCAAGGTGACTACACGGCAGCACAATTGAGCAAACAATTCCACCGTGGGCCCTGGCTCTTCCAGTCATTGGCCATTCTCTTCTCTTCTGGGGAGAGCCATTGTGATCTCCCCTCTTGGTCTCCAGTATCCTGTCTTGTTTGTTCCCTGTTATTCCACCCTTTACCTCTTCCCCTCTCCTTTCAAGCTCTTTCCCGCAACCCCCAAATTTCCTGTTTGGGTTCTTTACAGAGCTTGTTTCCACCACTAAAACAGCCTAGGACAGTGTTTTCCTAAACAAAAGTCATTCTAAGAGGAATTTTGGCCAAAGGCACTTAAACTAACAATTTTTTTTTTTCTGCTGCACAAAAATGCATCTCTAAAGATACCGAAAACACTTGCTCCTTGTCTGAAGGCATAATGCCATAGGATGAGTTTCTCAGAAAGCACTGACTGGGACAAAAAGGGTTTGCTATTTTGTTGGTATGCCTTAAATGGAAACAGGGTAGTCTCTGATGTACCAAGCAAAAAGAAAGAGACTTTGCCATGCACTAGCTGTGTGACCTTAGGAAAATTACCCATGTGAACCTTCTATATGCCCTTCTGTAAAATGGGGACCATAATGATACCTATTTCACAGAATCGTGATGAGAATCCAATGGAATCACACTTATAAAATGCTTTGCACAGTGACTGGCACATCATCATTCTTGCTATTTAGGGCATTTGAAAGTGAAATGAAAATGGTGATAGAAAGTTATAAAGAGCACAGCACATGAAGTCACTTGGGAAATGTGAAAATATAAATGAGAAACTATGTGAAGTAAAGATTTAACCTAAATAATGTGAACTCAGAACTCACATCCTTGGGAGAATACTGGTCTCACCAGCAAGTAGGTCTGGTTAAATAACAGGACTAAAAACAATTGATATGAATGTTATTATCTCAGAAAGAAGATATGTTCTCATTCCTATTTTCCTTTAGAGAGGAATAATGTAACAGCATCCTTCATGTAAAAATACTGAGCACCAATATGAGAAATGAAACATTTTAATTCCTCCCAGGAGCTAGTTCATTCATAGAAAGACTGGGAGCTTGCCAGAGCAACTGGGACATCTGAAAATGGAAATGTAATATTTAGACTTCTACATTGTTTCTGAAAAATTTTTCAGTTCCTGAAATGGTTAAAAGATGATCATACTGGCCATGACCTCTACATGTCAAAAACAAATACAGCCTCAGCCAACATGACCGTAATACATTTTCCTATTCAACTCAAAAAATGTGTTGGACTGTAATTCAGTTGTTACCTTTCGTTTGGGGCCTTCAGTTTGTTTGTTTCTCTTTCAAACATTAATGTGGAAAAACATTTGAGGCCTTCCATGGGCATTATTTGGTATTCCTTTTTGTCTATATTAATTTGCCTTGCTTTTTCAGCTTCTGTCTGCCCCATACATATGAAGTCCAGGACAAGAGAGGAAACGGGCCTATAAACAAACAATTCCAATCTGTAGCAGCACACACTGACAGATCTATGCAGGAGGCAGTCGGAGGAATAACAGGACAGAAAGGCATTTCTGCATCTTGGAGCAGGGCTGATGAATAAAAGTTTCAAAAAGATCCAGGGTCTTAATAATGAGATTCACAAAGTGGAGAAGAAATGGGAGGCAGGGGGTGCAGTAGAGAGCGTGGAGAAGTTATTCAGAGGAAAATGGGACATATCAAGCCTACAATAAAAAAACTTAGCTGACTATACTTAACATAATAAAGAGGTATATCAGTTTGTTTAGCACATCTTGTACATTTACTCCTTGACCTTATTGTGACTTGACCTTTTGCTTTTCCATGCATAGACTTTCTGTCTCTATTACATACTACGCAAATCAAGGGAGAGCCCTACAAAAGTTACAGAAGGGAACAGCCAGAGGACAAGGACACCATGTTCTTCATCCTCATGCAAGACATCTGACCTGTTCTTCTGAGAGGAATCCCAGGAACAACACACGCTCTCTCAGCCTCCAGCCGGATCAGTTCTGAGTGTTCTCAAGCCCAACCAATGATTGAGGGGGCACTGTCAATCTCTTGCTGCAATCATCAAGGATTGTTTGTCATGTATGCACTGACCTCTTTGGAATTCCATCATGCAAAGTGCGCTTGCTTGTCTTTGCTTTCATTATAGTTACCCACAATAACTCATACCTTTGCACTCATTTTCCGAGAACTTGTAGGACACCATTATTTGCTGTCTCCTATAGCCAGGCATTTCATCCTCTGCATCTGGAAACAGGGCCAGCTTCAGGGATATACAACCTGCACAGTTACACAGGGCCCCCCACTCAGAAGGACCCCAAACTTGGTTTCATTCTGTGCTGCTGCCATCTTGAAAGGCTTAATTGTTTTTTCAACAACGGCATTGCATTTTCATTTTGCACGGAGCCCTGCAAATTATGTAGTTGATCCTGTCTAGAAGACTAACTGCCTCAAGGTGAATTTCTATCAAGCCCTGTCTTTACACCTGGGATGGGAGCCATTACAGACTGGTTCTGAGTACAGCTTTTAGCCCCAGTGATCATTTTCATTGCCATTCACTTGGTAGGGTGACTATTACCAACCTAAAAGTTCAAGCAGCCCAAAAATACTTTTGATATTTGATTACAGATAACTGGTTTGACCAAAAGTTAAGGTTTATCCTTGGCCATCCTTTATCATCCTGTTACCATGTGTACAGACAGGCTCCTGCTCCTTCAAAGCTCCTTCATTTAGAAACAATACCAGCACCCCCTACCCCAAACACTGGTTCATACAGTTTCCAATTCTATAAACTTAATGTGTTATGCAAAGTTCAACATTTTCTTAGCATAATTTGATTAAGGATGTGCAGAATTGCATCAGATGTAATAAAAGCCAAGCCCTGTAATTTCAATTATTAAATACTTGTACCAAAGCCTGTACCTGAGCAGCTCAGTGGCTCATACTTGAACTGCAAAAGTAGCAACTGAATGTACAGAAAGCAGGGAAAGTGTCTGAATGAATTGTTTTCTTAGCTGTGACAGATTTGAAAAGGGTTTCCTCAAGGTGAAGGACAAAAGGGGTCTATAAACTGCGCATTTACCTCAGGACATCCCATCACACACCTCAAGTCATTCCTCAAATTGTGATTGTCATTTTCTACCTATCCCCATTGGATCCTGACGCAGAACTGTCAAGCTTTCTAATATAACAATTGGCCGACCACTCACTCTCCAGAAGCCTGAGATCAAAAGTGTGCCTCACCACGCATCTGTTAGCTGGGATTAGAACATTCTCTCATCCAGATCTCTTCAAGACGATGCAGAAACTCAATTGTATGTGTGTGTGCATGTGTGTTGTGTGTAGGGAAGAAAGAAAGTTGGAGGAGGATGGTAAAGTGACACCTTGTCCTTATTTACCATGCCTACATGATGAGACACGCTTTTCATTTCCCTCTTGCTCTTCCTAGAGTCATCTCTAGAGTCTGCGTTTCAAGACCTAGGGAATATTTAATAGCCTCCCCCAAATTCACATTAATTTCAAACCAATCACATAATCCAGCTGCAACTGTACTGTGTACAACAGAAATCCTGGACAAAACTGGCTGTGGCCAAGCAGGGAATGTATGGGAACAGGCAGCCATTGTCTCGCTCAGCATCCACAATAGGACAAACTTCCTGAAAGTAACCATCCCTACACCTGCAGAAAATCTATTAGGTGGGTGCAAATGTAATTGCAGTTTTTTACCATTACTTTCAATGACAAAAACCACAATCACGCTTGCACCAACCTAACACATCACAGTCCATCAAACTACACATTCACAGCACTCAAAACAATAAGTGCCACATGACTTCTGCAAAAAAAAAAAAAAAAAAAAAAAAGCAGCTTTTTAGCCCTCCCTTAGACCCCTGGACAACATTTGCTCCATCACAGTCCATCAAACTACACATTTGCAGCACTCAAAACAATAAGTGCCACATGACTTCTGCAAAAATAAATAGCTTTTTAGCCCTCCCTGAGACCCCTGGACAACATCTGCTCTGCAGGTTTGTTCTGATCCCCGCCCTTATGGTGTTCATGCAAGTGGGAAAACAGTAACAATCAAATTCCTTACTTTGAAACATTTACCTCTCCACATTTAGAAATTGTGCATTTTTTCTCTAATTCATCGCTGGGAAATAGTCTATAAACAGTTGCCCTGGAAATCTTGAAGATATTCCTATTGCTCACTCCCCACATCTAAATAGAGCCTATGGCTTATTTCCTTCAGCAAACTTTACTGAACAGGCTGGCATTTTCCCCACACAGGTAATACACTCTTCCACTCTCTCCCTTCCAAGTATTTTCAAAATTTGATAGTTGCATATTTCATTCACTTATTTAATAAATATTTATCATGCACTATGTGGTGGACACTGAAGGGTATAGATTTGCTCTGGCCCCTGCCTGCAAGGTATCCACTGTCAGTCTGAATGAGGTCTTTGAGTGGCTCTGAGCTCCTTGAAATTTAAGCCCCCAGCCTGTGCCTCTGCCTTGTTCCAAACTCAAATTTGTTGACTAAACGCACTGGGTAAACTTTGTTTTATAAATACAGCTTACTCATTAACAAAGGCATTCCAAAGCCAAGCGGTAAGTAAGGAGTGCTATCATTGAGCAGAATTTGAAAATGAAAATCACTCTGACAACCTGCTCTAAAGAATATTTTCTCTTGCTGACGGACATATTGCCAGCTTGGGAAATGTGAAAGGATCTCGTTCATATTTGCTGCCTCAAGAATGGTCACAGGCTCTGTTGCAATTTGTCATAGCACAGGTCTGCTTGCACTAGGGGTTGACAGAAGCTTGTTAACGCCAAAAATTCTTCTCTCTCCTTCTCAAACCTTCGGAAGCTGAATGTCACTGATATGACTAGCTCAGCCCTTAGTGGGAACACCACCTGTCTCACTTTCCTAGAAGGCAGCTAGGTACAAATCTCCAGGAGCAACAATTCACCTTTTCAAATTACAGAGCACAGGAGTGGCAGAGTGGAGAGAATGCAGCTGCTACAAAACAAGATTACGAACGGAAACCCTGTTCAAACAGAGCAAGCAGAGGATCTGTTGGTGTTTAGCTTAAAATTTCATCTGAGCAGAGGCCACAAATGCTCTGCCAGCTGCAAAGGCTCTATCTAGCATCTAATATTGTTTTAAATACAAGATCCAAAACATCATAATTCTACTTTAACACAGTCCAAGTCCTTAGATAAGCTGAAAGAAGAATGAATTCACTGCTTGAAAATCCTTCACTCAACAACTAGGCATGAATTTCACCGCAATTGTTAAGAGCTGATTCTAATGCCACACAAAATTTGTTTATAAATGGTTATTTTATTCAGAGTGGTTGCTTTTTAATGCTGCTCTCTTAATTTCCTGTTAAATCTGTTTCATCTATAGCCATCCAATATTAGTATTTATTTTGTTCATTTAACTTTAAAGTATTCTTAAATTAAATCTATTACAAATATTCTACTGCTGGTGAAGCTAATTCAGCATAGGCACTACCACAAAAATATGGAAAACATGATCAATGTATTATAGATGTAATCTGGCTTCAGAAACACAATACTAAAAACTATTTTAGTAAATTAAGAAATAAGCATTCTAGATTGTGTTATAAAATCCATTTCTAAATATACCCCTTTTTAAACCTTTATGCTTCTTTACCTTGGAATTCTTACCAGCGTAGCTAGATTTTGTATTGCAATGGTAATTATACTTAAGAATCATTGTGTGTTAAAATATTCCCCACGTACAGATTATTTTTATCATCTTTTCCCTAAAATAAAATTCTCAGCATTTAACCTATGCATGTTGGCTTTCAGAGATCTCATAAAAAATCACAGTGAAATAAAACCATGATGATAGTGAACTTGTACTGTATTTACTGTCATATACAACTACACTGTCTCTTGTTCCCATTTGGGCTTCACAATTTCTTCTCATAGTATAACATTCTGCAGAATGTTTCAGTACCAAATGGGTTCAGGACACAACATCATAACCACTACAGGAAAATGTAACGGTTTTCTCCCTGGAAAATACCAAATTTCAAAATCCTACACACTAGTTCATTTTCATTTCCTCTTTACCACAATTCATTATCATATCTAAAAGAAGCTCTTGGCTGAAGCCTTATACTGTCTGCAGCATGTTACTTTCTTTGCAAATTTACTTTTAGGAAACATGATAAAGAAAAGCAACATATTCCACAGGCATCCCAAGTAAAGCATTATAAATTCATATTCTCTCTTGCACTGATTTAAATGGGAAGCAAGTAAGAAAAGGGAAAACCCTTACGGTTCTCAGATGAAACTTCGCTGCTTTCATCCACCTCCACATACCGTGTCAGGGTCAGAAAAACACTCCAAATAGATACTTCTGTCACTTTGCTAAACCAACGAAGCTGCTACCATCGCCAGCAGTATGTTCACGCTACTTTCCTGAGGTCTGTGTTCTAATCATCAGAACTTTTAAAAATTACATACTTTTTTTAAAAATCCTTTTTCTGAACCAGCCTCAGCACCAAAACATTGGTCTCTGCTTCAAGGTTCCCCATTTTAACTGAAGAGGAATGAAAAACCAAATGCCTTCAAGTCCTGAAGGAGTTGCTTCTTCCTGTGTTCAAAGTTGAAGAGAGTAGTGTGCTTTTTCTTCCACTGCCCTGTTTGGTTTCTGCCTTTAGAATACAAAGATGTGTTTCACTCCTGGACACCTAACAGGCTGAGATTTACATGTGAGAAAACATCCCCCAGGTTATTACCAAGGAGGCAAAAATTGCTCCCACCCAGTTTAGCTGCCTTTCAGGAAAGAGACTGGAAAAATGGAAACGAGGGAGGGGAAGGAGATTCTATCTGAAGCTGAGGACAAGTAACACAGGTGAATCCAAAGTAATGGAGGCAAATATTAAAAAGAATATTATTTATTATCTTCTTTATTAATACTCACATGTAACCTTTGCTTTTTACACAAAAGTCTGCTTTAGAAGAATGCCTCCTCGGCTTATCATGCCCAATGGGGCTTTTTGTTTCTGGACCACTTCCCCTTTCTCCACCCCCACCCCCACATCCAAATTACTCTTAACATGTTCACAGATACCACGAATATTTTGTAAACAAGATTTGGGTTACTGGAACTTGATTTCATTAACATCCCACTTCAAAATGGAAGGCAGGTGGAGGACAGGGTAAGAAATAGGAGAAAGAGGACAAGAGAAGGCAAAGAAGAAGAGGGGCACCTGGTCAGAACGTTCAAGTCTTGCCTTTTCTTAGGGGTGTGTATTTTGTGGCTGTTCCTTGAAATGCACTGACTCAAAACATTGACAGCAAGTGTGTGTGTGATTATTTATATATCTATAATAGAATATGTGGGCTTCCTCCGTTTGAGTCTGGACTGTGTTTATTTAAACACACTACGATCCTCTTTATAGGTATCACCACAGGGAATCAGGTCTCCTGGGAACCCCTTTTAGAGACGGGGCTTCCGAAGCAGGGTCTTGCTGAGGTCTTTGACCTCCTCAGGGCTGTTGACCCGCTCATAGCCCAGGACGGCCATGGGCTGGTAGCAAAACTCCTCCACCTGTTTGATCTGCTGGAAGGTGAGGGCGGTCCGCCAGGCATTGGCGGCCTGCGTGGCATTGCGTGCAGATACCACGAAAGGCTTGGAGGAGGAGCCCGAGCCACTGGTCATGTTCAGGGCAAACTGCTCCATTTCGGGGCTCACCAACAGTCCCACAAAATCGTACACTCTCCGTAGTGTCTTGACGGGGTCTCCCACCAGGTCCTCGTACCGCACCACCAGGTAGTGGCCCTGCAGCCAGTCAGGGGGCTGCAGGGCTGTCTGCAGCGTCTTAGCCATACTATTGCAGATGACCTCCATAGCGCCCAGAGCGTGGTAGTCTGCGGGGCCGCCCACGCCCTCCTTCTTGGCGCCAAGCTTGTGGCCCGCGGCCTCCAAGAAGGGCATGCGGTGAGCTCGCGGGTCTCGGCTGCGCACCACCTGTAGGCTCTCACGGATGAGGCCGTGGCGCGAGCGGATCCGTGAACTCGCCACCGCGCGGGGATCACGCACCAAGTGGATGACCTTGAGGTCCAGGGCCGGGTCTCGCAGCAGTGGCGCCAAGACCGCCACGTCGAAGACGCGCACACCCTTTATGACTAGTGTGCGGTACTTGCGGCACTCCTCCTCGAAACGCGCCAGGCGCTGTGGCGGGCACTTCTTGCACACGCGGTCGTCCACCAACCCCACGACCTCCTTGCGGTAGGCGGGGCAGAGTGGTGACGAGCACACCACCTTGTTGGTGGCTGCGCCGAAGATGCCCAGCGTGGTGAGGTTGCGCCCCCCGCTGCCCGCGGGGCTATACAACTGGAAGACAGAGAGGTCGCAGCGGTAAAGAGCGCTCAGCATGTCCCGCGCTGCCCCCTGCAGGGAAACGGCGTCCCCCGGATACAGTTTTTGCCATACATGCCACACTGGCTCGTAGAGAAAGAACACCTCGGGATTCTGGTTGAATAGCTCGCCGAAGAACGACGAGCCAGAGCGCCACGTGGTGAACACGTACACCAGCTGCCGCTTGTCCCCGACGCCCCCGGTGCCCCGAGTGCCATTGCCTGGAGGGGCCGCAACCCCCGCCATCCCTGCCGCGGCTGCAGGAGCCGCCCCGACGGCGGCAGCGGGAGGGCGGTAAGGAGTGCGGAGGTCCAAACGGGCATGAGCACGGGGCGGCCCGGCCGGAGGCGGCCCTGGGCGCCCCCAGCTGCCTCCGGCTGCCCCCGCTGCGGCACCCAGCGGCCCATCGGGGTTGCACTGCTGCAGCGGCTCCTTGTGCCACTTGTAGTCCAGGAGGTTGAGCATAGTGAGCACCAGCAGCAGTGCATAGCCCGCGCACAACACCAGCGCCTTCCTACGGAACACCTTCATTCCGAGAGGGGACGCGGGCCAGCGGCGTCCTGGGCGCCGGGGCCACTGCGGGAGCAGGGCACGCGGCGCGGCTGCAGGCGCAGCCTGGAGCAGCCGAGGGAGCGCGCCCGGGGGCAGAGCTCGCTGCGGGCTGCGGCTCATCACAGGCACAATCCGGGCCGGCGGCGCGGCGGAGGCAGCCCTGCAGCCCGGGAAGGGGACGCAGCGGGCTGGCTGCTGGCGCCGGGACTCGGGCCGCGACTCCGAGGCGGGCGCGGCGGCTGGTCCCCAGCGCCCAAGGCTGGCTCTCCCATGGCAGCGGCTCCGGGTAGGACCTGCGAGGGGAAGCGGAGTGAGCGGATGCGCCCCAATCTCCCTCCCAGCCTCCTCCTCCTAAGTAACGCCCACCCTCGGTTCTGCCCGGTTCCTCCGCTCACCTGGAGCCGAGGGCGCGCCCGGGAGCGGCCCCGGATCACCGCCCGGCGGACTGTCCGGCTGTCACTCGTTCCTCGATTTCGCTCCCTCTCGCTTCCGCTGGGGGTCCCCGCACCTTCGAGGGGTCTGGGGAGTCGGCCGACTTATCCCTGGGCAGTTTCCGGGCAGCGGGCGCCCTGCGGCTCGGGAAGAAAAACTTTCACGCGGCCCAGAGCCCCGCTCCGCGCTCCGCCGAACCCGGCGCCTCCCGGCTCCAGCGACGTCTCCTCCGCTTTCTCGGGACCGCAGCTTCCTGTCTCGCTCAGGGGAACGAAGCCGGCTGGGGGCGATGGCTGGGGGCGGCTTATATGGGACTCAGCTCCCGGCATAGCGGCGCAGCCCCTCTCGCTTTCGGCCTCCGTGCGGCGAATTTTCCCACCTCTCTGGCAGCGGTGGATGGGGCACAGCGCGACCCCGCAGCGGCGGCGGCGGCTGCTTCCATCACCGGGAGGATGCCCGGGCGGACAGCGCAGGCAACCCCCGCCGCTCCGCAGCCTCCGACTGGACCAAAGGACCCCGAACACACAGCTCTAGGCAAGGAAACCCAGGTGTGCAGCACTGCCCGACCCGACCCAACCCGCCCCCGGTACCAGCGCTTCTGGCCAACGAGGTATTTAAGCAAAGAAAGACCCCGCCGCAGCCGCCGCCGCCGCGCGAAAGCGGCGCCCAGGAGGATGCTGCTACCCGACTCCCCTTACGCCGGGCGCCCGCAACGCGCTCGGACCAGCCTCTGCGCGGCTCCTGCCAGCCGGCGCCCGGTTGGTGCGCGCCGCCGTCTGTCGCCGCGGCTCCTCCCCTCCGCCGCGCAGCCCTCCCCCTTCGCCGGCCCCGCCCCCGCCCCCAACGCCGAGCCGGCTCCCACCGTCGCTGCGCCTCGGGGGCTGGAGACGCGACCCGCTTTACCGCGACGCGCGGGGGCTGCAGTCCACGGGTCCGAAGGCTTAGCTCTGCGCGCAAAGCGCCGGGATGCGAACGCGGGATCTGGAGCTCGTCGGTGCCGAGAGCTGCCAGAGAGTTGGATTCTGCGTGCAGCTGCCGGACTCGGCCCCATGTTTTTGCTCTCAGAAAGAGTTGGTGATGAAGTTTGGGCAGAAATCCCCTGTCGGCCGTCCGCTCCACGCTTCCCTCGGGGCCGACACTGCCAACCTCTCCGGGCACTGAGGACACCTCTGCGCCCTGGAGCGGTGGGAGGACGCGGAGCGCCGTTCTCTGGCTTCCGACACCCTGCCCGCCCTCTCTAGTGGGTCTGTGGCTGCGCCCTCTCGAAGGAAGTAATAAATCTTTCTGACCTTGGGGGTCAGAGGAGACGCTTCAGTTTTCCGGAGGGGTGTGCGGGCGGGACCGTCTTTCCGCTTTACTGGACCTCTGGCCGGGGCTGCTCTTGTTTCATTGTGCCCCACATGCGGAGCCCCGATGCTCTCCGCATTTCCGCTCGCGGTGCTGCGTCCACTGTGATTGACGTCCTCTGGAATTGGGGTGATGGGGGAGGGGAACGCCCCGTTCTAATTTGCAGAAAAATACTTGTCCCGCTTCTTGGTTTTGTAGATGAGATCAAAGAACTTGACCCCAAAGGAAACACCGTTGTTGAAAGAAAATCATTTTTCAGTTGCTTTAGGTTTAAGTACTTTTGTTTAAGGTTATGAGGAAAAGCGTCTCTCTCTCCCCCCAACTCCCTCCCTCCCCAAGAACACTAAGCTGTAGCCTCAACTTCATCTGTAGAATGGGGACAGTTGTAACAGCCTCCGGAGACTGAACGGTGGTTGAGTATCAGAGCGCGCACACGAAAGGTTAGACCTGAGTTCAGGCCTCCAAGTGCCGAAAAGGGAATCTCCGTGGGGCCTGAGGCTCAGCACCCTCGGATAAACAGAGCTCTCGCTGATCCGGAGTTTTGTTGCCTCCTGTCCCAGTAGAGTTTTTAGAAGTTACTGCACAATTATCTTTGTAGCGTTTCGGGCAGACTTTTCAGAGGACCGTTCTAACATTAAAATATTGCTGTTTGCGCCATTATTCTTCCATGAGTCTTACAGAATCCCCTGAGTACAAAGACTTGAAAAGTGACTTAACTCGCTTTCCACGGGTTTTTAACTCTCTTACGGATTTAGTTTCAGGGGAGAAAAATGTTCAAAAAACTTATTTATCCTTGTTTTCCAGAAAAACCCATAATGTCACGAGTACAGTTCAGCTTATTTTTTCTCCTGGGGAGGGGGATTGGGACAAGGACAGCAGAGCTCAAATTTTATATCCAGCTTTCTCAAATAATATGGCATTGCCTCTGGAAGTGGGTCGAGACAGGCAAGAATCCCTGTTAACAGATGAAGGTGGTAGAGTTTAATTGAGCGACTCCCCATCTTTTCCTTTTCTGGAATCCCCAGCCTCCCTTCGCCTACTCTCTCAAATGCCCCTGCCCCTTTTTCACCACCTCTTTTACCACGAAAACTAAAATGACATTGGTGCATGAAAAGACTGATGGGAGAGAGAGGGAATTGGGGAGGAAAGTAAATCTCAATTTTAATATTCAACATGATTCCAAGAAAAATAATTTCTAATATTTTTCATTTAGTTTCTGGCTTTGTGCTTACCCAGAAAAAAACTGAATTGCATTAGTCGATGTAGGGACCCTTTTTAAAAACAATTGTTTGCATAGAAATAATTCCGTTTGCAATTTTGTAACACTTTACTGGTGTTGGCAAAATAGTAAATCCATTTGCCAGGTGCCCCCACAGTGCTCAGCTGGCATAAATTTACGGGTTCTGGCATCTCCACCCTCTCCTTGCTTGCAAATTTTTCCCATTTTGCATGGTGTCATGATTAATTCTGAACTTTGTTATAGCTAATGACATCTGAAAACTTCATAATGCCTTCCTTCCCGCATTTGTTTGGAAATTCCTTTCATTTTAATCTACTTATTTTAGCATAGTAATGACCCAGACATATAATATGTCACATAATAATGTCACTTGCACAAGAGCCAGTCATGCCACAGGGCTAGCCTTAATTTCGGCTCACTGGTTTAGTTTGTCACAATTCCATCTCCCCCAGGATGCTCTTTCAGTCTCTGTCTTCTCTGCTGCCTGTTATGTTCTATTGGAAACTGTCAGGCCTCTGAGCCAAAGCTAAGCCATCATATCCCCTGTGACCTGCATGTACACATCCAGATGGCTGGTCCTTGCCTTAACTGATGACATTCCACTACAAAAGAAGTGAAAATGGCAGGTCCTGCCTTAACTGATGACATTACCTTGTGAAATTCCTTCTCCTGGCTCATCCTGGCTCAAAAAGCTCCCCCACTGAGCACCTTGTGATCCCCCCCTCCACACCTGCCCACCAGAGAACAACCCCCTTTGACTGTAATTTTCCTTTACCTGCCCAAATCCTATAAAACGGCCCCACGCCTATCTCCCTTCACTGACTCTCTTTTCGGACTCAGCCCGCCTGCACCCAGGTGATTAAAAAGCTTTATTGCTCACACAAAGCCTGTTTGGTGGTCTCTTCACACTGATGCGAGTGAAAGAAACTTGCTGTGGCTTTTGCTTAATCCTGGACAAATGTCCAGAGATCTTCAAGGACTTTCTTCCAGAGTCTGAACTGGGGAAAGATGCAAGGCTGGGTTACCTGAACAGTTCCCATTTGGGCCTATCTGTGTGAATCCTAGAAGATTCACCTTTGGAAAATGTTTGCCCCTGGGCACCAAGATAGATTCACTCCCTCATATTTTGAACAAATATGCATTTTCAATAGAACTTGAGATTATAGATTCAGGTTACTCATAATCCTTGATTTAAGATATGCTGCCATTGTTAGTCCAAGTGGCCCTTTTAAATGTCCTATGTTTTAATATAATGAATATGCATGAACCCATTACACAGCCCAAAAACCTCCAAGAGTAACCGCTCTACTTAGTTTAGAAACTGAGATGAAATGATAAAGTTCTAACAGGAAGGAAAAACAACTTGCTTTAACAATCTCAAAAAGATACAAGACTACTTATGGCCGGGCACGGTGGCTCATGCCTGTAATCCCAACACTTTGGGAGGCTGAGGTGGGCATATCACTTGAGCCTAGGAGCTTGAGACCAACCTGGGCAACATGGCAAAACCCCATCTCTACAAAAACTACAAAAAAATTAGCCAAGTGTGGCAGTGCATGCCTGTAGTCCCAGCAACTCGGGAGACTGAGATGGGAGAATTACCTGACCCCAGGAGGTCAAGGCTGCAGTGAGCCATAATGGTGCCACTGCACTCCAACCTGGGCAACAGAGTGAGACCCAGTCTCAAAAAAAAAAAAAAGAAAAAGAGGTTGGGCACGGTGGCTCACACCTGTAATCCCAGCACTTTGGGAGGCCGAGTTGGGCAGATCACCCGAGGTCAGGAGTTTGAGACCAGGCTGAAACCCCGTCTCTGCTAAAAATACAAAAATTAGCCTGGTTTGGTGGTGCGCACCTGTAGTCCCAGCTACTCGGGAGGCTGAGGCAGGAGAATTGCTTGAACCCGGGAGGCAGAGGTTGCAGTGAGCCAAGATCGCGCCACTGCACTCCAGCCTGGGCAACAGAATGAGACTCTGTCTCAAAAAAAAAGAAAAGGAAGGAAAAGAAAGAAAAAGAAGAAAAACAGTACTTACAAATTGAAACAACACTATTACCAGAGGGATTTAAAGGAGGGTTCCACCAAACTTTCAAGAACTAGATTGTTTCAGTCTTATCTCTATCAGAGAAGAGAACAAGAGGGAATATTTCCCCCAACTCATTCAAAGGGGATAATAACTACAGAGGGATTTCAGAGAAGAAATTTGGTACTGTCTCTGATTAATTTATACATAAAACTCTTAAATAAAATATAAGCAAAACAAATCCACTCAA
The DNA here is from genome assembly GCF_000001405.40 of Homo sapiens. Taxonomy (NCBI): domain Eukaryota; kingdom Metazoa; phylum Chordata; class Mammalia; order Primates; family Hominidae; genus Homo; species Homo sapiens. Next base: position 143,115,649 of record NC_000003.12, on the reverse strand, counting down.
GTGGGGAAAAAAGGACAATAAACTAGAACCAATTTGGGTTTATCCCAGAAATATAAGGATGACAATAAATATTTAGTAAGCACCTATAATGTACCAGGTGCTGGTCTAGCTATGTGAGATGCAAAAGTGAAGCAGACAGGCCTAGACCCTACCTTCATGAAGTTTACACTCTAGAGTGGGAGATACTCAGTGCACACACATTTAAACAAATAAGATTATTTTTGAGAATGGTAAGTACTATAGAAGAAATAAAATATTAATGTGATGGAGAGTGACTGGAAACAGCTATTTTTAAATTGGGAAAGTAAGGTTTGCAAAGGGGAGGTGACCCTTGCAAAGAATGAGGATGCAGCCAGATGAAAACTGAGGGATGAGAGTTGCATGCAGACGATACTGCAAGTGCAGAAGCCCTGAGTGGGGATGAGGTCTAGCCCAGTGAATGCGATTATGCTGTCTACCTGATTGGGGTGTGCCTGGTTTACAAAACCTGAAGGGGTTTCCTTAACATAGACTTTAAAAATCAATTTGTTAAGAAGCACAGATTGGGCACAGTGGCCCACTCCTATAATCCCAGCACTTCGGGAGACCAAGGTAGGAGGATCAATTGAGCCCAGGAGTTTGAGACCAGCCTGGGCAACATAGAGAGACCCGCCCCCCAAAACCCTCCCACTACCCCTTACCCCCATATCTACAAAAAATATTAAAAATTAGCTGGGCATAGTGGCACAGGCTTGTAGTCCTAGGTACTCGAAGGCTGAGGTGGGAGGCTCACTTCATTCAGCCCATGAGTTCAAGGCTGAAGTGAGCCATGTAGGTGCCAGTGCATTCCAGCCTGAGTGATACAGCAAGACCCTGTCTCAGAAAAAAGGAGGAGGTGGTGGCAGGGGGCAGGAAGGGGAAATAAGAAAAAGAAGAAGCACAAAATGGATGTTATGGGAGAAGCGCACACAGGTTTGCTTCTCTAAGAACATATGTAGCTAATTTCTAAATGTGTCACTCTGGTGTTGTCTTTGAGCACCCCTCTCTCTTCCCCAGACTCCACTTGGAGTTCCTCAGCCTTTCTGCATCTTCACCTTTGAGACCTAGCCCAGCTGTCTACTTCCCGGGTCTCACCCCAGCCTGGAAGATTGGTAACAAAGCCTGTGGCTTCTTCTTGCAGTTTTTTCCTTCCAGATATTAGAGGACAGGAGCTAGCTAGCTGGACCAGGAGATGCTCCGCCACCACACCTATAACCACTGACTTCTCTAGTCTGCCAGCCATTGCTCTGTTCCCTGTGGTAGGCATCCTATTGGGTTCTGCCTGACCCACATCCATTCTTTTCTGTGGTAACAGTATCTGAACCAATGCACCCCATTGTACGTGGATTTGGTGGGACCTTCAGCCAAAGTACTCCTCCCCTCCTCCCAAGGGGCAGGTACATGACCCAAGCTCAACCAATTAGATGTTCTCTCCATGAAAGTTGCATTCATTCATTCACTCAGTCACTCATTCGGTCATCCTATATGTATTGAGTTCCCACCATGTGCCAAGCAATCTGAATCTTTAGCAGAGAGATTCATAAGAAGGAAAATGGTTGCTGCCCTCTCGGGCCAACAGCAGAGCCCTAAAGCAATGGCTCATTATCTCTCAGAAGGGACCCTACCCTTTTTAAGACTATTGTTTGTTCTTTGTTTAAAGTCTGTGAGCTACCCCAAATGCTTCCCCAAATCCCTTTCGCCTCCTGCTTATGTTACTCACCGTCCATTTCTGTTATTTACAATCAAAAATTTCTGGCTGGGTGCAGTGGCTCATGCCTGTAATCTCAGCACTTTGGGAGGCCAAGGCAGGTGGATCACTTGAGGTCAGGAGTTCAAGACCAGCCTGGCCAACACAGTGAAACCCCTTCTCTGCTAAAAATACAAAAAATTAGCCAGACGTGGTGGCATGCACCTGTAATCCCAGTTACTTGGGAGGCTGAGGCAGGAGAATCGCTTGAACCCAGGAGGCAGAAGTTGCAGTGAGCCGAGATTGTGCCACTGTATACCAGCCTGGGTGACAGAGCAAGACTCCATCTCAAAACAAACAAACAAAAAAAAAAACTCTAATTGACAGGCTGGCTTACTGCCTAATTACAGATTTGGTTTCATTCATGCTTTTGTCCCTGTGCCTTGTTCTCCATCTGTCCTTACAATGGGGCTTTCTCTTTGAATCCCCACTTTTAAATTCTGGTTTCTAGAGAGCCAGTCATCCTAAGGAACTCCGTCTCTGCCGCACATCAACATCAGTGGCCTCATCATTCACATCTTTCCTTGGGCTTGATTGTCACCATCACTGGCTGGGCTGCTCCCTTGTGACCCCTGACAGCCAGGATTGCCTTTACAATAACGAGTGTACTCTTCTCATTGGATTTACTTCCAAAAACACATCTAATTATCATTATAATTATCTCTTGATTTCTGTCCCAAAGACTTTCTGGGTTATTTTACTATTATTTAGTTATAGCCCCCTCTATCTTTTTTTTTTTAAGATAGTAGGTATGTGAGGTAGTTCACAAAGAATAAAACAAAAAAAAATGATAAAAAGGAAAATAACATAAATCCAGGGGTATGGTCTGTGTAACAATTCATTCCATAAGGTTTTGCATTTGCTAGAGGCAAACAGCAACAACAAAACCGCTTTGAGTTTCCCAGTAATCATAGTAAAAAAGGAAAATTAGCTGGGTGTGATGGCTCACACCTGTAATCCCAACATTTTGGGAGGCTAAGGCAGGCAGATCACTTGAGGTCAGGAATTCGAGACCAGCCTGGCCAACATGGTGAAACCCTGTCTCTACCAAAAAATATAAAAGTTAGCCAGGCATGGTGGTAATGCCTATAACCCCAGCTACTTGGGAGGCTGAAGTGGGAGAATCGCTTGAACCACTTAAGGTGGGAGGCAGAGGTTGCAGTGAGCCAAGATCTCACCACTGCACTCCAGCCTGGGTGACAGAGTGAGACCCTGTCTAAAAAAAAAAAAAAAAAAAAGAAGAAGGAAAATTGTAAAATCGCTTAAGAGATTCACAGCTTTGCCTGACATAGGGACTCAAGAAAAAAATCTTACCTTCCTTCAATAATGTGAGCTTCACTCATGTGATTTCTTTATTTACTGCTTTATTCTCAATAAAGGGAATAGCCCAGTGTCTGGCACATAAGTGCTCAATACATATTTATTGACTGACTTACTCTGGCCCCTTATAAAAGAATTATGTGTTACAGAAAGTAGACTATGTCCTTCAATATATCTCTACAATAAAAACTACTGTAGAGTCAGCTAGGGATGTGCTGGTTCTTATAAACCAAATCAATGCAATCAAATGGTATAACATCAATGCTCAGTTCACTAAAGGCAATTTCGTGTGGACTACATCCACCGCTCTGGAGGTCTGGCCTGCTGACTCATCTGAGCAGGTTTTGCAAAGCTATTTTCACCCCAAAGTGAGTAGGGATGATGAGCTTCTAGGAAGAAGCTTCTTGGAGAAACTCCTGCAGAGAAACAAGAGACTTAGTTTCTGTCACCTCTTTCCACAGCTCCCTGCCAAACCTTCCCAACAGTAGAAGCTGCATCTTTTGCTACCCTCAATTAGAAAGTGGTCTTGAACCATTTTGAAAATTATTTCAATTTTCCCCTGGGCTTTCCCCTCAGTTTCCCATGATTCATGAGTTATGAACCCACCAGATAGGACTGAAGTCAGCTCTGTCCAGTGTGCCTTGCGCTGACCACTGTCCCTCACCTCTGTCTGGAGCTCCAGCTTCTGGGAATTCCTCCCTGAAACAAGCCTGTTCTCTCCATGGGGGCCTGCCCCTGATGACTGGGTGCTTAGAGGGACCTGGTGAAAGTACCACCTGGTCCTAATGGCTCAGGAGAGATGAGCCTTGCTGTATTCTGAAATACAACATTTGAAATCCTGGAAAAGCTTCAACACTGCGGTTTTAGTAGATGATCAGAAATGCTTTAAAAATAAGTAACCAGCCCGGCACGGTAGCTCACATCTGTAATCCCAGCACTTTGGGAGGCCAAGGCGGGCAGATCACCTGAGGTCAAGAGTTTGAGACCAGCCTGGCCAACATGGTGAAACCCCGTCTCTACTGAAAATACAAAAATTAGCTGGTGTGGTGGCAGGTGCCTGTAATTCCCAGTTACTTGGGAGGCTGAGGCAGGAGAATCACTTGAACCCGGGAGGCGGAGGTTGCAGTGAACCGAGATCATGCCACTACACTCCAGCCTGGGTGATAGAGCAAGACTCCATCTCAAAAAAAATAAAATAAAATAAGTAACCAGTCATCAAAGTCAACTCTCATGAGGAAGCAGAGAAAATGTCACATTAGTAGAAACTCCAAGAGACATTCATATGGCTCTTCAGTAATAGAATTCTGTTTAAACAAATAAAGCAATGTCTACTGTAATACCCCCATGCCTTCAATGTCACTTCTACATCAGGTACTGCAGAATCTGATTTAAAAGGTTGCCAATTGGAAAACCTCTTTATTGGCAGAAAAAAATTAAGTTCCTTGAAATTTAGAAACCAGATCAGCTCCGGTACAGAATTTGGAATCAACCCTAGATTGAATTCCTTACAGGTTTACTTTCTGGGTCTATGTTCTTGGAAAAGATATGAAATTTCTTCAGGCCTCAGTTTTCCCCATCTATAATACAGAGCTAATAGCTGTCTCATAGAATGGCTAGGAAAACCTGGAGAGAGCTCAGAAATAAAGCCCATGTCATGGCACGGCACTGACTGGTTAGGAAATAATAATTCTGCCCCAACCCCCAGTGAAAGCCCAGGGCTAAGAGCCTCTTTTTCCTGGGGAGGAGATAAAGCCGGTTAAAAGAAGAATTCAGGATCTACAAACAGGATGCTGTATCACTTTCTTTACCCCTTTCTTGATAAGGACATTGGGGACTTGTTTTGGTGAGGTCCTTTTGCGGGGCAGGGAGGGTTCTGCTTGAGGTTTGTAAGGGAAGAAAGATGGAGAGGAGATTTCAGTGATCAGCGGAGAGGAAGAGGCCCTTCGCAGCCAGTTCACCTGTGACTTTCATTGGTCTTGACATCCACTTGGCCTTGCTATCCAAAGTGTGGTCAGTGGATCGGCTGAATTGGAGTCACCTGAGAGCTTGCTAGAACTGCGGAATCTCAGGGCCTACACCTCCTGTGTCAGAATCTGCATTTTAACAAGACCTCTGAGTGATTGGTCCACATTCAAGTTTGGGAAGCATGGTAGCAGCCACTATAGTATTTAATGTTGAGTAAACCTCCACAATAAATAACTCAGTGTTGTGCAGGTGGGTGAACTGAGCCCCCCTGCCTTTTCTGTTGCATGAGGTTATCAGGTGCATAGTAAAGCCTTCTTCTGAGCAGCTGCTAGCCCATGCAGTGCACTTGTGAAAATTAGAGAGACAGGTCCAGAATGGCTATATTAAAAAGGCAAAAAATAACAGATGCTGGCAAGGCTTCAGAGAAAAGGGAACGCTTATTGGCAGTGATGTAGGATTTTTTCTTCTCAGTCACTTTGCAAGCCAGGGACCTCCAGCCAGCAATACCCCTCCCAGGCCCCACTTGGACACGCTAGCATGCCCCAGCTCACCTGTGTTATAGCTTGTGCCCGCGTTGGGCCATTCCTGAGCTCTTGTACCACACCCTATTTACACCTATCACCTGACAGGATTTGCAGGGTAATTGCCCAGAACTAGAATGCTGATCCAGATTTTTACATTACCCATCCCTTCTGTTTCTTCTGAGCTGCAGCCGGAGATCACTGGTTGGTTCACAGGAATAAGCAGAGTTAGTCTAAAAGGTAGGCAAAAATTTAACTAATAAGACTAGAATTTAATAACAAGTATATGATAACTTTTAAAAAATAATTTTTCTCTCTCCAGTCATCATTTTAGTTAAAAAAAAATGATAGGACTGAATTGTTCGCAAAATAAGCTTTAGTCTTATACTTGGCCTGATTATTTGCATCAAGTGCAGCAAGAATAATTATTTTTCACATAGGCTTTTAAAATTGGCTTTGATGGGGCCGGGCACAGTGGCTCACGCCTGTAATCCCAGCACTTTGGGATGCCGAGGCAGGTGGATCACCTGAGGTCAGGAGTTCAAGACCAGCCTGATCAAAATGGTGAAACCCCGTCTCTACTAATAATACAAAAAATTTAGCTAGGCATGGTGGTGGGCACCTGTAATCCCAGCTACTTGGGAGGCTGAGGCAGGAAAATCACTTGAACCCGGGAGGCGGAGGTTGCAGTGAGCCAAGATCACACCACTGCACTCCAGCTTGGGCGACAGAGTAAGACTCTGTCTCAAAAAAAAAAAAAAATGGCTTTGATGGAACTCTGTTCAGGAATCTCAGATAATACCTTTTAAAGCTGAGCCCAGCCATGGGTTTGTACCCTCAAATACCTATGAGTTGGGTAAATTCCTCTTTTTTTTTTTGAGATGGAGTCTCACTCTGTTGCCCAGGCTGGAGTGTAGTGGTACAATCTTGGCTCACTGCACTCTCCGCCTCCCGGGTTCAAGCGATTCTCCTGCCTCAGTCTCCCGAGTAGCTGGGACTACAGGCAAGTGCCACCATGCCCAGCTAATTTTTTTGTATTTTTAGTAGAGATGGGACATCACCATTTGGGCCAGGCTGGTCTCAAACTCCTGGCCTCAAGTGATCCACCCACCTCGGCCTCCCAAAGTGCTGAGATTACAGGCATGAGCCACCGCACCCAGCCTAAATTCCTCTCTTCTTGAGGTCCCAAGATGACATGGGGCTCCTGGGCCTGTTAGGAAGTGACATTCTTTACTCACCACAGGTTAGGAACCCTGTATAGGGACTAGGTAGACAAGGTATGAGGCCGGTTTTCCCAACAGGCTTTTATTGGCTCTGCAAGTCAAGCTTGATTTTTTTAAGGGAAGCATGCCCTTTCCAGTCCAAGCCTTGGTAAAACAACCAGTTTCTCCAGCTGCATCCTGCTGCAAAACAAAATGGATTCTTGTTGATTGCACTGATGCAAATAGCTATGTTGCCATAAGTTAAGAATATTCAGTTTCCAAATTCTAGAGAAACCAGGCAGAGAGAAACAAATATGCCTCAAATTTTGTTCACAGGAGTATACCTTACTCAATTGTTAAAAGCTGTAGATAGCTCAAAAGAAAAGTTTCCTTGGCTCTGAAAAACAAAACAAAGATCAGCAGTGTTTTAAGCAAAAAAGTTTAAAAAGATTACTTCAGTTTTATGTTAGTTCAGTCCATTCAGTTACTCTTGTTGGCTTGATATTCATGAACATTTCAGCTCTTCATGAGTCCTGTATGTTTTCCTCTATTCCAGTGTTACAATATCCAAAGCTATCAGAAACCTGCATTTGAGATCAGCTGTCAAAGTCCTATAGCTGATTATAAACCATAGTTTGAAGAGGATCAAAACAAAGCAACAATTGTCTGTGAATGACAAAATGTCTTTGGGTAGTCACAGTCAAAAATATGATTGACAAAGGAATTTGCTTATTTCTGTGGTTTGCAATAATATAACCTTAATCATGATTGATAACATATACTCAGATATTAGAATTTTAGAAATCCTATACAATTTTGGGACATATATTAATATTATTCACTGAAATATAACCTGAAGGTTAAACCTTATTTTGGCAATCCCAAATAAATAAACACGTCAAATAATCCTGTTTACCTCTCTTTCGGATGCTCCAGGGGCCCTCTGTAGCATCCAAAAGTAAGGATTTAGAAAAGACAATTTTGAAGCTGAAATTTGATTTTGGGAGGCCTATCAAACATGCTAAATGTTCAAAACACTTGATAGTTTGAAATAAAATTCCAGGTTACCACAAGTCATTTAGCCAAAATGATGACTCAAGAATTTTTTAAAAGGCAAAAACCTTTCATTATCCTTTACTATTACATGAAAATCTTGTTCAAAAGAGAGAAAATCTAATTTCGCCCTCGCATTAGTCTGCTATTAATGTCAACCACAATTTTTTAATGAAACCTTATAAATAATTCTATCCAATCTTAACTAGTTTGGTCATGAGGTGAGATTCTTATAGACCTTTTATAACCCTTTATAAGTTTTTGTTAAAGAGCAGATTAGTGCCTTAAGAAAATCTTGTGCTTTTATTTCAATGCTCAATTTATGGAAAAACCATATAATATCCTTTTGAATCTAGTCAATATGTTCATGCACAGAGTTTCTCTTACAAGATTAATTTTTACAAACCTTCCACAACTTGGTTAAGCCTTTAGCTTTATCTTATTTAATTTAAAACAATCTTTTAACCCTTTAAACTACACAAAAATTTACATTTTCATGCCTTCTTGTAATTTTTACTAAAAACATGTTTTACTTTTCTTACACACCTTGCATGTAAATCTATTTTGAGTAGTCTCAATTAAATGTTATAATGGTAACACTTACCAATTTTTAATTTTAATGTAAAACCTGGTAAGTTATTTTAATTATGTGCTAGGTGCAGCTAAGGTCTGACACTTCCCAGCATAGTTAGGGGCATAGTTAATGCCATATGTCCCCAGGCCTTACCAAACTGTAAAGCAGGCAAGTTGAACAAATTTTCAAAAGCCAAAGAAGCAGTTTATAACCTTAAAACATTTAGCAAACCTAGTGTCTGACCTGCATAATCTACACCATATATTTACATTTTGAAGACATTTGTATTTTACCAATTATCTTTAAAGCTGTTTTTATTTCTCAAATATGAAAGTCACATGAACTAAAAGGCATTACAGCTTTTGTTTCTTCAAAAAAAATTGATCTAAGCGCTTATTTTTCTTTAGGCCAATCAGTTAGAGCTCTTTTTTATAAACATCACACATATAACACATATATAATTACACAGGCAGACAGAAGAAGATCCAGTAGTTGTAGGATTTTTCATTTACCAATCTACTAATTGGATTACTGGCTTCAGGGTGGAGCCCTTAAACAAACAGGGCTAGGAAAACATGCAGTTTCTAGGGCATAAGAAACAGGCATAGCTGGATGACAAAAACAGATTTTGAGAGGGATATATCTGCTTTTAATTCCTGGGGTTTCATGAGGAAAAAGGAGGTCTTTTTTCCTAAACAGAGTCCGTGGCACCTTCTCTGTTTTTCCCAAGGAGTCCCATGCTCTCAGAAGTTCCCTTAGGGCCTCTTATGTGTGCATTGAGTGGCAAGACAAAATGGAGAAAAATAATTCAGTCAACTGAGGAGACAAAACATCTTCCAGCAACACAAGATCCAATAAGAGAAAAAAAAGAAGATCTTTTAAATATACCTATAGCTTGGATATCTACTTTTAGTTAAGCTGGCTTTTAACCATAACATTCTTTAAGAAAATACTTTTAAATCCTTTGTTACCCGACTTTAGCCAAGTGGCCAATATTTCTGGCTTTTGAACTTTACCAAAAGTAACCTCACAGGTGAAACCAACAAGCCTCAACTAAGGTTATGACTTAACTACGAGCATACAAGGTATTTTCAAATAGGTGGTAAGCAGTTTTCACAAAATCTGAAATCTTTAAAGGTAGCTCAGAGAAAGGAAGATTTAAGAAAGGAAGTTAGAAGCTGTTCTTCGAGGGGAGATATTAACTAGAAAGTACTCATTCCCATTGTAAAATGGCAGAGACCAAAAGAAAGTACTGCCACATTGTTACAAGGTCAAGCTCCCAAGGATATAAAACAAGATGAGACCTCATCTAGTTTTTTTTTTCAAAATTTTACAGTGATCTTTACCATTCCTTTACCAGTTTGCACAGGGAGAGAAAGGTCAGAAGTACGACTGGTTAAAAAAAACTTTACCCTTTGCCGGCATGTCAGGTTTCTGGGTTCCCTTCCCCCAAGTTCAATTTTAAGCCAAGCAGTTTAAGGTTTGGGGAAATTAGCTTTTCCCTGTTTGGGGAATGCATCTGAGGGGAGTGTCCTGTGGTACAGGGACACGATTACCTATCCACAAAGAGAGGACAGAGGAAGAAAAGGAAAAAAAATAAAAGTTCTTTTTTGCAAAGGAGTCCCAGTGATTCAGGGGGCATTTGAGAGAAATACAGACTGAAGATGATTGCTTACCCATTTGAAAAGGGGGGGGAAGACTGTCCCTTAGTTCCTTTCTCTTCCCAGCAAATACCAGGGTATGTGAGGGTCAGAAAGAAAAGACATTCCCCTTCTTTCTTCCATCCTTATATCCCGAGTCCTGGTGATCTCAGCAGGGTGCCACCCATGGGTGCCAATGCAGCTTTCACCCGTGTTAACAGGAGACCCAGGTGGTAGGAATTATCCACACTCACCCACGCACTACCTATACCCCATGCTGTCGGTAACCTTTGAGTTTCCCAGATCTCATTTATGCCATGGATACTAGCATGACCTCTATCCACGAAATGGAGGAGGGGGCACCTAATCAGCAGGAATTAGTCATGCTCACCTGTGCTGTTCCCCTTGACTTCTGTTGTTGTCTGCCTCTGGATCCCTCAGATCTAGCTTTTCTTTCTAGGGCTTCAACCTGAAGCTTGGAATTGAGTTTGGGACAAAAAGGTGTCTCAGGAGGATGCATAGACTCATTAAGTTAGGGAGTACCATGAATTGGGTCCTGGCCTAGTAAGACACCTTTCAAAAGGAAAAAAACCTCTCACACAGAAAAGCTCCCTGTATTTGCAGGGCTATGTGAACTCCTGACATGGTGGAGAAAAGAAAAAAAAAAAAAGCTTAAGTGCACGGGGGAAGGTGCCTGGGGAAAAAAGCCTCTTGATCTATGAAAATGGGTTCCTTCAGCAGGGGAAAAACCCTTGGATCACTGTACCCTCCTTGCCAGGCAGAAATCACATTGTTCTGAATTGCATATCTGATGGCTAGGCCAAATGCTCATTCTACCTAGTAATATCTCTGCAATATGCAACACCCTTAACATTATAAAAGAAGAAATAGGCACCATGACAGCCCCCAGAAAAGAAGAAAAATAACATAGAAAAGACTGCTGGATTGGAACGAGGCCAACATTCCCAAACCCCGAGAGCAATTGGCTGGGGCGTTGGGGACCTCTCCAGCACCCTGTCCTCTGTAGCCAGGCCATTCATTCTTAATGGTCTCACCAGAGGTTCAGCACTTCATCTGCCTTCAGAAAAAAAGTCTGAGGACAAGAATCCTCAGAAAAAAGTGAAGAGTCTAGGTCTACATTTATTTGCTCTTCAGGTATCCCAGACAAGCCCCCAAAATAATGTAGGATTTTTCTTCTTGGTCACTTTGCAAGCCAGGGACCTCCCATCTGGGCCCTGTTTGGCCACTCTGGCATGCCTCAGCTCACCTGTGTTATAGCTTGTACCCATGTTCAGTGATTCCCAAACTCTTGTACCACACCCAAGAAGAATGAGAATATGCTCGACATTGAAGGGTGAGGAGGGCAGAGAATTTTATTTATTTATTTTTTTTTTTTTGAGATAGAGTCTCGCACTGTTGCTGAGGCTGGAATGCAGTGGCACAATCTCGGTTCACTGCAACCTCTGCCTCCCGGGTTCAAGCGTTTCTCCTGCCTCAGCCTCCCAAGTAGCTGGGATTACAGGCAACTGCCATGATGCCCAGCTAATTTTTTGTATTTTTTTTTAGTAGAGATGGGGTTTCACCATGTTGGCCAGGCTGGTCTTTAACTCCTGACCTCATGATCTGCCCACCTCAGCCTCCCAAAATGCCAGCAGCAGAGAATTTTATTAAGTGATGAAACAGCTTTCAGCAGAGAGAGGATGTGGGGGTGGGCACCCTACACAAAGGCAGGAAAGTCCCCAGTGTGGCTGGGTCCGGGGCTTTTTATGGACTCAGAGTGGGAAGTATGTGCTGATTGGTTTTGAGTATGCAAAAAGAATGGTTAAAGTGAAGGCACCACTCAAAGGTGGGCATGATTGTGTAGAACACCAATTAGGAAAGGGTAGGTATATGTAAAATAGGTTAAGGGTGAAGATCAACTAGAAGAAAGTACGCCAAATAAGAAGACAAGTTCTCAGTCTGGTCCAAGGATTTAACCTGTAGCTTGGCTTTCAGGCTTTAAAATGCCTTTGGCTTGGAGGTGGGGTTTCACCAGAGACCCAACCCTCTCTGCCTAGGCATTTGGCTGCCTCCTGCTACTCTCAGTGGGAGTGTAAATTAGTTCAGCCACTCTGGAAAGCAGTTTGGAGCTTTCTCGAGCAACTTAAAACAGAACTACCATTTGACCCAGCAATCCTATTACTTGGTATATATCCTAAGGAAAATAAACCATTCTACCAAAAAGACACATGCACTCATATGTTTCATCAAAGCACTAAGCAAAGATAAGGAATCAACCTAGGAACCTATCAACAGTGGATTGGTTAAAGAAAATGTGGTGCATGTACACCATGGAACACTACACAGCCATAAAAATACACAATCATGTCTTTTCCAGCAATATGGAAGCAGCTGGAAGTGATTATCTTAAGTGAATTAATGTAAGAACAGAAAACCAAATACTGATGCTCTCACAAGTGGAAGCTAAATACTGGGCACATATAGACATAAAGATGGCAACAGTAGATACTAGGGACTACTATGAGGGGAGAGAAAGAGGGAGAAAAGGGTTGAAAAACTACCTGTTGGTTACTATGCTCACTACCTAGGTGATGGGATCATTCATACCCCAAAGCTCAGCATCACACAATGTACCGTACCCATGTAACAAACCTACATGTACCCCCTGAATCTAAAATAAAACTTGAAATTAAAAAAGAATGGACCGGGCACGGTGGCCCACACCTGTAATCTCAACACTTTGGGATGCCAAGTCAGGTGGATCACTTGAGGTCAAGAGTTTGAGACCAGCCTGGCCAACATGGTGAAACCCTGTCTCTACCAAAAATACAAAAAATTAGCCAGGTGTGATGGCAGGCGCCTATAGTCGCAGCTACTGAGGGGGCTGAGGTGGAAGAATCGCTTGGACCTGGGAGGCGGAGGTTGCAGTGAGCCAAGATCACACCATTGCACTCCAGCCTGGGCAACAGAGTGAAATTCAATCTAAATAATAATAACAATAATGACATTATAATAATATAAAATAATAAATTACTTCATAATACTTTAAAAGAGAGAGAGATGTGTCTCCCTCCTCTCTCCTATGCAGCTCCTCACCAGGGTACACAGCCAGAGGGCAGATGCAGGATGGATTTCAGTGGCATTCACTGCAACACTGGTGATTTGTTGCCAGATATAACCTGTACAACTGTATGAGGGCCTGTAAAAATAAGTAAAATAATGCTTAAAAATTCCCCAAAATTAGCCCACCACCTTAAACCTCCACATGTACCAAAAGCAGCAGAAATAGCTGCTTTGCTTGCATTAGCCAGAAAGAAAAAGAAATTATAGCCACACTTCATTACAGTAGCAACACATTGTGACACTGGTTCTCTATGAAGAAAGACAAGCGCCCTGGGCACGTCGTGAGTCTCACAGTGTACATTGCCACACACAGAAGCAAATTCTATTCTAGGCAATGTTATCTCTTATCCGTGTAACTTATAAACTCTTATGCAGAGACATGGAATTTTCCACAGGTGATCTCTGTGCTTATGTGTGTAATTTCTATGGTGTACTGGTGAGTGAAGTGGAATGTACAATTTCATACAGATATCATTTGGCATCACAGGATTAAAAACCCAACAGGGGAAAACACTGAATAAAGAAAGTAGCTCTCAATCTAGTTGGTTTCATTCCGCGTCTTCTCAGTTCTATTATTAGTCTCTTTCCCCCTTTCATCTTCTATCGCAGTTGCTGAATTGTGAATTCCCAAAGTTTCTTGTTTGTTTGTTTTCTTGGAGACAGAGTCTTGCTCTGTCACCCAGGCTGGACTGCAGTGGTGGGATCCTGGCTCACTGCAACCTCCGCCTCCCAGGTTCAAGCGATTCTCCTGCCTCAGCCTCCCAAGTACCTGGGACTAGAGGTACGCGCCACCACGCCCAACTCATTTTTGTATTTTTAGTAGAGACGGGGTTTCACCATGTTGGCCAGACTGGTCTTCAACTCCTGACCTCAGGTGATTTGCCCGCCTCAGCCTCCCAAAGTGCTGGGATTACAGGCGTGAGTCACCGCACCCAGCCGTATTCCCAAAATTTTATGTCAACTCTTTATACTTTGGCTCAGATCTTGCCTAATTACATGCTGAAAAGTTAGATGCGATTTTGGTTCAAAATGTAACATCTCATTAGTTTTCAGACGATATATCTTCGTCCTTCTATAGGTTTCTCTTTTCTCAGTCACAACATTACATGTAGTTCTACTTACTTCAAAGGAACAACTTTTCAGCTCAAGTACAGTTTCTGCCACATCCATTTCTAGAGCACAAAATGTTTTGTTGATTTCGTGCACTGTTTCTTTGCTTTGCCTTGTTAGCTGTCAATTTTTATGCACAATTTTATTGTTAGGACACAACTTATTATGCAGAAAAGTCTCTTCTGCAAATCCATGCCCCACTTACAGTTTTTGGAGACAATCTGCATTGTAATGCCACAGGTCAAATTCCAATTCAACAAATAACCTAAACCCCTAGCCTTTCTATGAAAATGTTGTTTTCTTAACCTCCAGCCAGTGTTCCATTTGTCATTTATTTCAGGATCTAATTGGCTTAATGAAATTTTTATGCAGCATAAGAAATTAGGAATTTATTGTAGCGAGATACTGTTTTGATTTTTATGACAAGCACCTGGGTTCACCCAGATTTTTTTCCCATCATTATTTTAATGATGGATATTTTGTTTCTTTTATCCCCAGTATCTCATCTGCCTAGAACAAGGAGACTGGTGTGATTTTGACCTGTCATTGTAGTTCATCATTGTATACTCATCATAGTGAGCCATGCAAATGTATAGCCATTGCCACTGCCTGGACTCTGTGCCCGAAGAATGCAAATTTGATGTACGACATCATGACATGTGGTGTTGTGCTTGGCAGAATGGCAGCACCAACGAAGCAGGAACAGTAGTCACTGATGACAGAAGGAAGCGCTCTCCTACTGGTGAAAATTAATTCTTCTCAGTTAACATGCATGGCACTGCTTTGGAAGCTTTTGGATCTCTGGCTTGTTTAGCTCTGTCCACAATAATGTGGAAGCCACAACATCTTTACATATTTGGAGCATTTTTGCTGGTGTCACCAGGTCACGGCTCTTGGGTATCCGTTTCTCAAATGTGGCCCTTCTGCATAGAGTGCTGTGTTGGAGAGGAACCTAAGAGAGGTGGTGGCAGTTGGTATGTTTTGGCTGAATGGCATTGTTTCTTAAACAGCTGGATTTGGCCAGCCATCATGGCCATCAGTTTGGTGTTTACGGCCCTTATGAAGCTCCCATTTCACTCAAGAAGGCAATCGTTTACTTATGTAGTGCTGGAAACCCTTAGAAATATGTGCTCAATAGTTGCAGATGTACCCACAGCTTTCCCCTGGTCCCAGCCTGTGTCAGCAATCTTTTACATCCTTTTAAATAACCCACACTGCAATCCCCCAATAGAATATTATCCATCTGGTTATTTATGGCAAAGTGCTGAATATGCACTGTGTTTATTTGGGCTCACATTTAGTCTAATCCCATGGTTCCTCCTGATTCAAAGTCTTGATTTACCTACAAGACCTCCCACATCACTGATTCTTGCTGTCAAAGGAAGGCGGATAATGTCATCAGCTTGCATGGTTTACTTTCAAAGCAACTTGCAGATACTAGTCCTTATATCTCCCACGAGAGAAGGATGGAAATTTTAAGAAGACTGAACATGTGGTACTAATTTTGCCCATAAATAACTAGGTCCAGCAGAATTTTAGCAACTTTATTTCAGTGTCTCCCAAGGACTACTGAATGCCTAAACACTGCTCAGAGAACAGAAAACTAAGAAAAGAAGATCTTCTCTCTATCCTCCCACATCCAATCATTCTCCTCCCCATTTCTCCCACAGAAATGCCACCTGATTGGCAGCAAATAAGCAGGTAAGCCTCATGGGCAACATTAGAGATACATAAACATGCCAAATAACATACATAAACAACTGAGATACATAAACTGACCTAGTCCAATGGTACTGCAAGCCAATGACAGCAAAAGGAATGCTGAGTCCACAATCAGGAGCTTCTTTCTGCCCTTGAGTTCTG